>NC_000001.11:63190198-63493228 GCF_000001405.40 Homo sapiens
AAAATAACGTTTTAAAAGCCTGATCACAGCTTTGTTATTCAGTACTCTTATCAGTAGCCTAATTCACTGGAACTAGACTTTTATCTGTAATCTCCTTCCAAAGGCTTCACATGGCTCTCCAGACATTATCTCATTAATCCTCAGGACAGATCTACCAGACAGGTGGCAGACAATGGACTTTTCATCACAGGTAGCTTGAGGCATGAGTAGGGTTCCTGGTCCCAGAAGACCGCATCAGTACCTGGATGGGTCTTTTGCAATCTCCCCAGTCTTCATCTATGAAACACTGAGCTTCTACTTTTTGCTGGGGAAATCTTCACCAGTTCCTACATAAGAAAGATTGTTAAGAAGGTAAATTTCATACATCTGTTGATTCCATTAATTCACACATATTTAATAGCTACTACTCAACAGACCTAATACTTTCTGGACATAGATGGATGTTGAATCATAAATGCACAAGTAAGCAACTATATACTGAGCAAATCTCTGTGGGACCCTAATGGATAAAGAAAACACATTAATTGAGCATTAATTAATGAAGAAACCCACTACTGTCACAAGAAGAGGGTCTTGGCTTGTTTTACAAGACCCCAAGAAGTATATATTTGAGACCAATTGTCAGAAGCTTCAGAGAGACAGATTTTGGTTGGAAATAAAGAAGATCTTAAGAACAGAGTGATCCAAGTGTTGCCTCTGGAGGAAGAGAATTTTCCTTCTTAGGAGATGTGTAAACATAGGCTAATTGCCACTTTAAAGAGACATTATAGATATTATTCCCTTATGCCAAGAATGTTCTCTTGTTCTTTGCTAAACATCCCATTTCTGCTTTGACCTCACATTTCAACCTAAATATCACTTCCTCAGAGACATCCTTTCAGATGCTCCACACTAAGAACCCCCCATTACATATTGCCTTAGCTCCTGTATACTCTTTCATAGTGCTTATAACTTTAATTAAATAACTAACTATGAAATTAATAATGGAATGTAAGTTTTTAAGGGGCAGAGACCATGTGAGTTTTTTTTTTTATCCCACCTGGTGCCTACCAGCGTCTGGAATGTGTTAGATGCTCAATAAATATTTGTTGAGTGAGTGAATGAATGTTGATGGATGATTGGACCAGATGTGGATTCTCAGAACAAATCCAGCTGAAGATATAAACTTCACCTGCTAAACTGACTTGAAAATTTTAGAGCTAACGCGTGTTCTTGGGGCCTTTCACCCACCTGTTAAAGCATCCACTTCGTTGCAAACTCATTTTTACTTTACCTATTCCTTTGTTACCAAGCAGCTCAGTGTCAAAACTTCAACCATGCTGGTCCATCCTTATGCTGGAAACTGCACAGCAAGGACTAGCATTCATTTCCAACACCCTTGGCTTCTCTGCACCAATTCATTTCACGTTCATCCATGGGCTTTGGCCTGCCTATCTCCCTTGTCCATCTGTTTGGACAGCAATGTGTCTGCTTGTGAGTGGTTAGATCCTTGGCAAGGGATAGAGACTCCAAACAATGCAAGAGGTTTACATGGGCAAGCTCCACTGCATAGTCAGAGACATCTGTCTTATGGGGAGGGTCTTCTATCAGAAAGCCCGGGTGACACATGCCCCCTCTATACTTGCTTATACCTATAGACATGTAGATGCCCAAACCAGAAGGAAATCAAAACTCAAAAGGAAAATAAAAAATAAACACAAAACATTCATTTGACAAACATGACTGACAGCCTATTCTGGGCTGGGCAGTGTGGGTAGATGCTAGGGGTATATGACTTACCAACCAAGAAAAAGCAATGTGTTAAGTGTGGCATAGAGGAAGTCATGAGAGCATAGAGAAGAGATGAGGATGCTTGATATACCTAAATAGTCACTGGAAAAACTTAATACATATAAACAGGAAACTGAGTTTTCTGCATGTTGTATTCTATTAGGGAGAAAAATGAACCATGACAGAGAGAAAACAGCTGAACCCAGAACCCAAGATGTAGCCATGCCAATCAGTGGTAAGCAGGCAAATCGGCAGGACTTAGTGAGAGCTATGCCAAGGAGATGCAGCCTCTTTCATTTAAGATAAAAATAAACATTTTCATTCTAGTTATTTGGGATAAAAGAAATGTGGCAATGTGGGTATGAGGAGAGGTGAAGTGCTCTGAGTAGGCATGTCTGCTTCCAAGAATACCGTCAATACCTACACACATTCCCAAATGAGTGCACACACACAACCCCTACATGGCAAAGCAGCACTGTCTGCCATGGGCAGTGTTCGTAGAATTCTAAGATAGGAATGAGCCAATTAGTATGGCATGTATAATTTTGGCCAAAAAAAAATTGTTATTTCAATGGGGTTTTTGAATGAGCCAGGGGCCTTCAGAATGTGAAATCCTGTGTATAAAATCACACAGCCCTTTTAGAATGACCAAGACCTCAGGGCCCTATGAACTCCACAACAAATTAAACCATAAGGTGGTAAATGAAAATGGGAATGAAGAAAGTGTAAAGTAAAAATCATAAAGGAGCAAGAAAAGGGAGAACATTACGATGAAGACTAGAAAAACAGAAGCTGAGATAAAGAGAAAATAATGCCCTGACTTTCATATGCTTTTATTCATCAAAGGGAGACAAGCAACAATTACAATAAATAAGTAAATTAACAAACAAATTGTATAATTTTCAGAAGGTGGTCAAATTGGACTATGGGGAGGCAATCTTAGGCAGATGGCCAGGGAGTCCCTATCTGTGGAGGCGACGTTTGAGCTGAGATCTAAATGTTGAGAGAGTCATGCAAGTACGTAGGGAAAGAGCAGAACAGGCAGAAAGAAGCTAAAGTGCAAAGGCCCTGAGGCAGGAAAATACTTGGTCTGTTCAGAGAACAGCAAGGCCAAGGTAGCTGGAGCACAGTGAACAAGGAGGATGTGGCAAAAGGCAAAGCTGAAGCGAGGTAGGCAGGAGCCAGGTCACAGAGGGCTGGGCGGGCCATAGAGAGAAGCTTGGATTTTATTGCCAGTAAAATGGAAAGCCATTGGAGGATTTTAAGTAAGGGAGTAACGTGATAGGATGTGCATTTTTGAGAGATTATGCTGTCTGTGAAGTGAAAAATAAACTGTAGGAAGGCAAGAGTGGAATCAAAGAGACCTATTAGAAACGTATTGCAATAGTCCAGGCAAAGTCTGGTGGATGGTGGTGAGAGATGGTCAGATTGGAATATATTATGTTTGAAGAAATATATTTTGTATTCTTAACCACCATGCCACATTTTTTACTTATTACATATTATTTTATACTCTCTATCATGCTTTTTGGCCTGATCTCCTTAGATTGTGATAATCATAACTTATTTATAAAATTCTATGTATTATGATTAATTCATTTAGTTAGCATTTATGTGTACCCCAAGTGCTACAGTAGTTCTTAGGTAGACAAAAATTACAAAGCATTTTTTCACAAAATGCATCATTTAATACAACAATCTTATAAGATAGCTAATGAGGATAATATTAATGCTTTTTGTTTTTTTTTTTTTTAGACAGAGTCTTGCTCTGACACCCAGGCTGGAGTGCAGTGGCACAATCTCGGCTTACGGCAACCTCCGCCTCCTGGGTTCAAGCAATTCTTCTGCCTCAGCCTCCCCAGTAGCTGGGACTATAGGCGTGCGCCACCACACCCAGCTATTTTTTGTGTTTTTAGTTGAGATGAGGTTTCACCATGTTAGCCAGGCTGGTCTTGAACTCCTGACTTCAGGCAATCCGCCCGCCTCGGCCTCCCAAAGTGCTGGGATTACAGGCGTGAGCCACCAGGCCCAGCCTATTAATGTTTTTTTACAGATAAGCAAAGTGAGGCTCAGAGAGGTTAAACAATTTGCCCAAAGCTGTAAGGGTAGTCAGAGGACAAAGCTAGAGCAGAGCCAAGGTTCCCTGACCCCTAAATCAATGTCTTTCTACCATACTACCATGTATCCTATGTCTTCCCTGCTTTGAGTCCACAGCATTGTACCATAGATAAGAAGTGCTTATGCAAAGTAGATGATCAATAACTGTGAAGATGGGGATGACGATGCTATCTTTCTGCCTTCGATGTGTTGATTTGTCTATTTGTGTAGCTAATGTATTTCTCACCATGCCAAAATTTACCTTAGATTTATCCTATGTAGATTTTACCAAGAAATTAAAAGTTAGAAAAGACTAGGGCTCAATTTTTTGCATTTGGACAGATTAGTCAAGATTTAATTAAAAGCTATCTTACTGAGTACCTACCATGTGCCATAAATATTTACTGGAAGAATGAATAATCTTATGTAGAATTATATAAAATAATAATCTTGTATAGAATAATCCTGATAATAATCCTATTTAGAATTATATAAAAGTAAGCTGCTGGCCAGGCACGGTGGCTCACACCTGTAATCCCAGCACTTTGGGAGGCTGAGGCGGGCGGATCACTAGGTCAGGAGATCAAGACCATCCTGGCCAACATGGTGAAACCCTGTCTCTACTAGAATACAAAAAATTAGCCAGGCGTGGTGGTGCACACCTGTAGTCCCAGCTACTCTGGAGGCTGAGGCAGGGGAATTGCCTGAACCTGGGAGGCAGAGGTTGCAATGAGCCAAGATCACGCCATTGCACTCCAGCCTGGGGACAGAGCAAGACTCTGTCTCAAAAAAAAAAAAAAAAAAAGTAAGTTGCTATTATCACAATCCAGTTGGAGAAAAAACATCTTATTTTATAAGACCATAAAATAATATGTAATAAGTGCAGCCCTCTGGCATAGTGGTTAAGAGCACAATATGCATTCACCTTTTTAAGGTTCTGGGGATAGAAGTGAAGAAGACAAAATGATTCCTGCTGTCATGAAGCTTCTACTCTGGCCTTCTCTCATAACTGCTACTCTTACCTTAAAAGCCCTGGACACTTCCTAAGGCTCTACATAATTAATAATAACTGCTATCACTTAGAGTATGCTTACTAAGATTAGTGTGTTTGATCCTCTCAACAACCCTATGAAGAAGGTAGCATTACTGTCAACCCTATTTTCCAGCTAAGAAAACTAAGGCACAGAGAAGATCACACAGCTAATAACTAGTAGAACTGGCTTTGTACCCAGGCAGTCTGTCTACAAAGCTCATATGCTTAGCCAACATGTGGGAGGATATCAAGGTCTTGTGGGACATGAAGCTTATATAATTCTAGGAGCTCTCTTTGAGAAAAAAGAATACAACACTACAAACACAAAACTAGGTACAGGGCCTTGGAAGGGGCCCATGAAAGAGTTACATTTTATAAGATTCACAGTAAATCTGCCTTTAGCTTCATGGTAAACCCATCTGTGCCTCTATGCAATACCCTAAGCATGAGCTCTGTTGTTATAATAAAGACTGCCCTAACCCAAATACCTAGAAGGTGGTTGAGTGAAGACAGCATGAAAATAAGCATTATCATTTTCCAAATGTGCAACTGTAGATAGGACTTTCTGGTGCTCCACGCCAAGTCAGTGAGCATTCATAAAGCACCAGCTATATGCTGAGCATTATGCTAATATGCTAACCTGCAGAAAATACAAAAGCCTATAATCCCAGCACCTTGGCAGGCCGAGGCCGGTGGATCACCTGACGTCAGGAGCTCGAGACCAGCCCGACTAATATGGTGAAACCTCATCTCCACTAAAAATAGAAGAAAAAAAAAAAAATTAGCCAAGCGTGCTGGCGTGCACCTGTAGTTCCGGCTACTCAGGAGGCTGAGACAGGAGAATCGCTTGAACCCAGGAGGCAGAGGTTGCAGTGAGCCAAGATCGCACCACTGCACTCCAGCCTGGGTGACAGAGCGAGACTCCATTTCAAAAAAAAAAAAAAATGTATACATATCTGTAGATATACTCTCAATGAGCTAGTTTATGTGTCCAGCACTATATAAATGCAAAATGAGACTGATACAACAGTAGCTGCCCTTGAGAAATTGAAATAACAAATAAGCACTTAATGTTTATTATGTAAATGGTATTCCTATAAACGGATTATAATTTGTGAGTTAGATACTAACATTACTGTCATCCTTATTTTACAGAGGGAGAAACAGATCAAGGAGTGGCAAAGCTTGGATCTGAATTCAGATGCGCTCATTCTCAAGCCGTATTCTTAACCACTCTACTACTCTTCTCCAATTGTTTTGGAAATATGAAACAATTGGAGATCTGAAGCTTCAAAACTCCTACCAACCACCATCTCCTTCGTGAAGCCTTCCCTGCCCACCCCAGATAGGTCAGGTTTCTCTCCACATAGCTTTCCACATTCTCCTCTCTCATAGCTGTATTAATAAGTCCCTGTTGCCTCCTTTCTTAGACCATAGGCTTCTTGAAGGCTATGTCCCAAGAACCTGGTAGGTAATCAACAAATATTTGAGAAATCAATGAATAAATGAGCAACACATGTTAGGGTATGGTCAAGTGGTCTGTTGGTGCTATGGTAAATAATTTACCTGCTGTAGGTTTTAAGTGAGACTTGAGCATGAAAGTAAGATTAGAAAAGTGGAAGGGAAAGGAAAATATTTCAGGGGATGGAAACAGCCTGAGCACAAGAGCAGCACTGGGAACGATCATGTCATGAAAAATGCATTTGTTTCCCACTGCTTCTGTAATGAACTACCACCAAATGAGTGGTTTAAAACAACACACATATATTCTCTGATAGTTCTGGAAGTTAGAAGCCTAAAATCAAAGTATCAGCAGGGCTGTGTTCATTCTGCAGGCTTCAGTGGATAATCTGTTTCCTCACCTCTTTCAGCTTCTGAGGCCACTCACATCCCCAGACTTGTGGCCCCTTCCTCCCATCACTCCAACTCCTTGCTTCCATAGTCTCATCTTCTGCGACTGCCTCTGACTCTCCAGCCTCCCTCTTAAAAGGACCCTTGTTATTATTACTATTGGGCCCACTCAGACAACCTAGGATAAACTTACCATCTCAGGATCCTTAACCACATCCTCAAAGTTCCTTTTCCTATGTTAGGTGATGTATTCACAGGTTCCCTAGGTTCTGGGGATTAAGATGTAGACATCTTTGGAAGGCCAATATTCAGCCAACCACGAAAGGGAACAGTAAAAGCACAGTGCAGGCTCTGCAAAGGTTCTGTCTCTGTAAGGCCACAGGGTAAATGGATAGAACGTGGGCCAGGCTTCTTTCCAGGCTCAGGCGTCTGGACCTTTTCTGATAGACAACAGAGAGCCACCATAGAGTGTTAAGAAGGATCAAGTCACTAAGAAAATGATGTTTTTAAAAGATTTATTTGGCAACTGTGTTTACTTGCTTCAATTGAAACCATCTTTTTTCAACATGGTAATAATAACTGGTTGTATATAGGGTTTTATTTTTATAAAAGTTTCACATATAAACCTATCTAGGAGGTATTATTATCTCTATTTTAAAGATGAGGAAACTGAGCTCAGAGCAGTTGAGTGACTTTTTACAGAAGATTTTATATACATACCCTACACGTGACAGAACAGAGCTAGATACTTTGAGGAGGCAGTGCTGTGCCTGCGGTAAGTTTCTGCTTACCCCCGTAAGTACAAAAGGCTTTGGAAGCTGACCAGAGTCCAAATATTAATTCTGCCCTTTACTCACTATGTGACTTTGACCAAGTTATATCACTTCTCTAAATTTCATTTCCCTTATCTATAAAATGTGACTAATAATAGTGCCTGCCTCACAGGTTTTATGAGGATTAAATAAGATAATGCTAGTAAAGAAAGTACTTGGCATAGAGCAATCGATAAACAGTAGCTACTATTATTATAAATACCACCTCCTTTCTATAACATTTCTCTCAGATGAGACCATCTAAGATTACACTTTAGATCAGCTTACATTTCAACACAGGAAGATTCAAAACTGAATTTAAAAGAAGCTACTGAAGATAGGTTTCACAGTACCTTCTAATACATGAGCTTTCTAGTTCCTCTCAATTAAAAAAAAGTAAATGTCTTCATAATATGTATTAGACAATGCCCTAAAAGTATGTTAATAATTTAAATTCCAACCCTCTGCTGTTTTCAATGTAATATTCTGTAAACCATAGTTATTCTTCAATCAAGGTCTGATTTTGTTTGGATGGGTTACATTGTGAAAGACCAAATAAGGTACATGGAGTTTTGCGGTCAACCTGCATGAATTGGTTTGTAAACTTCACTGGACAAGCAAGCACTTGCCAAGTGGTCTGAATTAACCTTTACTTTGTGCCCATCTCTAGGAGGAATGAATGAACACCAGTAGTCTGCTGGCCTGCCTGGTCTGCCTGGTGTCTGGCATCCAGAGACTTTTCCTGGCTGACCTTTTGGAGAATGTCCAACATTGAGAAAATGGAATCCAAAAGAAGACACAGAACCGGGCTCCATGTTTTCAGAGACTGCACCACATTGGTCATTGGAGTTAAATGTGTTCATATCCATCGGCTCTGTGCTCTGTCACGCAAAATATTAAAATGAAATGCTAGGAGAACAGTTTGAAGCAATCCTTCCTGTTCTTGAAACTCACCTTTAGCTGCTGAGAACGCTGGTAATCCCTTTGTAGCTTACTGGGGGCACATTTATCAGTGAGGCAGCTAAGCCAATTGTAGCTGCATTCACAGGTGACCGTGCTGTCTGCCTGCCTTCCCAGAGATACAAGAAACAAAACCAAACTGATAGAGAGGATCTGGCATTGCAAATTCACCCAAGAGAGGAGCCCAGGCCAGACTTCTGTTTTTATGGACAGGAACATTCGGTCCTCAGCAGACTTGCCTCTGAATTCACAGGCTCCTCTTACAATGCAAGCCACAATTCTGAAAAATAAAAGGGGATCTCAAGCAGAAAAAGAGATTACAAATAAGGATCATTCAACAACAATAACCAAAACATAAACCCTGGCAACCACTGTGCTAAGCAGCCCTGGCGGATGCCAGTCTTGCCTTCTCAGTTCCTGCTCTGATCGGTAGCACAACAAATTATCTAGTTTCCTAAATCCAGTGGGCTCTGACCGCAGACACAGGAGAGCAAGCCGCATTTAAATGTGAAAAGCTGTTACTGATAGAGCCCTCCTGGCATTTACAAAAAGTACTTTTTACATATAAAAAGCATGTTTGGCAAATTCCGCTGTTTTTGCTGCTAAGTTATACAACGTTGTAACAGACAACAAAAAGCAACAAATTAACACCCATCTTCCCATTAACAAATGACCCCACCCATCCCTTCATAGGTTTTAGATTTCCTTTAGAAATCAGAGAATTTGAAATGAAAAAAAAATCCCATTACTGTTCTGTTGCTCCTAAAACACCTCTTTTTTTAAAAAGCAATAACTAAAAGCATTTTTTAAAAGTCAAAATCACAATAAACTGTTAGGCTCAGATCACGTCTATAGTAATGTAAGTTATTTCCCTTCTCTTAAGACGTTTACCTTTTTCCCCCCATTTAGCCTGTTTTTTTTACAGTTCAATACATATTTTTCCAAGCTCCACTTGCCAAACAAAAGAGTTTAGCCTCAGTGTTACTCCTCTGACAAATATCCTTATGGTCTTGCACATGTGAGAGCCATTGATAAACAAATTAAAATTCTGTCCCAGCTCAGAGCTCAGCTGGCCCATTTTATCTTGCAGTATGGGTTTGTAAAGGTCTGGGTGTCTGTCATCCTCCCCTAACCTTGTCTTTGTCAAAGGGATACAAAAGCCTGCCCGCTCGGGGCCCTTACGATACTGATTAGTGTGAGTGACAAAGTGGTGCTGCAAGTCCACTCAGCCTTTCATAATAAATCTATCAAAGAGTAATAGAATTCCATCAATCCTGCATCATCCCCGAGGGTCGCTGGGCTGGGATGGAAAGTGTGTTCCGTTGGGATTGTACAACTGTTATTATTCAATTACACTCTTTTCTTCCTAGTTAAAGACCATGATATCATTATCACTTAATGAATACATATAATTGGATCTGGACTCTATGTTTGGCTGATGAATACCACTCACTATTCATTCAGTCTCAGCTCATCTTCTGACCATTTATTATAGACTTTTGGCTGAAAACCATGATGACAAAGGGAATTTGAAATTAGCTGCGATTTTATTCAATGCTCAGTTAGACACAAAGACAAAATAAAATTTTGATGGCTAAATGAGTTGAGAATGAATTAATAAGTTTTGCCTAACTCAACAGTCTGTGATTTACTCATACTTAATACACACACAACATCCACAATCTCTGTCACACACATATATACACACAGAGTTAGCAACAAAACTGTTTAAAATGTTCAATAACTTCTAAAAATGAGTTTTATTTTTGAAAATCCTGAAGTGTTTTAATGTAATGAAGGGAAGATTTACTATTTTAATCTCATTAAAAAAATGTATTAGCTGTGAAAGTGTCAACACACATACACTTACACTCACACACACATGAAAATCTTCAGTTCAACCCTAGCCACCAAAGACAATTTTATGATTAAATAATATTTAAATTTGACAAAGCAAAAGTGCTTCCAATACAGTATATTTATTACACCTAATATCAAGTCCATCATTAAGTTTCATCATACAGTGTGCCCCCAAAGGAAACTAGCCCTCCTATTCATATTGTTGGGAGTAAATGTAGCATACCTCCTTTGGATCACTGGTGAACAGGCTACCTCATTAATCCTAGTTAGTAGATGCTGCCGGGCATGTGGAGCCGCCAAATCCAGATGCTACCCACAGAGGCTCTCCAGGCAGTTAGGGAATCACGGAGTACCACCTCAAGCCTTCCATACATCACTTCAAATTAAATTTACATTAAGTGCTACTCCATCAGAGCTGAGAGAAGCTGACATCTTTGGAAAATGCAGATGATAATCCATTAAATCCTATTATATACATGTCTTCTAATTTTACTTAAGCCCATGCATACCAAAGTATGAGTTTGTGTTAAAAATTAAAGACCCTTTTACTAGAACAAAAGACTTTATGAACTGTTGACTTTGGGAGGTTTTATTACAGGGGCAGGCTAGTCTATCAAGACGAGTAGACTTTTTCTGTACAAATTCTAGTTAAATATTTCTTCTGAGGATTTGTGTCGGTTTTTGTTTTAAAACACATCCTCTTTCCCCCTTCTCTGTCATCCCCCAGGCTCTCCAAATAACATGGTCCTTTTCAACCTCCATACAGTGTCCTAATAGTGTCTGCGTTAACTGTTATGAATGAGACGGTGGAACACATATTGTCTCCTTTTGCAATTAAGAAAATAGTTGCTGGCAGCTTCCAAACTGGCAACAACAAGAAGATGCTATAAAATCATCACAGTGAAAAGCTAAGGTTTAATTAGCCTATTATCACATATGTTAATCCCTTTATATTTTCATAGTCCTTAGTCACAGCTACTTTTACTTTGATTAGTCTCTTCTAATTTCATAACAGTGATCTTATTATTTTTGATCCTAAGCTCTTAAATTTTTACACTTAGCCGCAGTCTTTTATGTTGACATTTTTGTTTAATTTGTTTTTCTATAGCTAAAACCTGAAATAATTTGAAATTGGAAAATATTCAGAAGACCATGAAAATCGATGACTATTTGGACAAAAGATTCTACAGCAAGCCAGAAAACTTCTACCCAGAAATAACACACACACACACACACACACACACAATTAATTTAAAAGCTATTTATCAAACCTCTTAAATTTTAATCACAGTTTGGTTTCCCTACACTGGATTTTTACACATTAAAGCCATTTATTTAAGAATGTGCCACTGTGTATGTCTATATTTCAATAAAAGTGCTCTTTATCCATAAGAATTAGAGCCCTTCACTCAAGCCTGAAGTTTTTTACATCTATCACTTTTCTCAGACAATATTCAATTCATGTCTTTGTTGGCTTCTATTTATGGCATTAAAAGATTCCACAGGTATCAGTTTAATCAAAGTTTACTTATAGCAAAAATCTTTCACATATATACTATTATAATTCTTGTTTTTAAGCAAAAAGTGAGTCCCCAAAAGGTTAAATAATACAGAATAATAAAAGTATCTACCTCATAAAAGGTTTGCACAGATTAATATTAATGTATGTAAAGTGTATGGTATATACCAGGCTATTAATGGTTGCATTTGTTTTTATGTATTGAAAAAAAACTGCTAACATATTTGGGATGAATTTAGTGAAATTTTTACTTTAACATATGTAAATAATTATTCACAACTTTTACCACAATATTTATTAAATACTAGACTCTGCTCCCTTGGATTTAGGAAGGATACAAGCTAAGGCCAACATTAGGCACAACAGAATGAATATTAAGCTGATACCCTTTCCTACACACTTCCAAGGTTAAAAGCCCAGATCCTTGACCAAATGACCAAAAATGCATGAAATTCATATTAATAATCACTGATTATTAAACCCTGCACTATTATCTTGTGCTCACTTCCAAGGAGCCACTTGAAAACAAGTATGGGAGGTTTCACAGAGAATTATCCCAACTCTGTCACTTTCCTTTTTGCAAGTTCTAAATCCCTATCAAAGAAGGTCAAAGGGAAAATAATAAACAAGACTCCACAGGGATACATAGAGGAAAAACCAATCTGATTCCATATTCTGGAAGTCCTTGAAGAAGTCCTAGCTTCACAATCTCCTATATCAAGTTGCCTGCTTGACATTTCCACTTAGACATGTTGATCTCAACTGTCCAAAATCAAACTCTTGATTGCCACCCTGCCTAAGCTGGCTCCTCCCTCAGCCATCCACCTCTCAATGGTACCCCATCTACCCAGTTGCTCATACCAAAAATGCAGGAGTCATCCTTGATTTTCCTCCTTCTCTCACAACTCCCATACAATTTATTATGAAATCCTGTAGGCTCTACTCCCCAGTCTATTAAAAATACGTTCTTTCCTGCTCTAACGCAAGCCATCATCGTCTCTCACCTGCATTGCTACGAGAACCTCCAACTTCCGTATCTTCACTCTTTCTCCACACAGCAGCCAGATCTTTTTAAAAATGAAATAATTCACACATATAAAAAAGCAAAAAAGTGTAAATACCCATGGGTCCATCACCTAACTTTTAAAAATATTATCATATTTGCTTCAGGTCTTTTTCTTTAAGAAATAAAATATAACTGAAGGATCTATGTATCCATTCCCAGTTCCATTGACATTATTCTCACTTTAGAAATAATAATTGTCCTAAATTTAGTGAATTTAGTAATTTTTCTTTCTTTTTCTTTTTTTTTGGTGAGCTGGGGATTTATTCTTGTTGCCCAGGCTGGAGTGCAATGGCACGTTCTCGGCTCACTGCATCCTCCACCTCCCAAGTTCAAGCGATTCTCCTGCCTCAGCCTCCCAAGTAGCTGGGATTACAGGCATGTGCCACCACGCCCGGCTAATTTTGTATTTTTAGTAGAGACAGGGTTTCACTATGTTGCCCAGGCTGATCTCGAACTCCTGACCTCAGGTGATCTGCCCACCTCGGCCTCCCAAAGTGCTGGGATTACTGGTGTGAGCCACTGCACCCGGCCAGTAATTTTTATTTCTATAGATGGGATTTTACTTTTATTACAAATTCATGAATATCATTTGGGATTGAGTTAATCTGCATGTAACAGAAAACCCAAACAATAGGGGTTTATAAAGAAATGGGAGTTTAACATTTTTACATAATTGAGAGGCTTGGGGTAGGCAGTTGAAGCAATAAGGTTGGCTTCATGTCTCAAAGACTAAGGCTAAATCATTTGGGATTTTCTTGGTTTTCCCTTAATGGTTGTTCTAGCTTCAATCATTTGTGACCCATTTCTGGGCAAGAGAAAGAAAGAAGGGCTGATAGCAAAAAATTACATTAGCTGAGTATCTCCTACCTAACAACAACTTCTTATTTATTTATTTATTTATTTATTTATTTATTTTCTGAGACAAGCTCTCACTCTATTTCCCAGGCTGGAGTGCAGTGGTGCAATCTCAGCTGACTGCGACCTCCATCTCCCCAGCTCAGGTGACCCTCCCACTTCAGCCTCCCGAGTAGCTGGGACTACAGGCACACACCACCATGGCTGGCTAATTTTTGTATTTTTTGTGGGGATGGGGTTTCACCATGGTGCCCAGGCTGGTCTCAAACTCCTAGGCTCAAGTGATCTGCCTGCCTCAGTCTTCCAAAGTGCTGAGATTACAGGCATGAGCCAACATGCCCAGGCTTCTAGCCTCTGCTTACATTCTTTTTTCAGAACCATGACATGGCCTATATCTGCAAGAGAAGCCGAAAAATAGTTTTCCACTTGGACATATTCCTACCACAATAAAAGTAAAGTTATGCCATTATGGAAGAAGAGGAGACTAGATATTTGGTAGGCAACTCGCAGTCTTTTCTACAGTATGTACCCTTAAGTAAGATATTGATTTGAATGACTTTAAACTTTATATAAGTAAAATCATGCATAAATTATACTGTATGTTAGTGTTAAAATTTTCTCCTTTCGATCAACGTATTTTTGAGATTTAGCTATATTGATATATATAAAACTAATTTATTCATTTCACTACTTCAAAATATGCCCCTTATGAATGTACCACAACTTATCAATTTATTAATCCATTCTGTTTATGTACAGTGGGTTGTTTTAAATTTCCCAGTGAACACTCTCTTATATGTCTCCTTCAGAGTAAAAATAAATCAAATTTCATTTTTTTCTTCTTAAAGTTCTCCAGAGGTTTTCCATTACATTAAAATAAAATCTAACTTTTCATGCAACATTCTATATGAGCCATTCCCTACTTACCTGCCCAATTTTACTTAGTTCTGCTCTGTCATGTGCTCATTCTGCTCCATACATAGTGATCTCCTTTCACGCCTACCACTTTCCTTCCTCAGAGCCAGGGTCTGATAAAGGTTTTGTAGGGCTTGAAGCTTATTCAGTTTAGGTACAATTATATAAAATTAAGTGCAGGGTGTTGGATGGTGCCAATGCCAGTGAGATGCCCTGGTACTTAAGCTTCATTTATCTTCATGGAAAACCCACCTCTGCTCAGGGTCATTGAAATTCTATTCTTTCTGCTTGGAATGCTATTGCCCAAGTTGCTCTTCCCCTGGCTCCATGTCATTATTCAGGTCTTAGCAGAGACTTCTAGTCCTCCAATATCTATTCTCCCCTTCTGCCATACTAATAGAATATTTAGCTGAGTACATGATTACTCAAGTAAAAATTACATTTCCTAGCAGGCAACTGGATATAGCCCTATTATTATGTCCTGGCCAATGGGATGAGAGGAAAATGATGTGTCTAGTTTGAGGGTTATTCCCTGAAAGGGAGAACATTTTTATAAAGGGATACCTTCTTTTTCCCCTTTGTCTTTCCCATTGGCTGGAGTGTAACCCTGGTGGTTAACCATGTTGAACCATGTGTGTGACACTCAAAGGACAGTAGAGCAACAGACAGAAGGACTCTAGGCCCTGGATAACTTGGTGAAGCAGAACTTGGTGAAAAACTTTGTGAGAAAAAAAATTAATGTCTATCTGGTTTTAAGCCTCTATTATTTTTAAGTCTGTCACATTCAGTCAATCTATATCCAATCCATGGCCTCGGTTCAAATATCATTTCTTCACCAAGCCTTCCCTGGCTACCCCTTTTAAAGTAGCTCCATCCTCACATGTACTATGTCACTCTCTAGCACAGGGGTCCCCAACCCATGGGCCATAAACCAGTACCAGTCTGTGGCCTGTTAAGAACCAGTCTGCACAGCAGGTGGTGAGCAGTGGGAGAGTGAGCAAAGCTTCATCTGTATTTATAGCCGCTCCCCATTACTCACATTATCACCTGAGCTCTGCCTCCCATCAGATCAGTGGCAGAATCAGATTCTCATAGGAGTGCGAACTCTGTTGTGAACTGTGCACGCAAGGAATCTAGGTTGCATGCTCCTTATAAAAATCTAATGCTTGATGATCTGTCACTGTCTCCTGTCACCTCCAGATGGGACCATCCACTTGTGGAAAAACAAGCTCAGGGCTTCCACTGATTCTACATTATGGTGAGTTGTATAATTATTTCATTACATATTACAACATACTAATAGAAATAAAGTGAACAATAAATGTAATGCACTTGAATCATCCCAAAACCATCTCCCCGACTCCGGTCTGTGGAAATACTGTCTTCCTCAAAACTGGTCTCTGGTGCCAAAAAGGTTGGGGATCACTGCTCTAGCACATAAGTCTATTTTATTTCCTTCACTGAATTTATCCTCACTTGAAAATATTGTGTTTATTTGTTTGCTTCTTTGTTTACTGTCTCTCGCCACTAAAAAATGAATTTTATGGAGAAACTTTGTCTGCCTCGATAACTGCTGTATCCCCATTGCCATTATATACTAGAACAGTATCTAGTATATAATAAGTACTCAATAATTATTTGCTGAATAAATGAAAGAATGAATCAACAGAAAAAAAAAATAATTTGTGTCCACTAGACTATAAGCTGTAAGAAGGTAGGGACAATGTCTGTTTATCTATTGTTAGGTCAACAGAAACTAGCAATTGCCCAATACACTTTGGTAAAATGAATGAAGTGATAAACAAATGAATAAGAGTGAGTACATTTCAGAGGGCTTTTCTAAAATAAAAGTCAATAATAAAGGTTCAATCATAAGTATTGTTTTATTTTTAAGGTCACTTTAGCTTCCTGGGAAAGTCATTTGTTCATTAGGGAATAAGAAAAATAGCAATACTCCTATACATACTAAACATAAAATGTTCAAAGAAAGAAACTTAACTTTCACAAAAAGCCTAATGTGATTAATTTAAAATATAAGTACCAATAACATTAGCTGATATTTATTAAGGAGTTTTTTTAGTCTTTATTTTAATTTTTGTGGGTACATAGTAGGCATATGTATTTACAGAGTACGTAAGACACTTTGATACAGGCATGCAATACATAATAATCACACCATGTAAAATGGGTATCCATCCCCTCAAGCATTAATCCTTTGTGTTACAAACAATCCAATTATACTCTTTTAGTTATTTTGAAATGTACAATTAAATTATTATTGACTATAGTCCCCCTGTTGTACTATCACCTACTAGGTCTTATTCATTCTTTTTTTTGAGACAGAGTTTCCCTCTTGTTGCCCAGGCTGGAATGCAATGGCACAATCTCGACTCACCGCAACCTCTGCCTCCCGGGTTCAAATGATTCTTCTGCCTCAGCCTCCTGAGTAGCTGGGATTAAAGGCACTTGCCACCACGCCCGGCTAATTTTCGTAGTATTAGTAGAGACAGGGTTTCTCCATGTTGCTCAGGTTGGTCTTGAACTCCCGACCTCAGGTGATCCACCCACCTTGGCCTCCCAAAGTGCTGGGATTACAGGTGTGAGCCACCGTGCCCGGCCTTATTCATTCTTTCCAACTATTTTTTTGTACCCATTTACCATCCCCACCTCCCTCCCATCCCCTACTACCCTTCCCAACCTCTAGTAACCCTCCTGCTCTCTATCTCCAAGAGTTCGACTGTTTTGATTTTTAGATCCCACAAATAAGTAAAAACATGCGATGTTTGTCTTTCTGTGCTCGGCTTATTTCACTTAGCATAATGACTTCCAGTTGCATCCATGTTGTTGCAAATGACAAGATCTTCTTTTTCATGGCTGAATAGTACCCCACTGTGTATAAATACCACATTTTCTTTATCCATTCCTCTGTCGATGGACGCTTAGGTTGCTACCAAAGTTTGGCTATTGTGAACAGTGCTGCAACAAAAATGGGAGTGCAGATATCTCTTCAATACACTGATTTCCTTTTTGGGGAATAGGGAAATATACCCAGCAATGGGATTGCTGGATTATACAGTAGCTCTATTTGCAGTTTTTTGAGGTACCTCCAAACTGTTCTTCATAGTGGTTGTAGTAATTTACATTCCCACCAACAGAGGGTTTCCTTTTCTCCACTTTCTCATCAGCATTTGTTATTGCCTGTCTTTTGGATATAAACCATTTTAACTGGGGTGAGATGATATCTGATTGTAGTTATTAAGGACTTATTATATTCCAGGCCCTGTGCTAAATGGTTCCCATCTATTATCTCATTTAATCTTCATAACAATGCTACAAATAGGTAATAGACATCCATGACCTCTTATCTGAACCACTTGGAAGCCAGATATATTTTGGTATTCAAACTCTTCAGAAAATTAATAGAGCACATATACTATACGTAACACCTCTAGCAGGATCTGGGGCAATGCCCCATAGTCAAATACATTAATATTTTTACAGAGAAGCATATTCACCAGTGGGTACATAAAGACTATAAATAACCTCATATCCATTTAAGTTAGATTTATGAGTTCAGACCAGGGCAGGTTTTTCCTGACAAATAAGTTACAAAAACTTTTGGTTTTCAGAGATTTTGGATTTTAGAATTGCATATAATAAATTGAGAGTTTGTTTGATAATTTCAGTTTAACAGTGAAGAAACTTAAGAGCTCGTCCAAGATTAGAGAGATATTAGGAAAGAATAGATTTAAACCCAGATAATCTGGTTGAAAATTTATCATGCTTATCCGTTTTACTATAGTACTTGAAAATTCCATGTTACTTAGGTGTTCATTCTGAATCATGGGAGATGTTCAGTCTGAGGGGCTCAACTCTGCCCTGCAGAGGAAATGTACACATCAGGGTGCTGGATAAACTAGGTAGCCCTTAAAGTGTCTTCTCATCCCGAGACTCTATTATCCTTTGAAAACATATATCTTATGCTAATTCTAGTTCACAGACCACATTTGTAAATGGCCTTTTGTGGTGGTTCATGAAACTGACACTTGTTTCATTCATTCACTTAATAAATAAGGTACTAAGCATTCACCCTATGCTAAGCAATGTAAAGCGATGTGAAGACTTGCTGTACATGGTCCATGATCTCATAGAGTCTGCAATCCAGGTGAAGAGATGTGACATAGAAACAGAAAAAAATTAAATAACCTTGTAAACTGTACTGGTTACAAGCCAAAGTGAGAAAAACCGAAGGGATGAGGCAGACAGTAAATGTTCCCAGAGATGAGAGATACAGAAATCACTATGGTCTAATGGAATTAAGCAAAGTTTCATGGAGAAGAAGCAGCTGGCCCTTAATGAATGGGAAGGATTGACATGGATACAGAAAAGGGAGGTGGCATTTCAGGGACAGGCCGTGACCCACAACTTTGTATCACCTAGTAAAAGGTTGTATTTACAGTCAACATATGCACATGACTTGGGAGACATTCATTTTAAATGAATGCACATAGGACAAATAGTAGGCACTCTCCAATGTGTCTTTCAGTTTGCATACATTATAAAGGATCCTCGCATAAGCAGTTTTATAAACCTTGAGAAAGTTGCTTTGTCCATTTTCGAGCAGGTAGTATTCCAAGTGATTTTGCAGTGAAAGAATCAGCCTTAAAATCAATCAGGTACCTAAGAAACAAAAGCTGCCTCTGGGACAGAATATTCAAGTGAACTCTAGGACAGCCTACCTTCTCCACTATTCAGCAACATATCTTGAAGCACTGAATTGATTTACACTTCCAGTGTCCTTCAAGATTCCATAACTTTAGGGCATCTACATAAATATGTCTTATGACAAATACATACTACTGTATAAGTATAATATAACCGGTAACATCATATGCATTTATAAATATGTTGATAAAGCTAATATTTATGCATGAAGAGAAAAGATACAGAAATTTTACTCTAAATTTAAAAGTGAATTGTCACTTTTCAGTATATTCTCTAAAACAAGCTTCCAAATCTCTGACATTATTTCTTTTTCAATGGAATGTCACTAAATTGAATTTAAGCCCAGAAGTTATTTCTTCTTGCCTACAAAAAAATGTATAAATAGAATGGCACATATTTTTAAAATTAATGTGATGTTGAGTTGCACCACTTGGGTACATACTAAAAGGACCAGCAGAACCAAGTGGCAATTACCAAGCTTCCCTTGGAATATCAGAAAGGTGATGACACTGCTTTCTCTGTCTGCTTTAGGAGAGCAAAAATAGGACATGGTTTCAAAGGAACCCAGTACCTTTCTTGATGAATTCATGCCATTTCAAGTCATTCCTTTCATATTTTCCACTCCATGGACCAATAGTGATTGAATATCAGTAATGTGCACAAAGACAGATCACGTTCCCTTCCACCTTAAATTTCAGTCTGCATTCTTTTTGGAATCTTTCTTTTTCCATTCTCATTCATTCCCTGGGACACTCTGAAATGCTTCTTTTGGTCTTTTAAAAATAAATACTCACTACTGTGATTAATACACCAACGACAGAGAATAATCGTAGGGAAATATATATTTTAAAAATACATCTGCAGGAAAACATTTTAAATATTACTGAATAATTTTTGTTCTCAAGAAGTCCTTTATTCTTCTACCATTAAAATGAAAGCTTGGTGCTAAAGCTTATGTACTCAAGGGAAGGTAAAATCCAGACAACAGATTTTCTCTTTGTTTGAAAAACAAAAAAATGTTATTAAATTCCTGACAAAAATAATCTTAAAAGCCTACAAGTGCTTGGCTTTGTTTTGTTGCTAAGGTTGGGTGCTTGTTTTTTGAGAGAGAGAAAAGATTTTCTTTTAAAAGAGAGGAGGGTAAACTTCTCAGAACATAAAGTCTGTAGCTAAAAAAACAAAATTGGAAATAAGGCATTATGATAGAATATCCATGTTTGAAAGTTAGGCTGAAGAAAGATGTGAGAATGGAAATGAGAGGAATGAAATTTGCCACTGATGTGAGTCTCAAAGAAGGAAGCCTGTGCTCTAGTTTCTCCAGGGCCAAGCCTGGGTGGAATGACAATAGAAATCTCAGAAAGAGGCAGCCAGGCACGGTGGCTCATGCCTGTAATCCCAGCACTTTGGGAGGCCAAGGCGAGTGGATCGCTTGTGGCCATGAGTTCAAGACCAGCCTGGCCAATATGGCGAAACACCATCTCTACTAAAAATACAAAAATTAGCTGGGTGTGGTGGCAGGTGCCTGTAGTCCCAGCTACTGGGGAGGCTGAGGCATCAGAATTGCTGGAACCCAGGAGGCAGAGGTTGCAGTGAGTCGAGATTGCGCCACTGCACTCCAGCCCGGGTGACAGAGCAAGGCTGTCTCAAAAACAGAAAAAAAGAAATCTCAGATAGGTTTGGGAGATTCCAAGAAGACATTTGTGCTTTGCTTCCTGGCTAAAGTCCAGAAATACAGCAAGATTCATAAAGAAAACCCCTGTACCAGAAGTATCCTGAAGGATAAGGAGACACCTTGGCATAAGGCATGGACTATATGAACTGGAAGTCATGGTAGGAAAACAGACACTGAAGCAGATATGAGAGTGACTAATGATTAGTGGAGATTATAGACCAGATTTTTCCTTCTCCTGAGACCATGGCAAATTAAGTCCCAAGGAACTTAAATGCCACTGTAGGGAGAAAAAGAGGGAAGACTGGAATCCTAAATTGGGCTGAGTTTACTTGAAATAATCAGTAATTATATTGGCAAATAGAAAGAACAAGAAAAGAATTCCAAAAGCCCTCCCCACTGTAGACACCACCCTACCTGCATTCATATCCATACAATCTGCTTCCATCCAACTACTATGGAAAATGTCTATGATTCTATCTAAATTCTAGCTCTCCAGTTGTGCACTGGATCCTATCCTCTCTCATCTACTCAAGAGCTATGCTCCAGCAATTGTCTCTTCTCTCTCCTATACCATCAATTTTTCCTTCTTTTCTAGATTGTTCCCATCAGCAAATAAACATGCTATACTTACTTCCATCTTTAAAAAATAAAAAGCCGTTCCTTGATGAATAAGATATTTACACAGCACTAGAATATTGCCCCATAGTTTTTTTACTTAATTACAAAATGGAAAAGGTACTTTATAATGGAGAAATCTGGCAATCGCTATTTTAACTAAGAGATCATATTTAGCATCAATAACAGCGGACAACCAAATGTTACATGCCTCCTAATGGGATGTAATATAAAGTACACAACATAACTTAAAGGAATATTCTTGCCAAAAATGTTTAACCTGAATTTAATTAAACCCCTAGAGTTAATTTCCAGTTTATAGGCTGTTTAGATGAAAAAAAGTTAATACAATGAACAAATAATTAGAAACAGGACAAATAATTAGAAACAAATAATTAGAAACAGTTGTTCATAGGACAACTAGCATAAATGCTTTACAAAATAAACATTAAGAAAAAAGTCACTAAGAAAAAAAGCCAGAGAACTTTTTTATATTAATAAATATTAATGAGGCATAGTAATATACAATGTGTAAACTTTGGTTTCTGGGTTTTAAAATATATAAAAGATTTTTGGGCCAGGTGCAGTGGCTCACACCTGTAATCCCAGCACTTTGGGAGACCAAGGCATGAGAATCGCTTGGGCCCAGCAGTTCAAGACCAGTCTCGGCAACATAGGAAGACCCCATCTCTACAAAAAATTTTAAAAATTATCTGGGCATGATGGTGCACAGCTGTGGTTCCAGCTATTCAGGAGGCTGAAATGGAAGGATCACTTGAGCCCAGGAGGTTGAGGCTGCAGTGAGCCATGATCATGCCACTACACTCCAACCTGGGTGACAGAGTGAGACCCCATCTCAAAAAAAATATTTTTTTAGCTAATTGGGAGAAAGTGAATATGACTGGATATTAGGTGATATGGAATTATCATTAATTTTCTCAGATGTGATAGTGGTATTGTGGATATATAGAAGAATGTCTTTATTCTTGTGATATGCAAATTGAAGTATTTATGGGTAAAGTGTCACAATATCTGTAACTTACTTTTAAAGCTCAGCAAACGACCTGAAGAGAAAGAGAGCAAGCAAATATGGCAAAACATTAAAAATTGTTAAATCCAGGTGAAGGATATATGGGTGTACATTATATTATTCTTTCCAATTTTCTGTAGGTTTGAAATTTTCCAAAGTAAAAAGATTTTTTCTAACGCCCCTGTTGACAGCATATCTCTCTCAAGGCAATTAATGCTTCATTTCTCTGCTCCATTGGGAAATTTTTTTTGAAAGACTTGTCTATGCTCTTTTACTTCCTCTCTTCCCATTCTCTTTTAAATCTACTTGAAATAGCCTAACTCCCTACCTCTCCACAAAAACAGATTTTGGCAACGTCAGTGATGACCTTCATACAGTCAAATCCAATGATCAGTTCTCAGTCCTCATCTTACTCAACCTATCAGCAGTGTTTGGCACACTTGATTGGTCCTGCCTCTTGAAACACTTGCTTTACTTGACTCTAAGACAGCATGTTCTCTTGATTTTCCTCCTACTACAATGACAGCTCCTTCTATTGTCTTTTGCTGGACTATCTCATATACCTAAGCTCCAACACTGAGGTCTCCCAAAGTTCAGACCTGAGACCTCATCTCTATCTAGACTCCTTTTCTAGATAATCACATACAGTCTCTGGACTTTAAATACCATCTACAGGCCGGGTGCGGTGGCTCACGCCGGTAATCCCAGCACTTTGGGAGGCCGAGGCGGGCGGATCACGAGGTCAGGAGATCGAGACCATCCTGGCTAACACGGTGAAACCCTGTCTCTACTAAAAATGCAAAAAAATTAGCCAGGCATCGTGGCAGGCACCTGTAGTCCCAGCTACTCGGGAGGCTGAGGCAGGAGAATGGCATGAACCCAGGAGGTGGAGCTTGCAGTGAGCCGAGATCGTGCCCCTGCACTCCAGCCTGGGCAACAGAGCGAGACTCCATCTCAAAATAAATAAATAAATAAAATAAATACCACCTATATACACTACTTGGACTTCTATCCTGAATTCCTACATTCGAATACCAAATGCTTATTCAATAGCACTTACTTATTCAATAAACGATGCTTGGAAAACATCAATGCTTGGAAAACATATCCTTTCCTGTTGAATTATCTTTCCCATTAAATTCTTTTCAACAGGTTATTCACATGCAAAAGAATTAAGTTGGACTCCTACCTCACACCATATACAAAAATTAACTCAAAATGGATTATAGAAATAATTGTAAAAACAAGCAATATAAAACTCTTAGACAAAAACATAAGCATGAATTTTATGACCTCAGTTTAGGCAGTAGGTTCCTAGATATAATGCCAAAAACGCTAGTGACAAAAGAAAAAAAAGATAATTTTGGACTTCTTCAAAATGAAAAACTTTTGTTCTTTAATGGTTGCCATTAAGAAGAGACAACCTACAGAGATTATCCTGGGTAACATAAAATAAAATAAAGACAACCCACAGAATGGGAAAAAATATTTATAAATTACATATGATAAAAGACTTGTAACCAATATATATAAGGGATTTGTATGACTCAACCATAAAACTTCAATAACTCAATTTTAAAATGGGCAAAGAATTTGAATAGATTTTTTTTAAAATGAAAACAAATAGCCAACAGGCGCATTAAAAAGATGCTCAACATTCTTAGTTATTAGGGAAATGTCAATCAAAATCACAATGAAACACCACTTCACCACCACTAGGATGGCTATAATTAAAAAGACACATAATAACAAGTATTGGTGAGGATATGGAGAAACTGGAACACTCATATATTGTTGGCGGAAATGCAAAATGGTGCAGCCACTTTAGAAAATAGGCTGGGGTCTACAGAATGGGAGAAAATTTTTGCAATATATCCATCTGACAAAGGGCTAATATCCAGAATTTACAAATTTACAAGAAAAATCAAACAACTCAATCAAAAAATGGGCAAAAGATATGAACAGACACTTCCCAAAAGAAGACATTTATGCAGCCAACAGACATATGAAAAAATGCTCATCATCACTGGTCATTAGAGAAATGCAAATCAAAACCACAATGAGACACCATCTCGTGCCAGTTAGAATGGTGATCATTAAAAAGTCAGGAAACAACAGATGCTGGAGAGGATGTGGAGAAATAGGAATGCTTTTATACTATTGGTGGGAGTGTAAGTTAGTTCAACCATTGTGGAAGATAGTGTGGCGATTCCTCAAGGATCTAGAACTGGAAATACTATTTGACCCAGCAATCCCATTACTGGGCATATACCCAAAGGATTAGAAATGATACTATGATAAAGACACATGCACACGTATGTTTATTGTGGCACTAGTCACAATAGCAAAGATTTGGAACCAACCCAAATGTCCATCAATGATAGACTGGATTAGGACAATGTGGCACATATATACCATGGAATACTATGCAGCCATATAAAAGGATGAGTTCGTGTCCTTTGCAGGGACATGGATGAAGCCGGAAACCATCATTCTCAGCAAATTATCAGAACACTGCATGTTCTCACTTGTAAGTGGGAGTTGAACAATGAGAACACATGGACATAGGGAGGGGAACATCACACACTGGGGCCTGTCAGTGGGTGGGGGGTGGGTAGGGGAGGGATAATATTACAAGAAATACCTAATGTAAGTGACAGGTTGATGGGTGCAGCAAAGCACCAGGGCACGTGTATACCTGCGTAACAAAACTGCATGTTCTGCACATGTAACTCAGAACTTAAATTATAATTTAAAAAAAAAAAGAAAGAAAATAGGCTGGGTGTTCCTCAGAAGATTAAACATAGAGTTATTATATAAACCATTAATTCTATCACAAAGTATATATTCAAGAGAAACACAAACATATGTTACACACAAAAATTTGAACAAAAATGTTTATAGCAACATTGTTCATAATGGCCAAAAAATAGAAACAACTTAAATGTTCACCAACCAATGAAGAGATATAAAAATGTCCTATATATCCATATAATGTAATTGTATTTGGACATAAAGGAATGAAATTCTGATACATGTTGCAACATGGATGAACCTCAAAAACATTATTGCTAAGTGAAAGAAGGCAGACAGAAAAGACCATGCATTATTCCATTTATATGAAATGTCCAGAATAGGCAAATCCTTAGAGACAGAAAGTAGATGAGTGGTTGCCAGAGGCTGGAGGGAGGAGGTAATGGGGAATGACTGTTAATAGGTATGGGGTTTCATTATGAGGTGTTAAAATGTTCTGGAATTTGGGCCAGGTGCAGTGGTTCACGCCTGTAATCCCAGCACTTTGGGAGGCTGAGACAGGAGAAGTGCTTGAGCCCAGGAGTTCGAGACCAGCCTGGGCAACATAGTGAGACCCCCCATCTCTAAAAATAAAAATATATATAAGTATTAAAATGTTCTGGAATTAGACAGTGGTGAAGGTTGCATAACTCTGGTATTTTTTTTTTTTTTTTCTGGAGACTGTGTCTTGTTCTGTCACCAGGCTGGAGTGCAGTGACACAATCTTGGCTCACTGCAACCTCTGCCTCCCGGGTTCAAGCAATTCTCCTGGCTCAGCCTCCAGAGTAGCTGGGACTACAGGTGCACACCACCATGCCCAGCTAAGTTTTGTGTTTTTAGTAGAGACAGGGTTTCACCATGTTGGCCAGGATGGTCTCAATCTCTTGACTTCGTGATCCGCCTGCCTCGGCCTCCCAAAGTGCTGGGATTACAGGCTTGAGTCACCGTGCCCCGTCACTCTGGTAATTTTAAAAATCACTATAAAACATAATATAAAATACACTGATTTTAAAAATCACCGACTTGTACACTTTAAAAGGATGTATTTTATAGTATGTTAAAGTCATGTGCCACATTATGACATTTCAGTCAATGAGAGACCACATAGGACATTGGTCCCATGAAATTACAATGGAGCTGAGAAATTCCTGTTGATGTCATAGTCCATATAATATCATAGTGCATCACATTACTCGTTTATCTGTGGCCATGCTGGTGTAAAGAAATCTGCTCTCCCATTTGTATAAAAGTATAGCACATACAATTAAGTACAGTACATACTACTGGATAACAATAATAAACGACTATGTTATTGGTTTATGTATTTACAAAGGGACACAAGAAAACTGTTGAGGATGATGAATATATTCATAATATTGGTAGTGATTGTAGTGATGGTTTCACAGGTATATATATATATGTGTCAAGATTTATTGGATTGTATTAATACACCTTAAATAGGCTGAGTACAGTGGCTCACACCTGTAATCCCAACATTTTAAGAGGCTGAGGTTGGCAGATCACTTGAGGCCAGGAGTTCGAGACCAGCCCAGCCAATACGGGGAAACCCCATCTCTACTAAAAATACAAAAATTGGCCGGGCATGGTGGTGCACACCTGTAATCCCAGCTACTTGGGAGGCTGAGGCACAAGAATCGCTTGAACCCAGGAGGCAGAGATTGCAGTGCTACTCAGGAGGCTGAGGCACAAGAATTGCTTGAACCCAGGAGGCAGAGATTGCAGTGAGCTGGGATTGCACCACTGCACTCCAGTCTGGGCAACAGAGTGAGACTGTCTCAAACAAACAAACCAACAGACCCAAATTGTACACCTTAAATATATGCCACTTATTTTATGTCAATTTTACCTAAAGAAAACTGTAAATATTTCTATCTATTCCAAAGAACAAATCATTCTGATATTGATTTAATGGCCTCCCAATTACTTCAGCTAAATCACCTCTTCCCAGGCCAGTTCAGTCTTCACTCTGTCCCTAGGATTAACTTTTTAAAACATTTGGCATTCCCATAACTCCTTTTCTTAAAAACTTCCATTGTTCCCCCACTGAATATAGTTCTAAAGGACACTTTTCTTAATATAATCTCATCCCACCTTCTAGGCTCATCTCTTTCTGGTACCCTTCAGGTTCTTTCATACTCCTGCTACAATACATTTCTCACTTAATCTTTAGACATTCAGTTTCTTCTGTTTAAAATGCCTTTATCCTTCCATGACCTGCCCCAACTTCAAAGTCTGGAGAATTACTACCCAACTTTCAAGATTCTGTTCAAATAGTACATTCTATGTGAAGGCTTTTAAATTTCTTCCAGCCATTCTTTCTCTCCTCATTGTTCTCATGATTCTTGCACTTTCTTTTTTACCACTTTGCAGTGTAAAGTTTGTTTGTTTTTATATCTGTCCTCATCAAAAAAAATTGTGTCTCCTAGTACCCCCAGAGCTTAGTACAGTACCTGCCATACAGCAGCAATTCCATAATGCTAAATGAATAAATGAAAGCACATTCAGTGACGGCTATTAACAGTTTTAATATATTCTATGATGTTTCAAAAAAAATTTTAATAATACAGCAATCAGCATTAATAGGGTATTTGGAGAATCTCTTAAAATAAGCACATAGTCTTTGCATATACCAAAAACCGTGTTTATAAAACTGGTAAAATAAAATGATTTTGTGCCATATTTAGGGCTTCCCCACAATCTAACTATCAGATGTTTTAAAAATTGCCAAAGAAATTCTGAAGATCACCTAGTAACAAGAGCTGGAAAGAGAGATGTGGCTCATTCATCCTTGAGACTAAAGGGTATATTCTCATTTTGACGTTCAACGATTTATATATTCAACTCCCATTAATGCTAATGGGAATTGTGCACATAAATTTTCACAAACTGAGATGAGAACACATCCCTAAACGTGCAAGCCAAGAATACATGCAGATGCTATAATTCCAAAGCCTAAGAAACTAAGCCCATAATTAAAATGTGTGGCTCTCTCAGTGTCAGCAGATTGAGTTGCTAACACACTTACAGGCCCAATTCATCACAATATATCTATAGCCTTCCAGCCTCTAACAGTCCTGGAAGGCAACAGATGCCAGTGAACTGCAGACTGGCTTGTCTGGGAGAAAGGTCGGCTATGGAAACCTTGTTGGGAGAAAGGGAAAAGGCAGTAGGGTAGAAAGGTAGAAAACTCTCTGGGGAAGTAGAAAACTTGCCAAAGGTCCTTTTGTCTCCTGCTCTACCACCTTGGTCCTTTCACTTAACAGTTACATCTACTTAGAAGAGGGTTCATGAATCTAAAAACTTTGAATGAAAGCCAAATAATCTGCTCTGTAAGAGGCTATTTGGGAAGCTGATTTACCCACAATATTCCATAGAAATGCTATGCTTGAGAAAGTCAACTAGTATTTCTGAAAATCCGAATCTCCTCTAAAGGGAATATGAATACATGACTTGGCATAATATATGATCATAATCACTAGGTCTTTACAGACTCATTCCAATTTCAACAAGTTATTCCTGTCACATATTTACTTCCAAGTTTAATCCCACCAAAAGCAGAAAGATATTATATTGAATGTAGCCTGGTGAAAATCACATTGAATTTGGAATTCAAAGGTAAAGATTCAAGTTTCACTGGACACAAAATCTCTCTGAGCCACAATTTTCTCTACTGGAAAATGAGAGGTGATAATCCTTGCCCTACTTATCTCTTAGGGTTATTAGAAATTTACATGAAAGCATTTGAAAATACCAATATCAGCTCCTGTGCTCAATAATTTTTTTAAGAAATATATATATATAGTTACCCCCCAAAAAAATCTTTGAAAATGGCCTCTTTTACAGAAAAACAACCAAATCCCCAAGTCTTTTTCATAATCCTGTCTTCTCTATCCTCCCCTCCCTCAACTCCCCTTCCCCCTTTTTTTGGAGACAGAGTCTGTGTCACCCAGGCTAGAGTGCAGTGGCATACTCACAGCTCACTGCAGCCTCAACCTTCTGGGCTCAAGTGATCCTCACACCTCAGCCTCTCTAGTAGCTGGGACTACAGGCATGTGCCACCACACCCAGCTAATTTGTGTATTTTTGGTAGAGACATGGTTTTGCCATGTTGCCCAGGCAGGTCTCAAACTCCTGGGCTCAAGCAATCCACCCATCTTGGCCTCCCAAAGTGTTGGGATTACAGGCGTGAGTGACCAAGCCCAGCCCTCTCAATCACCTTGATTAGGAGAGTCCTCTAAAGTCCTAAACACAACCACTTCCTTGCTGGGTGATATTGGGAAGTTACATAATCTCTGAGAGTCTATAAATCTGAAAATTCTGAGATTCTGGTATTGTTTCCTCATGCCAAAAGTGAAGATAATATCTGTCTTGGTTTCCTCATTGGATTAGTATGACAACAAAACATCTCAACAGCAAGAAAAAAAAATCCAATCAAAAAATGGGCAAATGATCTGAACAGATATTTATCAAAAGAAGATATACAAATGTCCAACAAATATATGAAAAAACAGTCAATATCACTAATCATCAGAGAAATGTAAATCAAAACCACAGTGAGATATTTAGAGACTCATTCCAATTTCAACCACAATGAGATATCATCTTACCAAATTAGATAGCTACTATCAAAAAGACAAAAAAAGTAAAAAACAACAACAACAAAACAAGTGCTGGCAAGGATGTAGAGAAAAGGAAACTCTTATACACTGTTGGTGGGAATGTAAATTAGTATAGCCACTATAGAGAACAGTATGGAGATTTCTAAAAAAAAAAAAAAAAAAAAGCTACAAATAAAACTACCATATGATCCAGCAATCCCACTACTGAGCATTTATCAAAAGGAAAGGAAATCAGTATATTGAAGAGATACCTGCACTCCCGTGTTTATTGCAGCACTATTCACAATAGCCAAGATGTGGAATCAACCTAGGTGTCCAACAACAGATGAATAAAGAAAATACAGTATATATACACAATGGAATATTATTCAGCTATAAAAAAGAATGAGGCCGGGCATTATGGCTCACACCTGTAATCCTAGTACTTTGGGAGGCTGAGGCAGGCAGATCGCTTGAGGCCAAAAGTTCAAGACCGGCCTGGCCAACATAGCAAAACCCCATCTCTACTAAAAATAAAAAAAGTAGCTAGGCGTGGGGGTGCATGCATGTAATCCCAGCTACTCGGGAGGCTGAGGCATGAGAATCGCTTGATCTGGGAGGCAGAGGTTGTAGTGAGCCAAGATTGTGTCACTGCACTCCAGCCTAGGTGACAGAGGGATTCTGTCTCTAAATAAATAAATAAGAATGGAATCCTGCCATTCTCAGCAATATGGATGGAAGTGGAGGACATTATGTTAAGTGAAATACACCAGGCACAGGTTTAAACACTTCATGTTCCCTCTTATATGAGGAAGCTGGAGAAAGTTGATTTCATAGATGTAAAATGTACCGTAGATGTTACTAGAGGCTAGGAAAGGTAGGGGAAAGGAGACGATTGGGAGAAACTTGTTAAAAGATACAAAATTATACCTAGATGAGAGGAAAAAGTTATAGTGTTCTATACCACTGTAGGATGACTATGGCTGACAATAATATATATTTTCAAATAGCTAAAAGAGACGATATTGAATGTTCCCAACACAAAGAAATGATAAACATTTGAGAATATGGATATGCTAATTACCCTTATCTGATCACTCTACATTGTATGTATCAAAACATCACTATATACCCCATAAATATGTACAATCATCATGTGTCAGTTAAAAAAAATCAAAAGAGATCATGTAAGCTATAAAGGACCCCATAGTTGAGTAGACTCAACACTCAAGCTGGTATTTTTGAACACCTACTGTATGCTAGGCACTAGGCTAAGTATCGTGCTTAAAAAGAGAGGTTAGTAAGTCCCTCTGTGACAGTCACCACAGAAATCCCTAGAAGTTTATGCTTTTTCCACTTCATCCCTATCCCACTTCTCTGTTTGTGATCATTAATTATGATTACTTATATGCTGTCTTGTACTTTGAAATATAGGAATACTGGGAACTACACAGCGCAGAAAGAAGTGGCCACAGCAGGATAAAGTAGAACTTAGACTCTGAACAAGAGATTTGGCAAAAGTCTAAACATAGAGGAAAGCTGTGCGATGGGGTATCTGAGACTATTCCCAGGCTAAATGACTGAGGGCAAAAACGGTTGAGGGCAAAAATGGTTGAGGAGGGGTGCCACTGGATGTCTGGGGTCAAAAATAAGTATTGTGGCCGGGTGCGGTGGCTCACGCCTGTAATCCCAGCACTTTGGGAGGCCAAGGTGGGTGGATCACCTGAGGTCAGGAGTTCAAGACCAGCCTCAACACGGAGAAACCCCGTCTCTACTAAAAATACAAAATTAGCTGGGCATGGTGGTGCATGCCTGTAATCCCAGTTACTCGGGAGGCTGAGGCAGGAGAATTGCTTGAACCTGGGAGGCGGAGGTTGCGGTGAGCCGATATCGCACCATTGCACTCCAGCCTGGGCAACAAGAGCAAAACTCCATCTCAGTAAATAAATAAATAAATAAATAAATAAATAAATAAATAATAAGTATTGTAAATTTGATAAACAGCATTTTTTCCTGAATAAAATTACCTAGGAGATATGAATTGGTTGGCAGAAAAGAACATGGGAAAGGTAGGGGATGGTAGTATTATAGCTACAAAACATTTTGGGATCATGATAGGGGTATGTCCAGCATGCTGAAAGCAATCATATTTCATGCTTGGCTAGAAAAATAGAAGTCCTGTTCTTGCCCTCTTCATCACAATCCACATGTAACTATCCATCATCCCTTTTCCCTCTCTATTCATAATTACACTCCTCTTTGGGGTCCAAAGCAAAGTCCTCCAGATAGCCTGTTGATACAAGGAACTATGTATTCAATATTTTCCATGTAGAGGTAGTCTATTTGCTGGGATGCCCTTATATGATGTCATAAGACAGGCATAGGGGACCAGGTATGCTCTCATTTTCATAATTCTGGATTTCATAATGTTATTCACTATTGAAGAGAGTATGTGTTATTCACACACATTCAATTATGCATTACTCTTGAAAGGTTCTTGTTCACTTGGGTTTATTGATTAACCTCTTAAAAGGAAAGCATAAAAATTTCTCCCTTTTAAAAATAGTTTTACTCAGTAGGTTCCCTTGACTTTGATAAGAAGAGCTCAAGATTTAATACTTTAAGGAGCCTCCAAAACCATGGCAAACTTTTCCCCAAAAAAACTAGAACTAAAATAAAGTCTCTATCAGATCTCTGAATATACTGATTTTTTAAAAAGATTTCTGAGAAGAATCTTCCATCATTTTCAAAAGAAATGGAGCCTTTCTCTTCCTCTGTTGATGTGTGTTTTTCTGAAGTACAGCTTGCTTTCTATAATGTAATTTCTTGCATTCCTATAAAACCAACGTAAAACAGTAGTATGAAAACAACCTAAAAACAATGGTGTAAATGAGAAATAAAAGAGGGTTTAATCAGCTACAGAGTTTCAGGTTTCTAGCAACAAGGAAGAATAAGGGGAGTTATAATGCATAAATATATTTTACTCTTGAAAGTTAAAAATATACTAGTCAAATCCCCTTTAAGCAAATTCTAAACAGCATATAAGATTATATCAAAATCAGTGAGACTTTAGATTCATTGTTATCAAATGAGAAACAAAACAAAAAAAGTTAATAACTTGGTATTTTAAAAAGCACAGAATCCAAATAAACAGTAGCACAGTTCATATTTGCAAGGAAGAATCGGAAGAATACGTTGCCAAATCAACAGCCAGCCACTCAAAACAAACATGCATGTGTTCCCAATGCTGCATGAATAATAACCTTTCTCCTGTAACGGATGTATAACCAACAGCTGCATGTAATACAAATCATGTTCTCTAATTACTCTATCTCCATATATCCTATTTATATTGAGAAAATTCTCACCGTAAGAGAAATGTCTATTCATTACACCTGCTGTTCTCTATACAGAATTCAACTGGGAAACTCCATCACACCAAAACTATCATTTATCTTTGCCCTTCAAGAAACTTTAAATATAAGGAATAGGTGTAGTGGTCATTAGAAATCTGGCTTTATCAATCATTTACTGGCTATATGACCATGAGAAATACACTGAATCTCCCTGAGTCTTGGTTTCCTCATCTATTCTATGAGGATAGTGATACTCCCTTAGGGTAGTTGTAAGAATTAATTAACATGCAGTTAAACCTCTAAAAACAAATACTATGAGTTCAACGAATGGTAGCTATTAGACAAGTGATTTCATAAATTAAAAGCTAGGTCATCCAAAGTAAAAAAGAGAGAAAACACAAATAAAAAACTAAAATCAGAAGTTAAAGTGGAGCCACTATTGACCTTACAGAAATAAAAAGAATTATAAAAGAATACTGTGAACAAGTAACTATACACCAACAAATTAGATAACCAAGATGAAATGGGCAAATTCCTAGAAACACACAAATGACCTAAACTGACTTAAAAAGAAACAGAAAATCTCAACACACTTATAACGAATAAAGAGATTGAATCAGTAATCAAAAAACCTTGGCTGGATGCCATAGCTCATGCCTGTAATCCCAGCACTTTGGGAGGCCAAGGTGGGAGGATCACTTGAGCTCAGGATTCGAGACCAGCCTGGGCAACACAGTAAGACCCTGTCGCTACAAAAAAAGGAAAAAAGAAAAGAAAAGAGAAAGAAAGGAAGGGAAAAAAGGAAATGAAGAAAGAAAAGAGAAAGAGAATAATTAAGGAGGGCTGGGTGTGGTGGCTCACAGCTGTAATTCCAGCACTTTGGAAGGCTGAGGCGAGTGGATCAACTAAGGTCAGGAGTTTGAGACCAGCCTGGCCAACATGGTGAAATCTTGTCTCTACTAAAAACACAAAAATTAGCCAGGTGTGGTGGTGGGCGCCTGTAATCTCAGCTACTCGGGAGGCTGAGCCAGGAGAATCGCTTGAACCCGGGAGGCAGAGGTTGCGGTGAGCTGAGATTGCACCACTGCACTCCCACCTGGGTGACACAGTGAGACTTTGTCTCAATAGAAATAAAAATAAAGAATAATTAAGGAAAAAAAAAAAGACCTCCCAACAAAAATACACTCCAGGACCAGTTGGCTTCACTGGTGAATTCTACCAAACATTTAAAGAATTAACAACAATCAATCATTGTCAAGCTGCTCCAATAAATAGAAGAGGAATGAACATTTCCCAAATCATTCTATGAAAACAGAATTACCCTGATATCAAAGCCAGATAAAGACATCACAAGAGGCCAGGCGCAGTGGCTCATGCCAGTAATCCCAGCAATTTGAGAGGCTGAGGCGGGTGGATCACCTGAGGTCAGGAGTTCGAGACCAGCCTGGCCAACAGGGCAAAACCCCATCTCTACTAAAAATACAAAACTTATCCAGACCTGGTGGCTCAAGCCTGTAATCCCATCTACTCGGGAGGCTGAGGCAGGAGAATCGCTTGAACCCAGGAGGCGGAGGTTGCAATGAGCCAAGAGTGTGCCATTGCACTTCACCCTGGGTGACAGAGCAAGACTCTGTCTAAATAAATAAATAGACATCACAAGAAAAGAAAATCTTAAACGAATATCCAAAATCCTCAGCAAAATACTAGAAAAATCAAATGATGTAATATATCACATCTATAGAATGAAGGGGAGACAACACAAAGATCATATTGATTGATGCAGAAAAGGCATTTGACAAAATCCGACACTCTTTCCTGAGAAAGACACAAAGAAAACTAGGAATAAAAGAGAAATTCTTCAACAAGTTAGTGATTTATAAAAAACCCAACAGCTAACATACTCAGTGCCAAAAAACTGTAATATTTTCCCCAATATTAGGAACAAGACAAGAATGCCAGGTTTCACTACAGCTATTCAACACTGAACTGGAAGTTCTAGCCAGAGCAATTAGACCAGAAAAGAAAAAAAAATGGGGAAAATTGCAAATTTTATGCTATATGTATTTTTCTCTAATAAAAAAATTTATTTTATTTTATTTATTTATTTATTTATTTTTGAGACACAATCTTGCTCTGTGCCCAGGCTGGGGTGCAGTGGCATGACCTCAGCTCACCACAACCTCTGCCTCCCAGATTCAAGTGATTCTCCTGCCTTAGCCTCCCGAGTAGCTGGGACTACAGGCGCGTGCCATCACGCCCAGTTAATTTTTTGTATTTTTAGTAGAGATGGGGTTTCACCGTGGTACCCAGGATGGTCTCGATCTCCTAACCACCTGCCTCGGCCTCCCAAAGTGCTGGAATTACAGGCGTGAGCCACGGTGCCCAGCCAAATTTTAATTATTTTTATTAACATCTCATATCCTCCGTGCCCTACCCCAGCCAAAAAAAAAGCTGGGCCATCTACAATACAGGCTGTCATAGCGTTATTTGCTTACTCTTTAACATTTATCTGAGCTCATAAAGGCTGAGGTAGAATTTGAAAAGGGTATAAGCAACAGTGGAAGAGAAATTAACCTTATTTACAAACTGAATGTTTGTGTACCCCCAAAATGTATATGTTGAAATCCTAACTCCCAATGTGATAGTATTAGGAAGTGGGGGCCTTTGGGAGGTGATTAGATCATGAGGGCAGAGCCCTGGTGAATAGGATTAGTGACATTTTGAAAGAAACAGAGCTTCCTCACCCCTTCTGCCATGTGATGTCACAAGAAGTTGATGGTCTGCAACCTGGAAGTGGGCTCTCACCAGAATTTGACTATGCTGGCATTCATTCTCAGACTTTCAGTCTTGAAGTTGCATTTCCAGAGCAAGCACATTGTTTTTAATTAGAATGCATTTATTGGGGGTGGGGGCCAGGGGTTGTCTTGTAGAAGTTATAAAGAAAGGGCTTTAATGTCACTACAGGCAACTCTTTTGGTATTGCCACTGAAATTGCTCAAAATATTGTCAAATGGCTTATTTTAAAACTGTTATCATTCTCGCAGAAATCCTGGCATTTTCACTGCCAGTACCCTGTAAAGTCACTTGCTTTATATGGAAAACACAATTCAATTCAGAATTCATTATGTACTTACTATGTACAAAGTACAAGGTGAGATTTGGGGGACAGAGAAATCTAAAAGTCCAATAATTCATGAAGATGTCAATTTTGCATCAGTGACTGTTATCTAGATTCTGGATTCTGTCATGGAGGGCTGTAATAGAAACTAATTTTCTAGGTTAAAATAACAAACAATCTTTTCACTCCCCAAAGGCGAAGTTAGACAGGAATGTCACTAAAACTTAGGTATTTGTTCCATAATAATATAAAAGTTTTTTTTTTTCAAGAAAGCCTGGCCTTGTTCAGCACCAGCTTTATGATTTGGGTTTATTTGTGAGAAATGTATTCATTATCTATTGCTGCATAACAAATTATCCCAAAACTTGGTGACTTAAAACAATAATAATAATCATGTATTATCTCTTCTTATCCCTCATAGTTTCTTTTCTTTTCTTTTTTTTTTTTTTTTGAGACAGAGTTTCGTGCTTGTTGCCCAGGCTGGAGTGGAATGGCGTAATGGCGTGATCTCAGCTCACCGCAACCTCCACCTCCCGGGTTCAAGCAATTCTCCTGCCTCAGCCTCCCGAGTAGCTGGGATTACAGGCTCGAGTAGCTGGGATTACAGGAATGCACCACCATGCCCGGCTAGTTTTGTATTTTTAGTAGAGACGGGGTTTCTCCATGTTGGTCAGGCTGGTCTCGAACTCCCGACCTCAGGTGATCCACCCACCTCGGCCTCCCAAAGTGCTGGGATTACAGGCGTGAGCCACTGCGCCCAGCCATCTCTCATAGTTTCTACAGGTCAGAAATATAGACAGAGCACAGTGGAGACAGCATGTGCTATGTGATTCCTGCAGCCTTAGCTAGAAGACTTGAAATTTGGAATTGTCTAAAAGTTCACTTACTCTCATTTGGTGCTAGCTGTTGGCTGGGGGTCCAGCTGAGGCTGTCAGCCAAAACACCCATACATGCCATTTCTTTGTGGTCTGGGCTTCCTCATTACATGGTAGTTGGGCTCCAACTGCAAGCATCCCCAGAGAGAGAGCCTTGTAAAAGCTGTCTTTTATGACTGGCCTCAGAAGTAATGCAACATCTCTGAAATGCAGCTTTTATTGACCAAGGCAGTTAAAAAATTCTGCACGGGTTTGGCTGGGCATGGTGGCTCACGCCTGTAATCCCAGCACTTTGGGAGGCCAAGGCGGGTGGATCATGAGGTCAAGAGATCGAGAACATCCTGGCTAACATGGTGAAACCCCGTCTCTACTAAAAATACAAAAATTAGCCGGGCGTGGTGGTGCGCACCTGTAGTCCCAGCTACTCGGGAGACTGAGGCAGGAGAATTGCTTGAATTCGTGAGGTGGAGGTTGCAGTGAACTGAGATCGTGCCACTGTACTCCAGCCTGGCAATAGAGTAAGACTCCGTCTCAAAAAAAAAAAAAATTCTGCAGTAAGGGGAATATAGATATCACCTCTCAATGAAAACATGTCAGCATCATATAGTAGAAGAACATGTGGAATAGGGAATGTATTGCTGCCACCACCTTTGGAAACTATAATATGCCACAGCAAGGAGAAAGATATCGAGTGTTTCCTGCTGCCAAAAGCTTTAATTTACTCTATCCGCCTCTTCTAAACTTGTTGTTAATTGGGGCTGACATTCACTTGCAGTCTTGTGTAAGGCACTTTCTTTAAAGAATTTTATTTAACTATTTTTAAGTAAAAGGGAAAGACTGATTTGGTAAGAAGACAGGTGACATGGCAAGATTTAGTTAGATCCATCTTGGCTAAAGTTACCCCTGAGATTGATAGGTGAATTAGTTAGTTGGTCTGTTGGTTAATTCATACTTCACTTTCCTTCTACCATTAACTTGTGGTGGCCTATTCCTGCAATTTTAACTTTCATTGATGTTAGGTACCGCTCTCATCATGATTTCTCCCTGGTTCAATTGGATTTAAATTCCCATGCCTATGGCCTTATCATGTCATTCTCAAGGCCTAAGATATTACTATCATAATTGTCAAGCTGTTTTGTTGCAAAGAATAGATATTTATTATAAGATTTGAAAAGGGCAATTTTCCCGATCCACATATTGATAGAGCTAGAATTCACGGAAGCAAGATTTAGAAATGAAGCTTTAAAAATAATTGAAACTTTGTTCTCTCTCTTAGATCCCCCATGGTGTTTCTCACCTCTGCTGCTTCTATTTTCCTGTCTCTGTTTGTCCTCTTGGTTCCCCTCTGCCCCTCTCTTGTCCTTCCCTACCCTCCGTTTTTCCCCTCTTCTTTCCATCCCTCCCCCATCCACTCTTCTTACTAATTTTCTCTTAAGAAGCTTCTTCTAGATGCACGAATCCTGCATGACTACCAGCCTCAGGTCTTTATCACAAAAGTCCAGCACACCAATGGAATATGATCTCTGTCTCTCTCCTAGGACAAATTCTTGAGAGAGAATCTGAGTGGTCACCTTACCCCCACTAATCAGCAGTGGCCAGAAAAAGTAGTGTCATGTGATTAAAATATGGCCACTAAGGGCAGGTCCCCCAACCATTATGCTACACCAGTTTCTTTCCTTCTTTCACACAGGTTGCTGGAAACTATTGGAAAATCCCTCAACCGTGAATAGGAGTGCTATGACTCCCCCCTCTGGTTAGTATGCTTTCTCCCTTGTTCTCTTACTCTCCCACACTCTCTCCTTTCCTTCACAATAGTTTCACTAAAAAATTTTCTACACTTGGCCGGGCATGGTGGTTCATGCCTGTACCCGAGCACTTTGGTAGTCCGAGGCTGATGGATCACTTGAGGTCAGGAGTTCAAGACCAGCCTGACCAACATGGTGAAACCCCATCTCTACTAAAAATACAAAAATTAGCTGGGTGTGGTGGCATAGACATGTAATCCCAGCTACTCAGGAGGCTGAGGCAGGAGAATTGCTTAAACCTGGGAGGAAGCTGCAGTGAGAGGAGATCATGCCACTGTACTCCAGCCTGGGCGACAGAGCGAGACTCTGTCTCAAAATAAATAAATAAATAAATAAATAAATAAATAAAAATTAGCTACGCTCAATGTTTTCAATTCTTCCTCACCTATTCATTAAACAAAAACAGCAACTGAAGCATCTGACCTTAGCATTTTGCTGAGATTGCCCTTGCCACTCCATACTTGTTGCCGATTCAAAAGGACATGTCATGGTCCTTATCTTACTAGATGTCACTGAGGCAATGGACTCAATAAGCCACTCCCTTCTTTGTCATTTCTACTGTTTTTTTTCTCTTAACAAATCTATTTAGAGGTTTTCCTAACCATCTTTTAGTTTGTGGGATTTGTCTCTATTTTTCTTTTCTATTTAATTAAATTATCTTCTTACCTTTATCATTTCTTCCTTTTCCTTTTGAGGGTTTATTTTGATTCTAATTTCTTGAGCTAATCTTTATTTCAATAAATTTTTTACAAAAATTTTTCTATCATGGTAAAATTACCATTTTAACTATTTTAAGGATACAGTTTGTGGCATTAAGTACATTTACATTATATAACCATCACCACCATCCATCTCCAGAATTTTTTGCATCTTCCCAAACTGAAACTCTGTACCCACTAAACAATAACTCTTCATTCCCCCCCACCTCTAGCCCCTAGCAACCACCATACTACTTTCTGTCTCTAGTTCACTAATTTTTAATATTTCTTATTTACTAATACATGAATTTAAGCTACACTGCATTTTCCTCTAAGTATGCTTCTGCTGCTCTGTGTTTTGATATGTAGTGTTTTCACTGGTATTCAGTTCTAAATATTCCATAGTTCCCATTGCACTTTCTTCTTAGATCTATGAATTTGAAAGTACAAGTATGTTTTTTAGATTCTAAAATGTAAGGGCTTTTAAACTCTCTTTTGATATTCACTTTTTATTATCTTATAACTGGAATGCATGTTCTGTCTGGGTTTGGTTCTTAAGAATACGTTAAACTTCCTTCTGGCCCAGTATGAGTCAATTTTTTAAAATATTACATGGATGACTGGAAACAATGTGAAATGTATCAGAACACTCTATTAATAGTGACTTAAGCAATAATGACCTTCATCTTACATAACTAGAAGCTGGAGGTTGGGTGCTCCAGAGTCGAAAGCTTAGAGCAGTAGCTCAATTATGTCATCGAGGACACAGGTTCTTTCTGTTCTTCTGCTCCTCACTCTCCTTGGTCCTATGGTTGTTGTCTCATGAATAAATGGAGATGCCACAGTTCCCAACATAATGTCCCTACACCACTGTACCAAGCAGAGAAGAAGGGCATAAAAAGCTTTCTACTCAGGAAGCTCTTCTATTTTATCTGAGAAGAAAAACATTCCCAAAAGCCCTATATCAGGCATTACTTTATGTCTCATTGGTCAAAATGAGGCCCATGGCCATCCCAAGCTGCAAGGCAGCTAGAAAGCAAGTATTATATGGAAAGCAGAACAAGATAGTCATGATGCATCCCCTCTGGTGGAGGAAACTCCACTATTTTAAATGAGTGGCTCCCTGTGTCAACAAAACAAGAAATATGCACTGACATTCCTCATATCTGCAATTAAATACTTTGACCCCAAAATGACCTCTTCTTAGGGCTGATTGGCCAGAACTAGCTATGGGGCTGTTCTGCCAAAATCCAAAGCAATGATGACACTAGATGCTGGCAAAGATATGGAGCAACAGGAACTCTATTTCATTGCTGGTGAGAACACAGAATGGTACAGCCACTTTGGAAGATAGTCTGGAAGTTGCTTATAAAGCTAAACATACTTTTATCATATGATCCAAAATCCAAAAGCATTTTGTATGCTTTTTGCCATCTGTAGACCTTCTTTGGTGAGGTATTTTTTCACATCTTTGGCCTATTTTTTAATTGGGTTGTTTTCTTATTGTTGACTTGTAAGAGTTATCTGTATATTTTGGATAACAGTCCTGTATCAGATATGCCTTTTGCAAATATTTTCCTCCTGTCTGTGGCCTCTCTTCTCATTCTCTTGACAGTGTCTTTTGCACAGAGCAGGAATTTTAATTTTAATAACTCTAGCTGATCAATTAATTCTTTCATGGACTATGTCTTCGGTGTTTTATTTAAAAAGTCATTGCCATGCCCAAAGTCATCTAGATTTTCTGCTATGTTATTTTCTAGGAGTTTTATAGTTTTGTGTTCTACATTTTGATCTATAATCCACTTTGAGTTAATTTTTGTGACGGGGTAAAATCTGTGTCTAGATTCATTTTTTTGCATGTGGATGTCCTCTTGTTCCAACACCATTTGTTGAAAAGATGGTTTTTTCTCCATTGTACTACCTGTGCCCCTTTGTCAAAGATCAGTTGACTGTAGTTATGGGGGTCTATTTCTAGGCCCTCTATTCTGTCATTGATCTATTTGTCGATTCTTTCACCAATACCACACTGTCCTGGTTACTGTAGCTTTATAGTAAGTCTTAAAGGCAAGAAGTGTCAGTCCTCTGACTTTGTTCTTCTAATTCATTATTGTGTTATATATCCTAGGTCTTTTGCCTCTCTATATGAACTTTAAAATCAGTTGGTCAATATCTACAAAATAACTTGCAGGCATTTTAGATTGCATTGAATCTATAAATCAAGCTGGAAGGAACAGACATCTTGACAATATTGAGACTCCTGTCCATGAACATGGAGAATCCCTTCCAGTATTTAGTTGTACTTTTATTTCTTTCATCAGAATTTTTAAGAGCAATAAATTACTTTTATTATAAAATATTTCTAATGTATGTAAAAGTAACAGAATAATGTAACAAACATTCATGTACACTTAATATTGTCATTGAGGCATGTTTATGTAATTTTTAATTGATTCACATATTTCTTCCCCTTTTCTTTTACCATTTTAACTATTTCTAATTATACAGTTCAATAGTGTTAAATACATTCATGTTGTTGTGAAACAGTTCTCCAGAACTTTTTTATCCTGCATATCTGAAACTATACACATTAAACAAATGCCCTTTCCTCTCTCCCACTAGTCCCTTGTAATCACCATTCTTTTTTTAACTTTTATTTTAAGTTCAGGGGTACATTTACAAGATGTGCAGGTTTGTTACATAGGTAAATGTGTGTAATCACCATTTTACTTTCTGTTTCTATAAATTTAATAACGTTACATACCTCATATAAATACAATCATGCAGTATTTGTCTGTGGACAATTTGTTTCATTTAACATAATTTCCTCTAGGTTTATTCATGTTAGCATGTGACAAGATTCCCTTCCTTTTTAAGGTTGAATAATATTCTATTGCATGTCCATACTACATTTTGTTTATTCATTTGGCCATTGATGGACATTTGGGTTGTTTCCTACTGTTAACTACTGTGACTAATGCTGCTTAAACCCATTTATGCCTGAAGTTGCAAGCTTTTGAATTTTATGACATATGTGAAAAATCAGACCTTGGCACTGACCTTGAGCAGTAGGATATAACTCCCACATGCTTAGTGTTCTGCTAATGGAACACTAGGCATAAATGGATGCTGCTATGAACATGGGTATACAAATGTCTCTCTGAAACTTTACTTTCTGTTCTGCTGGATATTATAATAGTCAATTTTTACCCTCCAATAAAGACATATCTGAAACTGGGTAATTTATAAAGAAAAGAAGTTTAGGCCAGGCATGGTGGCTCACGCCTGTAATCCTAGCACTTTGGGAGGCCGAGGCAGGCAGGTCAGGAGTCTGAGACCAGCCTGGCCAACTTGGTGAAACACCGTCTCTACAAGAATACAAAAATTAGCCAGGCATGGTGGCGCATTCCTGTAATCCCAACTACTCGGGAGGCTGAGGCAGGAGAATCGCTTGAACCCAGGAGGCGGAGGTTGCAATGAGCTGAGACCGCGCCATTGCACTCCAGCTGGGGCAACAGAGTGAGACTGTCTCAAAAAAAAAAAAAAAAGAAGAAGTTTAATTGACTCACAGTCCCACGTGGCTTGGGAGGCCTCAGGAAACATAATCATGGAGGAAGGAGAAGAGGCACATCTTACATGGCAGCAGGTGAGAGAGTGAGTGTGTGAAGGAGGAGCTATCGAGGCTTATAAAACCATCAGCTCTCATAAGAACTCACTCTCTATCACAAGAACAGCATGGGGTACACCACCCCCATGATCCAATCACCTCCCACCAGGTCTCTAGCTCAACACATGGGGATTATGGGAATTACAATTCAAGATGAGATTTGGGTGGGGACAAAAAGCCTAACCATATCAGATATATATATCCAGAAGTGAGAGTGCTAGATTATATGGTAGTTCTATTTTTAATTTTTTAATGAAACTCCATACTGTTTTCCATAGCAGTTGCACCATTTTACAATCCTATAAGGGTTCCAATTTCTCTACATTCTCACCAACACTTGTTATTGTTTTTTTAAAGTAGCCATTCTAATGAGTATCAGGTATATCTCACTGTTGTTTTGATTTGCTCTTCCCTAATGATTAGTAATGTTGAGCATCTTTTCATATGCTTGTTGGCAATTTGTACATCCTCTTTGGAGAAACATCTATTTAAGTCTTTTTCCATTTTTTAATCAGCTTATTTGCTTTTTTGTTGTTGAGTCATAGGAATTCTTTAAATATTGTGAATTTAATCCTTATTAGGTTTACGATTTGCAAATATTTTCTCCCTATTCTGTAGGGTGCCTTTGACTCTGTTGATTGTGTCCTCTTATGCACAAAAGTATTTAAGTTTGATGAAGTCTCATTTGCCTATTTTTGCTTTTAGTTACTGTGCATTCACTGTCATAGCCAAGAGATCGTTGCAAAGTCCAATGTCATAAAACTTTTCCCCTGTTTTCTTCAAGGGATTTTTTTTTTTTAAGACAGAGTTTTGCTCTTGTTGCCCAGGCTGGAGTGCAATGGTGCAATCTTGGCTCACCGCAACCTCCACCTCCCGGGTTCAAATGATTCTTCTGCCTCAGCCTCCTGAGTAGCTGGGATTACAGGCATGTGCCAACATACCCGGCTAATTTTGTATTTTTAGTACAGACGGGGTTTCTCCATGTTGGTCAGGCTGGTCTTGAACTCCTGACCTCAGGTGATCTGCCCACCTCAGCCTCCCAAAGTGCTGGGATTACAGGCATGAGCCACTGTGCCCGGCCTTCTTCAAGGGATTTTATAGTATTGAGTCTCATGTTTAGGTCTTTAATCTATTTTGAGTTAATTTTTGAATATGATGTAAGATAAGGGTCTAATTTCACTCTTTAGCATTTGAATATCTCCTTTTATCAACATCATTTGTTGAAGACGCTGTCCTTTCCCCCATTGAGTGGTCTTGACATTCTTGTCAAAGATCATTTGACCTTATGTGGAGGGTTTATTTCTAGGCTGTTTATGCCATTTTATTGTTCCATCTGTCTTTATGTCAATACCACATTGTTTTGATTACCATGGCTTTGTAATATACTTTGAAATCAGGAAGTGTGAATCTTCCAACTTTGTTCTTTTTAAAAAATTTTTAGCTTTTGGGGTCCCTTGAGATTCCGTAAATTTTAGGATAAATTTTTCTATTTCTGCAATAAATGTCATTGGGATTTTGAAAGGATTATAGTGAATTGTAGATTGATTTGGGTAGTATGGACATCTTAACAATATTAAGACTTCTGATCCATGAATATGGGATGTCTTTCCATTTGTTTGTCTTTTTAAACTTCTTTCAGCAATGTTTTGTAGTTTTCAGTGTACATGTCTTTCATCTCTTTGGTTAGGTTATTCTTAAAGTGTTTTATTCTTTTTGATACTATTATAAATAGAATTGTTTACTGAATTTCCTTTTTGAATTTTTCATGTTAGTGTATAGAAATGCGACTGATTTATCCTGCAACTTTGCTACATTCATTTATCAGTTATGCTTTTTTAAAGTTTTGTGATTTTCCTCATATAGATTTTGTACCACATTTTTGTTACTTGCACATTTTTTATACAATTGCACTTTCTTCAGTATGGCTTCTATTCTTCCTTTAATTTTTATATCATTATAAACATTTATTTTACAAGCTCTTTCAAATTATTCTATTATTTCTGGTTCTTAGTGTGCAAATACTATTAGTTACATCTGCTAACTCTTCCTCATGGAGGGTTTTTTCTTGTAAGGTTTGTAATTTTTTTCTATTTCATTTTTAGAGGATTTTATATACTCTATGGCAGAGATAGGTGCCTCTGCGTTTTAAAGGTATGGACAATGACACAATATTTTCAGTTGTTTCTGCAGACATGTTTCTTCCAATGGTATCAATAGTCCTGGATTATTTCTTGAATTATGAATCCTACATCACGCACGTAGAATAAATTTAAGCCCCACACATACATACAGCATAAACCTGAGATTTCAGTTCCCTGGACAGATGGCAATGCCCCCAGACAGATGGCAAACTTCTTTACCACATATCTGGGACAGAGGAAGAGGAAGAGTTTTTCTAACCTGTGAGTGTAAGAACCTCTAAGTTCTAGGCTGTATACAGGGGCAACAATTTCAGGTTCTGTACCTTGCATAGGCTTATTAGCCAAATCTCTTATCTCTGTGTGGGCATTAAGAAACCAACATCCAACCAGATGTGGTGACTCACACCTGTAATACCAGCACTTTGGGAGGCCAAGGCGGGTGGATCACCTGAAGTCAGGAGTCGAAGACCAGCCTGGCCAACATGGCGAAACCCCATCTCTACTAAAAATGCAAAAATTAGCCAGGCATGGTCGCCTGCACCTGTAATCGTAGCTACCGAGGAGGCTGAGGCAGAAGAATCGCTGGAACCCAGGGGGCAGAGGCTACAGTGAGACGAGATTGTGCCACTGCACTCCAGCCTGGGCGACAGAGCAACACTCCGTCTCAAACAAAAAAAAAGAAAGAAAGATACCAACATCCTTCTCCTAGGTCCTGTAATTCTCCCCAAGTCAACTTTCCTCCATACAGGCAAGGGGTCCAGCAGTGCAGCTGGTGCACAGTTACTGAAACCTCATTCACTGCCTTTTCATCTACACAATCACCTATATGATTTTATTTGAAAGCTTCAGAGCAGCAACTTACCCCAAAGCATCTTCCCCAATCAGGGGTCTTAAATCCTATCGCAAAAGATTAATTTCTATGGGATAATCATCGCTTTCTTCTCTTTACATAGACAAAATTCTAAACAGACTTGTCTTAGTGACAGTACCTCTGGGAACATTTTTCAGAATGATGTTGGCACATATCTACTCAAATATATTGTCCCCATCTGGACTTATTTGTTTGGAGAGATCAATAAATTCACATATCAGTGTAAATGACAAGTGGGGGAAGTCAGCAGGAAGAAGAATGAAAATGAGGTGTTTTATAAATTATCAAGACATGATCACTGAAAAACATTTTTTAATTAAAATAAGCATTGTCTGGCCAGGTGCAGTGGCTCAAGCCTGTAATCCTAGCACTTTGGGAGGCTGAGGCAGGGGAATCACATGAGGTCAGGTTAGTGTATAGAAATGCGACTGATTTTTATGTGTTGATTTTGTATCCTGCAACTTTGCTGAATTCATTTATCAGTTATACTTTTTTAAAGTTTTGTTGTCCAGACTAGCCTGGACAACATGGCAAAACCCATCTCTACTAAAAATACAAAAATTAGTCGGGCATGGTGGCACATGCCTGTAGTCCCAGGTACTCAGGAGGCTAAGGCAGGAGAATCGCTTTAACCTGGGAGGTGGAGTTTATAGTGAGCCAAGATCGTGCCACTGCACTCCAGCCTGGGCACAGAGCAAGACTGTGTCTCAAAAAAAAAAAAAAAAAGAAAAAAAAAATCGCGTCATTGGACCAGGACAGGCAGACCCACCCTCAGTCTGGGTGGGCACCATCTAATCAGCTGCCAGTGCAGCCAGAATAAAGCAGGCAGGATAAAATGGAGGAGCAGACTTGCTGAGTCTTCAGGCCTTTATCTTTCTCCTGTGCTGCATGCTTCCTGCCCTCAAACATCAGCTTTTGGATTCTTGGACTTACACCAGTGGTTTGCCAGAGGCCTTTGAGACTTTGGCTACAGACTGAAGGCTGCACTGGGCTTCCCTACTTTTGAGGTTTTGGGACTCAGACTGATCCATCACTGGCTTCCTTCCTCCTCAGCTTGCAAACGGCCTACTGTGGGGCTTTACCGTGTGATCGTGTGAGTCAGTTCTCCTTAATAAACTCTCTTTTGGCCGGGTGCGGTGGCTCACACCTGTAATCTCAGCATTTGGGAGGCCGAGGCGAGTGGATCTCCTGAGGTCAGGAGTTCGAGACTAGCCTGGCCAACATGGTGAAACCCCATCTCTACTAAAAATACAAAAATTAGTCAGGCATGGTGGCACAAGCCTGTAATCCCAGATACTGGGGAGGCTGATGCAGGAAAATTGCTTGAACCCGGGAGGCGGAGGTTGCAGTGAGCCGAGATCGTGCCATTGCACTCCAGCCTGGGCAACAAGAGTGAAACTCTGTCTCAAATAAATAAATAAATAAATAAATAGAAAATAAAAAATAAACTCTCTTTCATATATGCATATATCCTATTAGTTCTAACCCTCTAGAGAACCCTGACTAATACACATTGAAACTAGAAGTAAAGGGTGGATGTGAACACAGATTAGCTTGTTAGGGGTCTGAGAAAGTTGCATTTGCCATAAATATTGTAGTGTATTGATTTATCAAACTGTCTGATCTCCACGAAGGCAAGGACTTTATAAATATGGTGTGTGGTCTCTCAAAAGGGAGAAGGCATCAGGGGGCCAGGGAGTGAGGGTCGCAGAAAGAATCCCAGAGTTGTGGACAATGAACTTTTTCAACTTCACAGTTTAGCTGGGGCCCACTCTCAATAAGAAGAAATCTAGGAAGGAAAGCCAGGCCAAGAAAACTTTAAAACTATTCAAACTGACAGACTGACCCAGCACATGAGAATGAAGTTTGTCAAGTAAATGAACCCTTGGGATGCAATGGCGAGGGTGCCATAAACAAAGACAAGCCCTACCAACAGCCAGACAGCTGGTAACAAAGGCTGGGCTGTAAAAAGGTCTTTCTGGCTGCCCTTTTACACAGAAGTAGGAAAATCACACATTTCTTCTGGGTGTGAGAGTGATCTGGCTACAACATCTGTCACCCCATTGATTGCCAGGCTGGCTTCATTAGTTCTGGCTGGCTAGGCTGGGGTCTCCTTCATCCTAACCTTCCCATGTACATCTTTTCTTCAGCTGCATGCTGTCAAGAATAATATAGTTCTTAGCAGGGAATAACCCCACTTGACTCAAGAACCCCCTAAATAATCTCTTAGTTCTGACATATTGTTCACCCTAAAGAATTATCTCTAATGTCAATGGCACCCAGAGTGGCTGAAGCCTCACAGGAAAAGAGGTTCTATCTCTGGAATTAAGGATTCAACAAGGGGGGTCCAAAGACTTTCAGGCGTTCGTTGAAGATTAAAAAGTCCAAAATATTAAGAGGAACATGGTCCAAACCACTGCTATGAGGACGTAGTGGGATGTCACAAACGTTTGTCCTTCCTTTTCGTGTTTGTTGAGGAGGCAGTGCAGCTTTGTGGGCTTTAAAATCATTACTGTCTGCCCCAGGGCCTCTTGTCTTCATATTTTTGTGACTTAGTTACCATCTATGCACTGCTGATTCCCTGTCCAGAACTCATTCTAGTACTCCTGACCCTCCTATCAATCTGCCTACAAGACTCTTCTACTTTAGTATTCCATAGACGAAAAATATTTATTTGACATCTACTATGTACCAAGTAGCGTCCCAATCTGAACTTATAATCTTCATTCTCCACAAAAGAAAACTGGATGAAATCTTGAGCCTACACCAAGGTTTTCTTTTTATTTATTTATTTATTTATTTATTTATTTATTTATTTATTTTTATTATACTCTAAGTTTTAGGGTACATGTGCACATTGTGCAGGTTAGTTACATATGTATACATGTGCCATGCTGGTGCGCTGCACCCACTAACGTGTCATCTAGCATTAGGTATATCTCCCAATGCTATCCCTCCCCCTTCCCCCGACCCCACCACAGTCCCCAGAGTGTGATATTCCCCTTCCTGTGTCCATGTGATCTCATTGTTCAATTCCCACCTATGAGTGAGAATATGCGGTGTTTGGTTTTTTGTTCTTGCGATAGTTTACTGAGAATGATGGTTTCCAATTTCATCCATGTCCCTACAAAGGACATGAACTCATCATTTTTTATGGCTGCATAGTATTCCATGGTGTATATGTGCCACATTTTCTTAATCCAGTCTATCATTGTTGGACATTTGGGTTGGTTCCAAGTCTTTGCTATTGTGAATAGTGCCGCAATAAACATACGTGTGCATGTGTCTTTATAGCAGCATGATTTATAGTCATTTGGGTATATACCCAGTAATGGGATGGCTGGGTCAAATGGTATTTCTAGTTCTAGATCCCTGAGGAATCGCCACACTGACTTCCACAATGGTTGAACTAGTTTACAGTCCCACCAACAGTGTAAAAGTGTTCCTATTTCTCCACATCCTCTCCAGCACCTGTTGTTTCCTGACTTTTTAATGATTGCCATTCTAACTGGTGTGAGATGATATCTCATAGTGGTTTTGATTTGCATTTCTCTGATGGCCAGTGATGATGAGCATTTCTTCATGTGTTTTTTGGCTGCATAAATGTCTTCTTTTGAGAAGTGTCTGTTCATGTCCTTCGCCCAAGACTAAACCAGGAAGAAGTTGAATCTCTGAATAGACCAATAACAGGCTCTGAAATTGTGGCAATAATCAATAGTTTACCAACCAAAAAGAGTCCAGGACCAGATGGATTCACAGCCGAATTCTACCAGAGGTACAAGGAGGAACTGGTACCATTCCTTCTGAAACTATTCCAATCAATAGAAAAAGAGGGAATCCTCCCTAACTCATTTTATGAGGCCAGCATCATTCTGATACCAAAGCCGGGCAGAGACACAACCAAAAAAGAGAATTTTAGACCAATATCCTTGATGAACATTGATGCAAAAATCCTCAATAAAATACTGGCAAACTGAATCCAGCAGCACATCAAAAAGCTTATCCACCATGATCAAGTGGGCTTCATCCCTGGGATGCAAGGCTGGTTCAATATACGCAAATCAATAAATGTAATCCAGCATATAAACAGAGCCAAAGACAAAAACCACATGATTATCTCAATAGATGCAGAAAAAGCCTTTGACAAAATTCAACAACCCTTCATGCTAAAAACTCTCAATAAATTAGGTATTGATGGGACGTATTTCAAAATAATAAGAGCTATCTATGACAAAACCACAGCCAATATCATACTGAATGGGCAAAAACTGGAAGCATTCCCTTTGAAAACTGGCACAAGACAGGGATGCCCTCTCTCACCGCTCCTATTCAACATAGTGTTGGAAGTTCTGGCCAGGGCAATCAGGCAGGAGAAGGAAATAAAGGGTATTCAATTAGGAAAAGAGGAAGTCAGATTGTCCCTGTTTGCAGATGACATGATTGTTTATCTAGAAAACCCCATCGTCTCAGCCCAAAATCTCCTTAAGCTGATAAGCAACTTCAGCAAAGTCTCAGGATACAAAATCAATGTACAAAAATCACAAGCATTCTTATACACCAACAACAGACAACCAGAGAGCCAAATCATGAGTGAACTCCCATTCACAATTGCTTCAAAGAGAATAAAATACCTAGGAATCCAACTTACAAGGGAGGTGAAGGACCTCTTCAAGGAGAACTACAAACCACTGCTCAAGGAAATAAAAGAGGACACAAACAAATGGAAGAACATTCCATGCTCATGGGTAGGAAGAATCAATATCGTGAAAATGGCCATACTGCCCAAGGTAATTTACAGATTCAATGCCATCCCCATCAAGCTACCAATGACTTTCTTCACAGAATTGGAAAAAACTACTTTAAAGTTCATATGGAACCAAAAAAGAGCCCGCATCGCCAAGTCAATCCTAAGCCAAAAGAACAAAGCTGGAGGCATCACACTACCTGACTTCAAACTATACTACAAGGCTACAGTAACCAAAACAGCATGGTACTGGTACCAAAACAGAGATATAGATCAATGGAACAGAACAGAGCCCTCAGAAATAATGCCGCATATCTACAACTATCTGATCTTTGACAAACCTGAGAAAAACAAGCAATGGGGAAAGGATTCCCTATTTAATAAATGGTGCTGGGAAAACTGGCTAGCCATATGTAGAAAGCTGAAACTGGATCCCTTCCTTACACCTTATACAAAAATCAGTTCAAGATGGATTAAAGATTTAAACGTTAGACCTAAAACCATAAAAACCCTAGAAGAAAACCTAGGCATTACCATTGAGGACATAGGCGTGGGCAAGGACTTCATGTCCAAAACACCAAAAGCAATGGCAACAAAAGCCAAAATTGACAAATGGGATCTAATTAAACTAAAGAGCTTCTGCACAGCAAAAGAAACTACCATCAGAGTGAACAGGCAACCTACAACATGGGAGAAAATTTTCGCAACCTACTCATCTGACAAAGGGCTAATATCCAGAATCTACAATGAACTCAAACAAATTTACAAGAAAAAAACAAACAACCCCATCAAAAAGTGGGCGAAGGACATGAACAAGGTTTTCAATTGAACTAATGTTGGGAGTATGTATAAAGTGCCAGGTACTGTCCCAGCCACTTCCACCTACAGATCTCATATAACCTTCACGCTGATCCAATGGAATAAGAATGAATACCCTCCATCTAACAGGTGAGAAAACAGATATATAAAAGTAATAGGTGCTTCCAAGAGTTTAGGATTTCAAGGATATTTCAAAAGAGATTTGGGGACATCACATGGGATTGCTGTTTATCTTAGCAAATAGAAACAGTTAAAAAAAATTAGTATAATTTCATAAAAGATAGGCTGTATTAAAAACAAAAAGTAAAAAGGAGAAAAAATATAAACATTCATTTAAGTTTAATAAATTTTGGTTTATGGAAAATTTATATTGTCCTTAGTTTTTTCATTTTGCTGTTAACCCGTGAAGGCCTAGGCATAGGTCTTAAATTTGGGGACTACTAATTTGAGTTACTTGTTTAGGGCTCCTAGATTGACTGACTGATAAATAGCTAGCTATCAGGGTTTCCTGATATTTGCATAAAGAACCAGGTTACATCTCTCTTTTTCAGCCATATTTCTTGGCAAATGCTAGGCAAATTAAATTATGTTGACTTGCCTTAAAAGATGTGAAACAGAGAACAGCTCGAGATCTACCTTAGGGGAGCTGTAGCTCATTCAGTGGGGTTGCTTTATATTTAGAAAATAAAAGAATTATAATCTTTGGCCTTTCTGGAAAAAAAAAACTTTGGGGATGTTACATTTTCTTCAGAGATAGAATAATAAACTTCTGGAGAAAACATTTTGTCATAACTGTATTTTGCAAAGATTATAAGATTATTCCAGAGTAGTATCAGAATAAATCAGAAATGAGTGTAACAGGGCTTGAAATTCTAGTTTTCAGGGTAAACACAGTAATAATTTCCAAATTATAAACTAATGAAGACTTCCAAATTGTCAGAAACAATGAAAATTAGTTTTAGGTATACTTTCTAATAGTGAAATAAATTGATTTTTTTAAACTGTAACTAAATTTGGAAATTAAATACTACTCACTATACCCTGATGCTTAAAAGTCCTTAAAGAAGTCAAATAATACTGCTTGCTAGACCTAGCCTATTGGACTCTCGGCTCATTAACACTAAAAAATATATAATTTAGTATTTAGAGTGACAGGTATATTACTCAATTAATTTTTTGGTAATAAAATACCATTCAGTGAAGAAAGCAAGGCAAATATCAGCAATCAAGGTGAAATAGAAAGAAAGGTAGAAAGAAAACTATCAACAGTAATGTAATTAACATATTTGCAGTTGTGATTATTTTGGTAACTTTATCACATTTTTGGTCAAGTTAAAACACCTCAGCAAAAATTATTAGTTTGAATTGTCTAAAATTTTTGTTTTTCTGTAGGTCAAAAAAATGATCAAATGTCAGCTATTTCAAATAGTTCGAACTGCTGACCACAGTGGCTCACATCTTTAGTCCTAGCTACTCAGGAAACTAAAGTGGGAGGATCACTTGAGCACAGGAAGGTACCACTCCAGCCTGGGTGACAGAGAAAGACCCTGTCTGTAAAAAATAATAATAATAAATAAAAAATAAGCTTTCTTTCGGCCTTAGCACCATCCTCTTGGAAACCTCTGCTCCATGAGAGCCAAGTGGAGGAAGAAGCAAATGTGCAGGCTGAAGCTCAAAAGATGAGGCACGGGTGTCCAAGTAAACCGCTAGCTTGTGCACCCATGGAGGCCCCAGGAGCAGAAACATGGAGTGCCAGAGGCTGGGGATGCCAGTATAAGTTGTTGGACAACATGCTACTGTCTAGAACTTGTCTCTCAAAGGACCTAGAAGTTCCATCACCATCTGATCACCAAGACCACCTCTGAGAGACCTACCTTGCTCATACCAAAACAGTCCCTGTTGGTCATTTACCCTGGACCTGTAACATTCTGGGCTCATTTCTGTGTTCACTTGTGGCCAAGTGTAACAAGCATACAGTAAATCACCTCTTCTGCTGTCTTGGTTGAAGAATCAAAAAAATCAAAAAATAAGAAATAAAAATAAATTGTTAAGGAATAAATAGTTCAAACGAATATCTTATAATCCTCAATACATTTTAACTAGGTAAATTAAAACATTGTATTCATTTTTATACAGGAAAATGGGTAGATCCTGTGACTGCTTTATGCCAGATTATCATGGGAGAATCAACAACAGAACTAGAAGTATGGACCATTAGAATAACAGATTATTAGTTACATTAATTCATCAAGTGCCTGACCCATGGGTCAGGCAAAATTGGAGTGAGGGAGCAGTGTGACATACTTTACAGAGAGTTGGACATTTAAAGTTTGCTGAGGAGAGTTTAACCTCGGAAAGGCACAAAGAAAAGAAATAAAGCTACTTTTTTTTTTTTTTTTTTGCTTTTACTTCTATTGTCAAAGTGAAGTATTTGTTTTCTATTAAACAGAAACTGTTTTAATAAAGATGTGTTGACTTAATAAATTATATATGAATTCCCCAGCAAAGTCAGGCTTAGGCAGTAGTTTCATATGCTAATATCAACAACCAAAGCACTTTCCGTCAGGGACTTAGACTGAGTGAAGTTTAATGAATTGACATTGCAGCAAAGTATCCACTTTAATAACAAGTCTGATCATTCTTCTTCCTTGCCTGTCTTGTTCAACACTACAACCCAGTCTTAGTCCATTCATGCTGCTATAACAAAATATCTTAGATTGGGTAATTAGTAAACAACAGAAATGTATTCCTCAAATTTCTGGAGGCTAGGAAATCGAAATCCAAGATCAAGGCTCCAGCAGATATGATGTCTGGTGAAGGCTTGTTCTCTGCTTCATAACAGAGCCTTGTTGCTGCATCCTCGCAGAGCAGAAAGCAGAGGGCACAAGAAGTGAACACTGTGTCCTCACATGGCTGATGAGATGGAAGTGCCTAGCAGCCTGAAGCCTTTTTCATAAGGGCATTAATCTCATTCACAAGGGAGGAGCCCTCGTGACTTAATCACTTCCCAAAGGCCTCACCTCTTAATACCATCATCTTGGGGTTTAAGTTCCAACATATGAATTTTGGAGGGACACATATATTCAAACCTTAGCCATCCCTATTCTGGCAAATAATAAGCCCTCAATAAATATTTGTTGTATGAACAAATTAGCTGGTGCTTGGTCCTCAAATATAGTATAATAATTTCTGCCAAAAAAAAAAGTTCACAATGTTTATTACTACTTATAAACTTTTCAACAAACAGTAAAAATGACCATAAATTCATTAATTCTGACATCTTCCCCTGCCAAATAGTACTATTATCTCTCAATTGGATTTTTAAATTTAATTTTTTTCTTTTGTTATTTTATTTTTTTTAATTTATTTATTTTGAGACAGAGTCTCACTGTATCACCCAGGCTGGAGTCAGTGGCATGATCTTGGCTCACTGCAACCTCTGCCTCACAGCTTCAAGCGATTCTCCTGCCTCAGCCTCCCAAGTAGCTGGGATTACAGGCATGCACCACCACACCTGGCTAATTTTTGTACTTTTAGTAGAGATGGGGTTTCACCATGTTGTCCACACTGGTCTCGAACTCCTGGCCTCAAGTGATCTATTTGCCTCAGTCTCCCAAAGTGCTGGGATTACAGGCATGAGCCACCATGCCCAGCCTTTTTTTCTTTTTTTAAAGATGGGGTTTCACCATGTTGCCCAGGCTAGTCAAGAACTCCTGGCCTCCACCTTGGCCTCCCAAAGTGCTACCACAAGCCAAACAAAATCTATATAAAGTGTTAACTAAAGAAATATTTTAAGCATTTAAATATTTGTTGAAACATTCTAATTCTTATGTAATTTATATGTACATCTTTTATACTAGAAATGTAATCAGAACTGCATGTATACAAAAACTGTGCTTCTTTTTTTGCCTATAATATAGTACTGTATCGCTAGTTCAAAAAGTTGCTATAAGAATTAATGAATTATGTAAGAAAGAAATTTTAAGTATAAAAGAGCCTATTCTAAGTGAAAACATTATTATAACAATCCTACCTCCTTATCTAATTATAATGCGAAGAACCATTTTACAAGGCAACTTGTAAGCTTCAAAATAGTCTGATTAAAAAAATGTTTTAGACTATATATTAGGCAAAAGAGAAAATCTAATTTTAGTGTTATTAAATGATTGAAAATAAAAGCACTGTCAATACAAGTATTCCAACTGCCAGAGTTCTATAGGCCAGATAATAATTTTAAATAATAGTTACATTGTTAATTGTTGAAATAATATGTAATAGTCTTTTTTCTCCTCAATCATTAAAATCTTATATAATATGCTAATAATAATTTGTCACTAAGACAGGTATTTTTCTAAGTAATGTATCACCAAACCACATTTTGTTTCTAGTGTCATCTGCTGAAATCAATCCATGTTATAAAATGACACATTGGCTAAAAACTTGATAAACTTTGGAATGAAGTTCACTGACTGCTACTAAAAATAGACCCATTTTAATTTTTTCAACAAATTTAATAGGAGCATGGTGATAGAAGTACATTAGGATAATAGAAATTCACCCTACATCAGTTTTTAATGAATCTTAGATATCACAATTCTTTCATATTCCAAAATTTAATTAGTCTTCAAAAATAATAACTACCATTTCTTGAGCTCTTACAACATGCAAGATACTGTGCTAATAACTTTACATACTTCACAGAGTCTTCCAAACAATCTTATGCAATGCTGTACATAATAATTAGTGTCCCCATTGTACAGAAATGGAAACTGAGACTCAGAAGACTAAGAAATTTGTTGTAAATATTAGATAAATAATAGAAGAGCTGGGATTTGAATACATCAGGTGTATCTGATTCCAAAACCTGTGCTGTTAACCAATATGACGTATTACCCATGTAATTTTAAGAAAACAAAGTCCCGGTCTGGTGCAGTGGCTCATGCCTGTAATCCCAGCACTTTGGAAGGCCTAGGTGGGAGAATTACTTGAGGTAGGAGTTTGAAACCAGCCTGGACAACATGGGGAAACCCCATCTCTACTAAAAATACAAAAAAAATTAGCCAGGCGTGGTGGTGCGCACCTGTAGTCCCAGCTAGTAGGGAGACTAAGGCAGGAAGATCACTTGAACCCGGGAGACAGAGGTTGCAGTGAGCCAAGATCGTGCCACTACATGCCAGCCTGGGCGACAGTGTGAGACGCTGTCTCAAAAAAAAAAACAGACAAAAGATAGGAAAACGAAAACAAAGTCCTAAATATAGGGGAATGGAAAGTCAACAAAGTAGAAATATAAAATTAGGTAAGGTATGGAAAAAAAAGAAAAAGATGTTGTTAATTGTTAAAGAGAGAAGGAAATGTAAACCATGGTAAGATTCTCAAAGGTATATTTACAAAATAAGATAAATGAATTTTCATTTTTAATAAATCATTTTCTTTTGGTAATATTTGAAGATGATTGCAGAGAATGATTCTTTTCAGAGTTTCTTGATAAACACATTTTTCATTCTAGATTAAAAATTCAAGGTTTTTTAATCATCTTGTTTATTTACACCTGTGTAGTGGTTTCACTAAATTATGTACATACTTTTTAATAAGCATTTGATAACAAGAATCAAATATTTGTGAGGAAATGAAGTATACTTATTTAAGCTTCGCATCATCATTTCTCCTCCATGGGAAATTAAGTTATTTTCACATGACCGAAAAAATTCATGACACACAATTAAAAAACAACAAACAAGGGTCACATTTTATAAGGCAGCAATTATGTTCATGTGGTATCAGTATAATTGAAAGACAGAAGACATTTCATTCGTTAGTAACACAGAGTTTCTTCTAGTGGGTTTCCTGGAGCTCATTAGATATTCCCTGGCTGATTCTCCTAAGTAATTAGATTTTAACAGGATTTTCAACAGATCAGAGCAATCTCTGTGGGTGCCAATAGAAGAGTCCCCCTCTGGCCTTACCAGCAGGGCAGAGCAGATAATATCCAGACTGGGAGTTAATAGGACAATTACTGGCCTCTTTTAAATGAGTTACATTAATGCACTTAAGCTAAATGGCTCTGCATATGATTAAATATTAACATTTGCAAAATATGAAATCACAATATGCAATCAAGTTTTGTTGTTTTAATTTCCCCCAAGAAAGATTTCAATTGTTTACATAAATACCTTTAAATATTGTATATTAAACATTTTTAGGATATACTAATAGAAAGTTGGAAATCATTCCTCTCACTTAGGAGCCCTAAAATATACTGACCTTCAGGACGCCATTTCTGGCTGAGATGGAGTAACTAAAAAAATCAGATAAATATATGAAATAATATTTATCAGACATTAGATAACAGCCAATACAGGACAATGATCTCTGAGAGGAAAGGAAAGAAATGAGATGGTTTTCCTGAGTTGAGAGACAAAGTGGAGAAGTTAGGCAAGCCAAGGTGGCTGGAATTCACCAGACAAATAGAAGACAATAGTATCAAAACACCAAAGGAAAAGAACCCAAAGATCTGTGGAGGGTCCCCCTTAAGTCTTAAGCTTAGTGTTGATCAGCACATGCATGTGAGGCAACCACTCAAATTTGGAAAAAGAACCACTTTTCCAGGAGCAGGTCAAATAATTTTCAGAGCTCACAGAGGCCTGGGAATAGTTCACATTCTCAACAGCCAGAGTTAAAAATGAACACCTCAGAATATATAAGGCAACAGGCAGATATTGTCTCAGTAGTTGGGGCAAAGTAGCCCTAAACTAAAAGTTGCTCTGGTCCTACCTAACAAAACCTAAGACAAATGTCAAAAGGATGAATCTATTTTTAAATTATTTGAAAACTCTAAAACAAAGCTCAATAATATTTAGGAATACAAAAGAATCCACCACCAAACAATGTAAATTTCACAATGTCTAGCCCCAAATTCACAAAATCATGAAAGTAGCCAGAAAATATGACTTAAAATCATAAGAAAAAAATCAATCAGTAGAAGCAGACCAAGAAATTATCAAGATTAGAAATTAGGAAAAAGGAACATTAAAACAATGATTAGAAATATATTTCATATTATAAAAAAGAGAGGAAAGCATAAGCATGGTAAAAAGAGACATGGTAGATATAAAAATAACCTAAGTCAAACTTCTGAAGATGAAAAATACAATGTCTTAGGTAAAGAAAAAAAAAAAACATGTAGAATTAAAAATAGTTTAATACTGCAGACAAAAAAAAATGTACAGAACATCATTGAGCTGTGCGACAATTTTAAGCAGCCTAATATATGAGTAATTGAAGTCCCAAAAGGAGAAGAGAGAGTGGAAGGGAAGAGAAAAGCAGTTTGAAGAAACAATGACCCCAAAATTTTTAATTTTGATTAAAACAACACAACCATGAAACATGAAAAAAGCTATACAAAGGCATATCAGTAATTAAATAGCCTAAAATACACTGAATTTAAGTGAATTTTGAAAATATTTTAAATGTCTCCCGCAAAAAACAAAATACAGTTGGTCCTCAAACAATGTGAGTTTGAACTGAGTGGGTCCACTTAACACAATAATTTTTTGCAATAAGTATAGTCAGCCCTCCATACCAGCCAGTTCCAAATTCACAACCAAACACAGATTGAAAATTCAGTATTGGAGGGATGCAAATCCCACGTGTAAAGAGGGCCGACTTTGCATATCCACGATTTCTGCAGTACCGATGGCGGGACTGGAGTATGAGCAGATTTTGGTATCCACAAGTGGTTCTGGAACAAATTCCCCACAGATACTGAGGAACGACTAAACGGCCTAGACCTGATCCAAAGTCAGTTTTGTGCTTTGTTCCTATGACGTTGGCCCATAATATTTTCTTTTCTTTTCTTTTCTTTTCTTTTTTTTGAGACAGTTTCACTCTCGTTACCAAGGCTGAAGTGCAATGGCACCAACTCAGCTCACCGCAACCTCCGCCTCCTGGGTTCAAGCGATTCTCCTGCCTCAGCCTCCCGAGTAGCTGGGATTACAGGCATGCACCACCATGTCTGGCTAATTTTTTGTATTTTTAGTAGAAACGGGGCTTCTCCATGTTGGTCAGGCTGGTCTCGAACTCCCGACCTCAGGTGATCCACCTCCTCAGCCTCCCAAAGGCATGAGCCACCACGCCCGGCCAGCCCATAATATTTTCTAGAAAGAATTTTCAACCTAATACACTTAATTTTGCCACTGAGTATAAGAGATTTCAGAAATTTTTAATGAATTATACTCTTTATTTATAGACCTTATAAAATGATGTTTCCTGTTCTTCTTATAATAGTAGTACTTAGCCTCAGACGTCGAAACATTACTATAAAATATCAAATTAGGCCCCTGTCAGTGCAGAGGCAGAAGCCTGAACCAGACAAATAAGTACTGTGAGCATTACCTCTATGCCTTAATTGGCTCTTATTCACTTGGACATAGGGAATAAGATGAGTAAGAGAATCTTCCCACTTATTAGGCCCTCATAAAATCATTATAACTAGTTCAGGTATTCATGATCCAGAAAGAAATGGAATCTGTGCATATAGGGTCTTACAAAGAGGTGGTGACCAGCTGCAACTTTTCTTTCATGAGACTCAAAACTAGAGGCTTAGATTTGATCATAAGAAAAAGCTTCCTGACATTGGAATGGATTAAAAACAAAAATAGTGGAATTTTCTGAAAATTTCAAATTCTGTTTCTGGTTGGTTGGTTTGTGAGACAGGGTCTCACTCTGTCGCCCAGACTGAAATGCAGTGGCACAATACAGGGCTCATGCAGCCTCGACCTCCTGGGCTCAAGTGATCCTCCCGCCTCAGTCTCCTGTGTTGCTAGGACTACAGGCACCTGCCACCGTGGCTGGTTAATTTTTTTTTTTAATTTTTTATAGAGATAAGGTCTCTCTATAAAAGAGACCTTTTATGTGTTGCCTAGGTGGGTCTCAAACTGCTGGACTCATGTAGTTCTCCTACCTCGGCCTCCCAAAGTGCTGGGTTCACAGGTATGAGTCACCACGCCCAGCCCAGTTTCTGTTTTGACTAGATGGTTTGGATATAATCCTAGTAAAATCTGATGTACACCCAACTTGCCTTTTCTACAAGTCTGTGAACATTTGATTGGTTGAAATGATACCTAAATGTCTTAGGTTGAGCCACAACAAGCTCCACTAACTTTCAATAGTAAAGCTTAGAGCATGTCTGTAGCCCTAAAAAATGTGAGAATATTCAGATCAACTTTCTGTGTTGAATTTCATCTCCTCATTTCTATTTGTTCATCTACAAGTTTATTTCTGTAATTCTATTTTTACTTATGGAGATTTCAAATGTCTATATCTTGCTTTATTTAATTGAAGTATTCCAGACACCTTAGGTTGGAACAGAACTTTTTCTATCTATTTATACTTCAGGGGCATTTAGGGAACTTGTTGTTTAAAAGAAATCATTTTCTGATTTTTTTTTTTTTTTTGGAAACAGGGTTTTACTTCTGTTTCCCAGGCCGGAGAACAGTGGGGCGGGTCTGCATGCCACAGTTCACTGTGGCCTTAACTTACGGGGCTCAGGTGATTTTCCCATCTCAGCCTCCTGAATAGCTGTGACTACAGGCGTATGCCACCAAGCCTCACTAATTTTTTGTTTTCTTTGTAGAGGTGTTGCCCAGGCTGGTCTCGAACTCCTGGGCTCAAGCAATCCACCCACTTTGGCCTCCCAAAGGGCTGAAATGACAGGCGTGAGCCACCCTGCCTGGCCCATTTTCTGAATTTTTTGGTCTAAATCTGATTTTTAGATATCAAATTTGCTTAATACAAGGTACACGGCCAGGCACAGTGGCTCACGCCTGTAATCCCAGCACTTTAAGAGGCCAATGCAGGCAAATCACTTGAGGTCAGCAGTTTGAGACCAGCCTGACCAACATGGTAAAACCCCATTTCTACTAAAAATACAAAAATTAGCCAGGCGTGGTGGCACACCCTTGTAATCCCAGCTACTTGGGAGGCTGAGGTGCGAGGATCACTTGAACCCCGGGAGGTAGAAGTTGCAGTGAGCTGAGATCGTGCCACTGCACTCCAGCCTGGGCAACAGAGTGAAACTCCATCTCAAAACAAAACAAAACAAAACAAAATAAACAAGGTACACAAAACTAAATTGTTAAAGTATATTTGCAGACCTGGATGAAAGATGGTACCTTTATATAATTTGCTGAGTACTATCCATGGACAATGGAAATTGTAGTATCACAAAATACATAGAGATAACGAAGCAAACAATGAGTTTTAGAAAATGGGTTGAGATAACCTGGCCAAGTAGATTATATTAATCACACTGAGACCCACATGAAATCAGCATTTGCAAAGGACCTCAAGGATGTCAAACAGCTGGCCTGAATTAGACTCTAATTCCCCTTTCATTATCCCTCTTTGAGAGTTTTCAGGCCTATTTTACACAATGAACTTGAAAGACATTGGTAAGAGGCGTATTTATAGATTTGATTGGTCCAGTGGGCATTTGAGTATGTCCTACTAAAACATAAAGCATTGAAAGAAAGGAAAGACAAGACTAATACACATGAAAGAGGGTAAAGGATAATATACTCCCATGGCTAATTGTGTGCTTTTTGAATTACCAGAAAGTAGAATTAAAACCTAAGAGTTGTAGCCACAGGAGGACAAAGTTAGGCCCAATATAAGACTAAACTTTCTAATAGTCTAAGCCAAATGAAAATCAAAGGCCAAGTTTCTCATCACTCTAAGTGTGTAAACATAGACTGACCATTTGGCAGGGATTTTGTAGATTAGATTCAAGTGTTGTATTGGTGATTGAATTAGAAAACATTTAAAAACCTAATCTTGGCCGGGCACGGTGGCTCATGCCTGTAATCCCAGTGCTTTGGGAGGCCGAGGCAGGCAGATAACTTGAGCTCAGGAGTTCAAGGCCAGCCTGGCCAAGATGGTGAAACCCATCTCTACTAAAAATACAAAAATTAGCCGGGCATGGTGGTGCGTGCCTGTAGTCCAAGCTACTCGGGAGGCTGAGGCAAGAGAATTGCTTAAACCCAGGAGGTGGAAGTTGCAGTGAGCCGAGATGCGCCACTGCACTCCAGTCTGGGAGACAGGGCAAGACTCCATCTCAAAAAAACAAAAACAAAAACATAATCTTAAAGCAGGCACAGTGGTGCATTCCTGTAGTCCCGGTTGCTCAGGAGGTTGAGGAAGAAAGATTGCTTGAGCCAGGAGCTTGAAGGTGCAGTACACTATAATCGAACCTGTGAATAGCCACCACACTCCAGCCTGGGCAACATAATGAGACCTCATCTCTGAAAAAAACAAAACAAAAACCTTAATCTGTAAGTCTTTCTAAACATTCAGATAATCCGACTCTATGATCCTAAATGCTCTGGTGGTCAGACAAGGGGCTTCCTTTGCCTCAACTTTTTCCACAGGAAAAATATCTCCCCCTTTCTTGCATATAGAAAATATTGGACTGGAAGGAGGAAATCTAGGGTAGTTCTGGCTCCATCACTAATTTGTTGGGTGACTGAACAAGTCACTTAATATTTCTTGGTTTTGTTACCTGCAAGTGTGGCCTGGGGGCTCTAAAGACATGTCACAAGAGTTATGCTACTTTATAGACTTTGCTTCTTCAAGTCTCCAACTCTTAGCTGAATGTCCACCCAACACCTTGCTAGAGCAACCAACCAAGATTCTGTTTGTGACATTCAGAAAAATGCAAAATCTCTAGCGTTATAACTCCATGTTGCTGATGTGGGAAATCTTATGGTCATAACTGACTTCTATCTGTTAGCTCCACCCATATTTATTCATGGTGGCCAATCACAGAGAAAGGTCCTAGACACTACTCCATTTATCAATGACCTTCACAGACCAGCTCAAACATTTCATTTTCAGATTGTGTTACCAAACAGTTTCACATTCCTGATTAAGAGTCATATTGCCCCTGCTTCTGAAGCAAAGCTTCATGCTATAATCATTTAAAAAGAGCAAGCAAATAGATAAGCTCCAAGTTCTTCAAGTTTTTAGAACTTACTTGCTATTACAATATTCTAAAATATTAGTTGTATCATTTACTGTTGCTTCCAAAATAAATATAGAGAGAATATTACCAAGAGACATGTTAACTGAATCACTCTGAAGAAAATGCTAAATATGGCACAGAAAAATGAGTAAAACTAATTCTTTTCTTGCAGCAACTCATCAAAATTGACTGTCTAGTCATTTGTGTATACCTAACGCTAAGTTGCTAAGTTCAGAAGCAATCTCACTAAAATGAGAAAACACTCCCACTGGCTTAATTTTCTCTGTCTAATGTTCACATTATGATATTCCTTTGCAGTACAATTGGAGATGGACTATTGCAGATTTCTTCTCTTAAACTTTCATGCATTTGATTTAAAAAAAAAAAAAAATTGGCCAGGTGCGGTGGCTTACACCTGTAATCCCAGCACTTTGGGAGACCAAGACAGGAGGAACCCTTGAGCCCAGGAGTTCAAGACCAGCCTGGGCAACATAGTGAGAACTTGTTCTCTACAAAAAAATTTTAAAATTTGTAAAATTAGCTGGGAGTGGTGTTGTGTGCCTGTAGTCTCAGCTACTTGGGAGGCTGAGGTGGAAGGATTGCCTGAGCCCAGGAGGTTGAGGCTGCAATGAGCCAAGATCATGTCACTGCACTCCAGCCTGGGTGACAGAGTTAGACCCTGTCTCAAAAAACAAAAACAAAAAACTCTACTACAAAAAAAATTATCAAAATAAACTAAACTCTAACTTCTTACTAGAGGATCAGATCAGTCTTTTGCGAAATCTAGTTGCTAAATGTTTTAAGTCATTTTGGGAAAATCAGCATTCCTTGTTGTGCAATGTCTACTTCATGCTGTCCTCTGCCTCTAGAAAATTTTTCTTAAGGGAGTGAGACCACAATCAAGCATTACCCAACTTCCTGTCTGTCACTGAGAAATACTCAGGTAAGAGAAAAAGAACTAAGGGTGGCTAAATAGTAAGAAAAGCCTGCCCTCAGTAACTATTAGATTCAAAAGTGAATAAAAATAATGCCATAGGTATGGCACTTTAAACATTTCAATGTGTTAATGTCCATGATTTCACTCGATACACTAGTAACCTTATCAGGTGGCATAAAGTATGGGCCCTCATTTATAGAAAGGGAAAATAAGACAAAGCGCTTGCCTTGTCACACAATGAGCTTGCCATGGACTGAATTATGTTCCCCAACTCCATACCCAAATTCATATTTCGAAGGCTTAACCTCCAGTGTGACTGTATTTGGAGATAGGGCCTTCAAGGAGGTAATTCAGGTTAAATGAGGTCATAAAGCTGGGGTCCTGATACCATACAATTAGTGTCCTTATAAGAAGAGATGCCCTCTCTGTCTCTCTGCATACACACACACAGAAGAGGTCATGTGAGCATACAGTGAGATGGTGGCCACCTAGAAGGCAGGAAGGGAGGCCTCACAAGAAACTCACCATGCTGGCACCTTGATCTTGGACTTCCAGCCTCCAGATCTTTGAGGAAATAAATGTCTGTTGTTTAAAGCTACCCAGGCTATAGTATTTCGTTATAGCAGCCTAAGTTGAGTGAAACAGAGCTAATGATCATAAAATTTCTAAAACCCAAGCCTCTTGACTCTGTCTTCGTTTATATCAGTGTAGTGTAATGGCCAGCACTGAACTACTGAGAATGATCACATAAACTTCATGTAATTTTTTCTGAACCTATAATTGTGGCTGCCCCAAAAGCTGCCGTTTTTTCATCTTCCCTCAAGTAACAGAAGGACTGCTGTCATAAAGATACACTTCCGAGGGGAGAAATGGAAGCAACATCATAAATGTGTAACATATCTGGTGGATTTCTCTGTAGTGATGAACTTTTGAATGAATTCCTTTCTTAAAATATTCCACTTGTTATTGGGAAATGATTTTTTAACTTGTGTCTAATATTTTCTTCATATGAGGAGATAGGTCTCTCTCTACCCACTTAACTCATTTAAACCTAACTAGTAACTTTTGTAAAGAATAACTGAGAATGCTCCACTTGGCTCAACTGTTCTTTCTCCTGAGATGAACTTGTCCACAGAAAGCACAAATTCTTTGCTTTTCCATGTTGTAAATCCTACTGGGCTGGCCTCTCATGTATGCAAGTTGGGACCTTGTAGGTTAGTGTATCTAATGCCAGGTTTCTGTTAGAAAGCCCATTTAGCTCCCACACAAAGCCAACTCAGCCTGTATCCATAACAAAGGTGGTATTTTGGCCTCAGTATTTACTTTTTAAAAAAAAAAATTATTGAATCATTCAGAAAGAAGAAAAGCAGGGAATTATTTAATGCAGGTCCCTTTAGAGACCACCAGCGTAACTGCAGGACAAACTTCTCTATTCCATTATCTCTACCATTTGAGAGGCCAGGAGAAAACATGAACCTTAATGGAGATGGAATTATCCTTGCAATGACTGCAGTAAATGTTTGTTGAAGGGGAAAAAAATGGAAAGAGAAAATATACCATATATACCTAGTTTTAATGGAAAGCCGATTTCTGCCATATACATTAGAGAAATTGTTTAAGAACAGTTCATCCATGTGAAAATATTAGCACTGTAATTCTGCCAAGGTCAGTAAGACCTAGTGATTTGCTGAGATATCACCTTCATTTCACCAGGTAAATAAAGGCTCCTTTTTTCAATGTGTCCTATCCAAGAAGGCAATCCACAGCAACAGTTAAATTATGAATACAGCACATATGTTCCATACCATATCATTTACAGCACAATTTAGCATGGACATAATGCTTTGTAACAAACTACAATACCATTCACAAAATGCATTTAAATAGCATAATTTAGTTCATTAAATTCAGTCATTTACAGTAAATCAAAATCATCATCGGAATTGAAGAGAGTACACAGTTGTTTGTTTGAATAGTTAAGCTAGGTAAGTCAATTTCTTTTTGAAGGTCAAGGACAGAGTTGTTTCCATTTTCTGTTATAAAAAAGATACAGCTGGTGTCAAAAGATAATTTACTGTCATTTCAAAACGATCAACCCTCTTTTTTTCCCTCCCCAGTCTCTCTCTCCTGGTTGCATATCAGATCACTGTCACTCCTAAAATAGATTCAACTCCCTGAAAATATCTTATATGCCACCTAACTAGAATGTATGTACAAATTTTACAAAATCTCAACTGTACAATTCCTTCACATTTTTAATCAAGATGTGTACATTTGGTCCCAGGAAAGCTTCAAACACTAGATCGCAGTGTCTGTAATCATCTGCATATCTGTCTATTTTTCATACCATATGGGAAGCCCCTTGTGGGTAGGAGCCTTGTCAACCATATTTAGATTCCTACAACCCAGCACAGTGTCTGTTGACTAAATTCCTTGAAATCAATGAATGGTTTTTTTTCAGTTATTTTTATTCCTCATGGCCCCAACCATATGCCTCACACATACTCAGTAAACGTTTGTTGGTTTAAAAATCTTGTTGGAGGGGCTTACCTTGGGATATATTTCATAAGCACACAAAATGAATGTGTGTTTTGAATTGTCTCAGTAAACCAGTGCCTGCAATAACATAGACAAAGTAAGAAAAGAGAAAACAGACTTTGGTATTGAGCACAAAGCATTCAACCTGATCTCATAGTTTCACAGTCCAGTGTACGCTGCGCAGGACCATACTCCATGTGGACTAAACTACATTTTACACAGTTCTTTCTCTTAGCCTTTGCCTGGAGTGCTTTCACAACCAACCCAGCAATAATCAACAGTACGAGGCTTTACGTGCTAGTTCAGCTGCTTTAAAGCCAACATAATCTAGGCAGCATTCTACACTCAGCCTTTATCCAGACATTTGATAACCTAATGTGTGCCTGGTACTGGGCACTGAGTAAACCAAAGAGGAGATAGACTCTAGTAAGATCTGAACTGTGTCCTCAAGCCGCTTAGAATCTAGAGTAACACACTGTCAATAATGCACTGTCGTGTGGTAAGCACAGTGTCTGAGGAAAGAAAGCACAAGGTGCCCAAAGAGAGAGAACAGTATTTTGATTAAAAAAAGGTACCAGGCCAGACGCAGTGGCTCACACCTGTAATCCCAGCACTTTGGGAGGCCGAGGCGGGTGGATCACTTGAGGTCAGGAGTTCTAGACCAGCCTGGCCAATATGGTGAAACCCCATCTCTGCTAAAAATACAAAAATTAGCCTGGCGTGATGGCACATGCCTGTAGTCCTAGCTACTCAGGAGGCTGAGGCAGGAGAATTGCTTGAACCCGGGAGGCGTAGGTTGCTATGAGCTAAGAGGCATCACTGCACTCCAGCCTGGGCGACAGAGTGAGATTTTGTCTCAAAAAAAAAAAAAAAAGGTACCACTTCTGTCTACTTGGCACAATCCCCAACCCTGCATATGAAGAACTAGTTCCATTATCAGAATTTTTTTTTTTTTTTTTAGAGTCAGGGTTTCACTCTGTCTTCCAACTAGAGCGCAGTGGTGCAATCATAGTTTACTGCAGACTCAGACTCCTGGACAGCTCATTTTAGAGGACCGTTGATACACTGGACATGGTCTAAAGGAGAGCTGCCAGGAGAAAGGGTTATCTTTTCCCTTCCTCAAAGAGAAAGGAAAATTGAGAAGAATGTAAGAATATTAGGGAAAACAAATTTTTTGAAAAAATTGAAAATAACTGTTCTTGAAAGTTTCTCAGTATTCCTGGGGTGGGTATTGATGGTTTAAAGAACCGTGTCAAGTCTATTACCATGAACAGACTCTAATTGTGTTAAATCCCACACTGAGAGTGTCAATAACTCCACAGAGCCCAAGAAAGAAAATACAAACTCTTTCTTAGGCTGTGTTAAAGACCTCTGTAATCTGGCTTCAGTCTTGTGTCTCTTTGTTACAGAGACTATATCCATTTCCCCTTCTTCTATTTGTAATAAAAATTTTAGCTAGAAACATGGGTCTCCCAGAAAAAAGACTATGCTGTCCAGTTCCCCTGAAGCTAGGTGAGGCCATATGACCACGCTGAGGCTAATGGGATGCAAGTGAAAATGTCACGTGGCAGCTTCTGGGAGCCTTGAGGTCATGGGTCATGGGACATGACATGACTGAAGTTCCATGCTGGACTATGATGACAAGGGCCACACCCTAGGGATGGCAAAGCAGAAAATGAGAAGGAACTGGGTCCCTGAGGACTTCATGGAGCACAGCCACCATACCAGTCATGGATGGACTATCCCCAAATTTTGAACTGGAAGGCAAATTATTTTCTATCTTATTTCAGCCACTACATTTGGAGACTCTTCACAAATTGAGACCACTCTCAAGCAATAGCCTCAGTATAACTACCTCCCTTTCCTCCAGATCCTCCCCTAGTGGCCTGCTATGACAGGCACTGTGCTAAACCCCTCAACAGCACATCTCATTTAATCCTCACAAATACCCGGTTAGGTAGCAACTATTATTAGCACCATTTCACAGATGAAGAAATTGAGATTTAGTAAGATGAATTTACTTGCTAACTAGAGGCAAAGCCAGTTTTTTTAGTCCAGGCAGTTTGTCCCCAGAGGCTATATCTGAATCTCTGTGCTCTGAATCTCTGTGCTATATTATCTGCCTCACAGAGCTACTTTCCCTATTCCATGTCTTTACTCATATTATTTCCTCAGCACCTAAAATGACTTTCTACCTTCCCCATGTCCTTTCCTTCCTAGATGCACCACCTTCTGCATGAAGGCCCTGATGCAGAATAGAAAGAAATCCCTCCTCAATGAGTCCATTGTACCTTAACTATGCCTCAGTTACATCACTTTGCATATCCTGCCTTCCAATCTCGTTAGCTATCTTATGTGTCAGTTTTCCTCAATATATTTTAAGTTCCTTGAGGGCAAGAAACATATTTTACCTGTCCTTGTGTTTTCCATAGTGCCTAACAGTAAAATTCAATAAATCTCACTTGACTTGCTAAAAACTAAGTTCTTGGCCTGGTGTGGTGGCTCACACCTGTAATCCCAGCACTTTGGGAGGCTGAGGTGAGCAGATTGCTTGAGCCCAGGAGTTCAAGACCAGACTGGGCAACATGACAAAATCCTGTTTCTACAAAAAAATACAAAAATTAGCCAGGTGTGGTGGCGCTCACCTGTAGTTCCAGCTACTCAGGAGGCTGAGGTGGGAGGATCACTGAGCCTGGGTACTTCAAGGCTGCAGTGAGCCGTGATTACACCACTGCACTCCACCCTGGGCAGCAGAATGAGACCCTGTTTCAAAAAAAGAAAAAAAAGTTCTGATTGGAAGATAGGAGTTTTTGACTATTTTATAAATGAAAGACAGGTAGTGAGTTGTAGTTCTAAATAACTGATGCACTATAATAGCACTGTCCAGTAGAACTTTCCACAGTGATGGAAACTTTCTATACCCACACTAGCTAATACAGTAGCCACTAGTCACATGTGGCTACTGAGCATTTGAAATAAGGCTAGTACAGAAAAGGAACTGAAATTTTAATTTAATTTAATTTTAATTAATTTACATTTAAATAGCCATATACAGATAATAGCTACCATATTGGATGTTACAACTCTAAAATCATGTTGAAGCTTTGGAAAACAGCACCAGCATGATTTGTGTAGAGTAAATGGTCAGTAAATGTTTGCTATAGGACTTTGAATTGGATTGAAAGGAATCAGTAGACATCATCTAAGTAGATTTAAAAGGAAAAGAAAACTAATTGAAAAAGATACAAACTTCAAAAAATTCAGGAAAAACACAGAAAAAGATAAAGTTGAAGCAACAAAAACAACAACAAAAACACCAAGGATCATTATTTACAGCAGAAAAGAATCCTTAACAAACCCTTCCAGCAAAGCCTGGAAGAGGTATGTCAAGACAGGCAATTATATGACATACAAGCCCAGTTTAATAAAGACTGGGCTGGCATCCATTTACAAAACCCTCCAGAGGACACTGAGGTTTCTCATGCTATATTTAAAGAAACTGTCTGTAAAAGGTTGGGATGGGTCTCACTAGGCTGGAAAGAATAAGTCCAGATCACTCTATTTAACAACTATTCATCATAAATTCAATATTTTATTCGGTAGGGGAATGACAGAAACTCACTCACTCCTACTTATGGTAATTCAAAGCAAAAAAACCTTCTAGTTATACTATCAGGCCAAAATCTAAATTTTAGTCCCCTTTGGAATTTTTCACTTTTGCTTATATGCCATTAAGATGGCGCTTGAAGAAATGCAGTTAAGGACTTACACTGTTAAGTGAGCTCTTCCCAGCCTGTCCATTCTGGGGGTGACCTTTCCACCAGGTCCCTGGCATAAGGCAGTGTGTCTCCTGGAGCAAAGCCAGAATGTAAGATGAAAAGCCACATGCAGAGGATGATGCAAGGGAAACAATCATGACTTTCATAATGAGAGCCAGAAAGAAATTTGAGGTCTTATGCTCACTAGTTCCTAAGCCTGGGTGTTGTAGTCAGCATAATAACTTGCTTAACGTTTTATTCTTCAGGACTTCTAGCCACAGAAGAGTGAGCTATACTAGCAATCAAACTTTGAGTGTACTTGTCCATGTTCCCCAGTCAGAGATCCATACAGCATGTCGTAATTTAAAGAGAAACTTTCACAATGTTTGGAGCCCTTTATGCCCTGAAGATGAAGGAGGAGAATGTCCTCACATTCCTTCCAGCAGGAATCCACTTAGGTGGCACCCACCTTGACTTCCAAATGATACACTACAAAAGGAAAAGTGATGGCATCTACATGATAAATCTGAAGAGGACCTGCAAGAAGCTTTGGCTGGCAGCTTGTGCCATTGTTGCCATTTGGAAACTCAGCTGCTGTCAGTGTCACATCCTCCAGGAATGTCAGCCAGCAGGCTATGCTGAAGTTTGCTGCTGCCACTGGAGCCACTCTTATTTCTGGTTCCTTTGCTAACCAGATCCAGGTAGCCTTCTGGGAGCCATGTCTTCTGATGGTTACTGATCCCAGGGCTGACCACACACCTTTCACAGGGCTATCGTATGTTAAACTGACTACCATTGCTCTGTGTCACACATACTCTCCTCTACGCTATGTGATCATCACCATCTCATGCAATGACAAGGGGGCTCACTCAGTGGGTCCAATGTGGTGGATCTTGGCCTGGGAAGTTCTGCACATGCACGGCACCATCTTCTGTGAGCACCCATGGGAGGTCATGCCTGATGACTACTTCTGCAGAGGAAGAACAGTAAAGAAAATAGGCTGGGCACAGTGGCTCAAGCCTGCAGTCCCAGCAGTTTGGGAAACCAAGGCAGGAGGATCACTTGAGGCCAGGAGCTCGAGACCAGCCTGGCCAACATGGTGAAACCCTGACTCTACTAAAAATACAAAAATTAGCTGAGTATTGTGTCATATGCCTGTAGTCACAGCTACTTGGGAGGCTGAGGCATGAGAATCTCTTGAACCTGGGAGGTAGAGGTTGCAGTGAGCCGAGATGGTGCCACTGCACTCTAGACTCTAGCCTGGGTGACAGAGTGAGACTCTGTCTCAAACAAAAAAAAAAAAAGAAAGAAAGAAAAGAAAAAGAAGTAATTACTCACAAACTGAAGTAATTACGACTAATAATAGCAATGATTTACTAGATGTCTACTACACTCAAGCATTTAGCATATTTTATCTATAATTTCCCAGTTACAATGTAAGGCAAATATTATTAATATGATTACCCCCACTTGAAAAACAAAGAAACTGAGGGTCAGGGAAATTAATTGAATTCACCAAAGCCATACAGCTACTAACATAACAGGTGCTCAATGAAAGGGAATTCCCTTTTTTTTTTTTTTCCTTTTTAGACAGGGTCTCACTCTGTCACCCAGGCTGGAGTGCAGTGGCATGCTCACAGTTCACTGCAGACTTGATCTCCCAGCCTCAAGTAATCCTCCCACTTCCGCCTCCTGAGTAGCTGGGACCACAGGCACACACCACTATACTGGCTGATTTTTTTTTTTTTTCATTTTTTGTAGAGATGGAGTCTATGTTGCCCAGACTGGTCTCAAACTCCTGGGCTCAAGTGATCCTCCTGCCTTGGCCTCTCAAAGTGCTGGGATTATAGGAATGAGCCATCATGCCCGGCTAGACTGACTTTTTAAAGTAATGAAATTAACAAGTACTCAGGTAAACAAATTAAAGCCCCACAGGACATAAAGTGAAAAGCAAATGTCTTCTTCCTGCCACTCCTAACTCCCTAGAATTTCTTCCCTAGCAATAAGCAGCGTTAAACACTTTTGGATATTCTTCCAGGTATTTTTCATGCATTTATACAAGCAAGGCCATATTTGCCTATTTTCTTGCAATTTGCTTTTTTTCTCTTAAATTATCATAGACTTCTTTCCATATTAGAACATATAGATCTACCTCATTAAAAATAATTGTGCAATATTCTCCTCTATAAATGTATCATAATTTAACAACTTCCATGTCAATGGACAGTGTTTTGCTGTTACAGTCAATGCTTCAGTGATCATCCTTTAAATAACATCTTTGTACCCTGGTATGATTTATCTGTAGGATAAATTTCTTGATGTGAAATTGTGTAAGACAATGGGCACTTGAATTTTTGGTAGATATTCCCAAATAGCCCACTTGAAATAATATATAAGAATGTCTGTTTTCTTATCTGGCATTTTGATATTAGTTTGTTTAAAAAGAATTTTATTTTCCCTTCTAATAGATATTTGTCTGCTCCTTATTATTTCTGGGAGCTACTCAAATGTCCTTTGGAAAATCATCACTTTCCCATGTAGTTGCTAGGGCTTCACCAGGAAGAGACCATGTGCCTTAGTCCTTGCCAATCAGAGTATCAAATCCTCCTACTAACATTGTTGACTCAGGGGTTGACCTGTGACCTAAGTTGTTCCAATGCCCAAGACTCACATGGTAGTTGCCAAGAATCACTCTACTTTTTGCTGGGCTGAATCCTGGGAAGATATAGGCATGGGGTTGCTAAATGGCACGTTGCCTCCTTGTGGCATACCATTATGGGGGAGAGGTAAGCTAACAGATGGAGGCAGACGTTGCCCCCTAGATCAAGTGTAAATGAAAGTCAGAAAAATTTACCTCTGAATTTTTCAGTTGTTTGACCTAGTAGATTTCACCTCTTGCTCAATCTGGTTTGAGTTGGGTTTTTGGTTACTCACAACCTGAAGAGTCCTGTTGGATATATACCTATTTTCCAGTGCTCCAATATACTACAAATTTTAAGTAATATTACTAATTATTGACCGGATATGGTGGCTCATACCTGTAACTCCAACACTTTGGGAGGCCAAGGTGGGAGGATCGCCTGAGCCCAGGAATTCGAGACAAGCCTGGGCAACATAGCGAGACCCTGTCTCTACAAAAAAATTTTTAAAATATTGCCAGGTATGGTAGTGTGTGCCTATAGTACCAGCTACTCAGGAAGCTGAGGCAGGCGGATTGCTTGAGCCCCAGAGGTCAAGACTTCAGTGAGCCATGATTGCACACTGCACTCCAGCCTGGGTGATAGAGTGAGACACTGTCTTAAAAAAATAAAAAGCAATATAATGTTTTTATGCTAATCTCACAAATTATCTGGGCTACTGAATCAACTTGGTTCATTTATTTACTTTGTTTATTGGTCAGACCAGCCCATCACAGGATTTTAACACTATAAATTGGCCCCTGGACTAACTCATGCAGGCGAGCAGCAACTCCATCAAACCCAATAATTAATCAGGCAGTCCTCCTCCGTATGTCACGGTGACTATTCATTAAAGCAATGCATATGGCTTGTATCTACCTGTGCTAGCTTTTTGCTTTTATTCATGGTTCAACAAATTTATTAACTTTAGATCCAGTGGAACAAAGAAAAATTAGTACAGAAGATATTATAATTAGGCTGATAGCTTAAAATTAGAAAAGAAAAACTAAAATTGAGAAGAGATATTGCCACTAACAATAGAATCTGTGACATAAATACATAGGAAACATCTCAAGTTACAGGCCTGGACTCTAGAAACATGAAGAGACACATATGATGATGTCCATGTCCAAGGTCTTACTTTTTGTTTGAGGATATACCATATGTATTGAAAGAATAAGCAATGGCCTAAGGATATCACTTGTGAATGTCACATATTTCTGATCATCAAGATTCCCATTCAAGAAGTACAAAGCATCTTAAGAGTCATGAGTGAGCCAGGCATGGTGGCTCACACCTGTGATCCCAACACTTTGGGAGGCCAAGGCAGGATGATCGCTTGAGCCCAGAAGCTTGAGACCGGCTGAGAAACACAGCAACATCCCAAGTACAAAAATTTTTTTAAAGTTAGCCAGGTATGGTGGCACACACCTGTAGTCCCAGCCACTGAGGAGGCTGAAGTGGGAGGATCACTTTAGCTCAGGAGTTTGAGGCTGCAATGAGCTACAATCGCACTACTGCACTTTAGCCTGGGTGGCAGAACAAGAGTCTGTCTTTAAAAAAACAACAACAAAAAAGATTTATAAGGCCAGGTGCGGTGGCTCACGCCTATAATCCCAGCGCTTTGGGAAGCTGAGGCAGGCAGATCACTTAAGTCCAGGAGTTTAAGGCCAGGAGTTCAAGACCAGTCTGGTCAACATAGCGAAACCCTATCTTTACTAAAAATACAAAAAATTAGCTGGGCATGGTGGTGCACACCTGTGATCCCAGCTACCCGGGAGGCTGAGGCATGAGAATTGCTTGAACCCAAGAGGCAGAGGTTGCAATGAGCAGAGATCACGCCACTGCACTCCAGCCTGGGTGACAGAGTGAGACTCCGTCTCAAAAAAAAAAATTTATGAGCTAGTGAAGTATATCATACTGTATATATTATATATACTGTATAGGTGTTAACCATTTGCTAAAATAAGATTACCAAATTGAATTGACAATGCTTTAGTAACTTAGGTATGCAAAATGTAATTCCATATGATTTGTTGAACAATACACATAAGAAGCCAAAATACTGATTTAGAGGAGACTCTCAAATTGTCCTGGTGAGTGACATAAGACATAATAATAGCAGCTAAGATTTATTCTAATATATCAAAAATGTACATTTATATAATAAATGAATGCATATATTCATTTAATTCTCACAAATATTCTATGATGTTGTAACATTATTATTCCTACTTTACAGATGAGAAATCTGAGGCATGAGAGATTAAGCAATTTCACTGGGCATAGTGGCTCACACCTGTAATCCCAGCACTTTGGGAGGCCGAGACAGGAGGATCACTTGACCCCAGGAGTTCAAGACCAGTCTGGGCAATATAGCAAGACCTCATCTCTACAAATTAAAAAAAAAAAATAAGCTGAGCATAGTGGGGTGCACCAGTATTCCCAGCTACTTGGGAGGCTGAGATGAGAGGATCGCTTGAGCCTGGGAGGCAGAGGTTGCAATAAGCCATGACTGCACCACTGCACTCCAGTTTGGGCGACAGAGCAAGACCCTGTCTCAAAAGAAGAAGGAGGAGTAGGAGAAAGAGAAGGAGGAGGAGGAGGAAGAGGAGGAGGGGGAAGAGGAGGAGGAGAAGGAGAAGGAAAAGGAGAAGGAGGAGGAAGAGGAGGAGAAGGGGAAGAAGGAGAAGAAGGAGGAGGAGGAGAAGGAGGAGGAGGTGGGAGTGGGAGTTGGGGAGGGGGACGGGGAGAAGTAGTTAAGTGATTTGCCCAAGATAACTTCAGAGCCAGACTTCAAAACTAGATAGTCTGACTCCAGAGTCTATACCCAAAAAAAACACTATAGTGAGTGTATGATTCATATTCTATAAATTATTGCTTTGTTCATATTTTTAAGGAGAAAATATAGGACAAAGAATAGTAAAGACATGACTTCTTCTATTCTGGAATTCTGTACTTTCTCTGGAGCCTCAAGCTGTGCCTTGCACATAATAGATGATCAATAAACTCCTGTTTTATGAATGTATTAAGGAATAATATTTGTGACCATATGCCCCACTTGTCTTTGCAACTCCTGACTACATTACTTTTTCCTAGAATTCTTGTAGAGAAGGTTGCTCTCTAACCAAAATTCCCTGCAAGAAGCAGAGAGTGTTTGAAGTAGAAAGTATATAACAGAGCAGAGCACTGGTCTGAGACTAAGCCCTGACACCATTTAGTTATACACCCTTGAACAAGTCAATTTACTCCTCTTGGAAATAAATGCTCATATATGTCAAATGAAAGAGTTGAAGTAGATAACTGATTTTCAGACTATGCTAATAATGATGGAAAAAGGGGGAAGCATTATGAACAGGTTCAAGCTCTTTGGCTTCAAGGAGAATAGCTCCCCTCAAATCTGTTTTACATATTAAGTATATAAGAGTTTGTAGGCCAGGCGCAGTGGCTCACGCCTGTAATCCCAGCACTTTGGGAGGCCGAGGCAGGCAGATACTTGAGATCGGGAGTTCGAGACCAGCCTCACCAACATGGAGAAAACCCATCTCTACTAAAAATATAAAATTAGCCGGGCGTGGTGGCGCATGCCTGTAATCCCAGTTACTTGGGAGGCTGAGGCAGGAGAATCGCTCGAACCCGGGAGGCAGAGGTTGCGGTGAGCTGAGATGGCGCCATTGCACTCCAGCCTGGGCAACAAGAGTGAAACTCCGTCTCAAAAAAAAAAAAAAAAAAGTTTGTTTGCATAAAGTAACTCAAGGAGTTACAAAGTTTGAAGACAACTCAATTTGACCAAATTCTTAAGTACTGTCTCATTTCTAATATTCTATCCCTGGACTACCCAGACACACTCCAATATGTCAGACCCTTTGCCTGTTTTGACCTGTTCAAGAGATATTTTAACTGAATCTTAGAATTCTTTCCATCATTACAATTCTAGATCTGTCCTTTCAAAAGAAAGAAATTGATTTTTTTCCTCCACTCATATTTATCCGTTCACTTTTTGGAGGCTCTCCTTGCCACATCCTTAAATAAGTAACTAGGATAACTGTGGTAATTGCCTGACCTGCAAAGTGTTTAGAACTTCAAGGTTAATGCTCCTGGCACAAGATTTTCGCTACAAACAGCAGAATTCCTCTAACCCTTTGCTGAGGCATTGGTTCAATAGTAAGAGAAGATCATGCCATGTATTGAATTACTCAAAAGAGAATTATCAGAGTTCCCTGATAATCCCTGGTCTACCTATGGCTAAACCGTATTCCAAAAAGAACTGTCTTAAATAACTCAGGAAAGACCTTCACCAGAGATACAGTAGAAGAGCCAAATATTTAACAAAACTAAAAACCAAAACCTATATATTCAAGAACTGGTACAGCCCTACCCCAAATATTGTGCTAATTCCTTATGTTTCATTTTATAATACTGAACTTCCTTTCACATGAATGAAAAGAACTGTTACTATTAAGCCTATCCATTCTCTGGAATTTCTTTAATCAGTTTTCATTAAGGACTGTCAAACACATACATCATTTAGGGACTTTTAAATCTAAATTTTATTGAAGATATATTACATATGGTTTAATATTTCAGCTCAGCAATGGCCATTAGCAATAAGCATTACTCCAAGAGTGGGATTAATTAAATATTCTAGCAAACACAGTGATCCAAATAGCAAAGAAAAATCCTGGGCACTGAGCCCAGATTTCCCACCCTCTCTTCTGGTGTGGCTCATCGCTCTCTCTCAGATAAACTAGACAACCAACAAATCTTTCATCATTACTAGTAAATGTATAGATGGGTAATAAATGATCAAATCTCTCCATCAGGTCTCCTATTAGATTTTTTAAGCGTAAAACATTGCACAAAATCAAATTGCCCCATAAAAGGGTATTTTTTAAACCAAAGAGAAATACAGTTTTCAGAAATAAAAGGTAATTCCCCACAGTAATCAGCAGTTCTACTCTAATTTGACTTTACCATTCCTCCAGTGACAAGTTGGGAGATGGTCCTATTCTACAATTATAATCCTGTCTTTGCTATGTTATGAAGTTTTAAAGTATTTCAACTTTGTATATTATAGTGAATATAAATCTCAGCTCCACAGAAACCAAGAGATTCAGAGCAAACTCATGATCTTGATCCTACCAAGATTCCTGGGTTTGCACTCATAAGTTAAGACTGATACTCCAACCTTAAATCTTAGCTTTAGATCTGAATTCCTTGGCTTTTGTGATTTTAATCTAGACACTAATCTACTTTAATAGTGAGGGAATGGGAGGAGCTCCAAGCAGAATATTTACAAAGGGTCTTATTCATCAAACAGTCATAGTTCCTCTTCATTCCTTCTCTCAGCTAACAGCAGAGCTATTTGGTGACACGACAGATAAATCTAGCCGATTCAAAAACGACCTGGCAACAACCATTTCTTGTCATTGCCAAATCTGCACTTCTGGGACACAATGTACCATAAACCTTTAGCAAATCACCTTCTTCTTTCAATGGGAAGGCTGTTAATAAAGTAAAATCTTTGAAGCTGGATCATCTGACAAAAGGAACAAAAAGTGAAAGAGGAGCAGCAGCAGCATTACATTTATGTAGCCTAAACAGTTTTCAAAGCATGATCAAGTACATTACACAATTTTATCTTTCCAATAAATTTATAAGGTGGTTATAGCCTTAAGTAAGTCACTTATCTTCTGTGAACCTCAGAATCCTAACCTTTATTATTTTATTTTTATTTATTTATTTATTTATTTTGAGACAGTCTCACTGTCACCCAGGTTGGAGTGCAATGGCTGGATCTTGGCTCACTGCAACCTCTGCCTCCCGGGTTCAAGCGATTCTCCTGCCTCAGCCTCCCGAGTAGCTGGGACTACAGGCACCCGCCACCACACTCAGTTAATTTTTGTATATTTAGTAGAGCCGGGGTTTCACCATGTTGGCCAGGGTGATCTTGAACTCCGGGCCTCAAGTGATCCACCCACCTCGCCTCCCAAAGTGTGGGGATTACAGGCATTAGCCACCACATCCACCAACCAGAATCCTAGCCTTTATTTTATTTTTATTTATTTATTTATTTTTGAGATGGAGTCCCACTCTGTCGCCCAGGCTGGAGTGCAGTGGTGCAATTTCAGCTCACTGCAACCTCCATCTGCTGGGTTCAAGTGATTCTCCTGCCTCAGTTCCCCAAGTAGCTGGGATTACAGGCGTGTGCCACAACGCCTGGCTAATTTTTGTATTTTTAGTAGAGATGGGGTTTTGCCATGTTGGCCAAGCTGGTCTTGAACTCCTGACCTTAGGTGATCCACCTGCCTTGGCCTCCCAAAATGCTGGGATTACAGGCGTGAGCCACTGCGCTTGGCCAGAATCCTAGCCTTTAAAATGAGAATAATATTTCACACGGTTGTTATTAGGCTGGGACAAAATAACATAGGTAAAGTACTTGGTGCAGCGTACTTCAATGGTAGCCAGGGTTTTATTATTGTTATTATTATTAGTCCTACAAATAGTGAAAACATTGCTCAGAGGAAGTAAGTAACCAGCCCAAGGGCATTCAATGTATACATTTTACTGAGTCCTGGCATAGGGCTATGGATATTAAAACGTATACAATCTGGCAGGGTGTGTTGGCTCACGCTTGTAATCCCAGCACTTTGGGAGGCCCAAGGCAGGCAGATCACTTGAGCTCAGGAGTTTGAGACCAGCCTGGGCAACACAAAAAATTAGCCAGGTGTGGTGGCATGTGCCTATAGTCCCAGCTACTCGGGAGGCTGAGGCAGAAGAATTGCTTGAACCCAGGAGGCAGAGGTTGCAGTGAGCCGAGATCACGCCACTGCACTCCAGCCTGGGCAACAGAGCGAGACTCTATCTCAAAAAAAAAAAAAAGAAAGAAAAAAAGTGTAAGATCTATCTAGGAACTCAGAGTCACCCTTAGTAAGAAAGAGAACAACTTCTGGAACAAAATATTCTTTTCACTCTATTCTGATTCAAATCTAGAAAGGAAAAGATAAATTATTTCTTAGATGAAAAACATTATCTCTATGCAGTAGATTTTGTTCACTGTGGTTAAGAGTACTCTAGCCCCCAATCTCCCCAGAAACCTTGCCCCAGACCAATAAGGAAATCCTTAATAGTGGGATTTCATGCTTTGAATAGAGAATGCCTTGTTTTTGTGTAACACTGTACAGTTAACTAAGAACACTTTCAACTACACTAACCTAATCTTCACCTACCCGCCTCTGAGCTTTGAATTAGAGAAGACGAAATTGAGGCCCAGCTACCATTGTCATAATCCAGAGTAGAACTAGATCAGTAGCCTCATACTGATTAATAGTTAATGTTAAATTAATAGTTTAATGTTGCCCAACAAACTACTGTGTACCTATATTAAAATATTTTTGCGGCCGGGCGCAGTGGCTCACGCCTGTAATCCCAGCACTTCGGGAGGCCGAGGTGGGCAGATCACGAGGTCAAGAGATTGAGATCATCCTGGCCAAAATGGTGAAACCCCATCTCTACTAAAAATACAAAAATTAGCTGGGTGTAGTGGCGTGTGCCTGTAGTTCCAGCTACTCGGGAGGCTGAGGCAGGAGAATCACTTGAACCCGGGAGGCAGAGGGTGCAGTGAGCCAAGATCATGCCACTGCACTCCAGCCTGGCAACAGAGCGAGACACCATCTCAAAAAAAAAAATGTTTGCACTCTCACCTAGATTTATTTTCTATTTTCTCTGAGTCTCTATGGCACACTCTAATTCTCCTAGGGGGTTTAATACTGAACCTTGCATTTGAGGAATTCCCTCAGGCAATATGTTTATTCAATAACCCATGCAACATAATATAATATCAGTATTCCAAGTATGGCTATGACTTTTACATAGAGTAGATCCATAAAGAGAGATGGAGAATGATACTTTGCATTTGTTTAGCACTCTTTCAAAGTGCTTTTATATCTATTATTCAGAGACGGAGAATGGAATTTGAATTTAAGAGTAGAAAGGATGTTAGAGATTCTCTAATTCAGCATTTCTTAACCTTCTTTGGATCACTTGCCTATTTGAGAATCTGACAAAAGCTATGGACCTCATACCCAGAAAGATGAACAGATGTGTATATATATATATGTATATATATATATACACATATAAAACTGCATTGTTTCAAGGGGATTCGTGAATTACTCTCACTTTAAGAACTGCTCTAATTTGAAAACTTTCACTTTACAAATGAGGAAGCTACTATTTATCATGATAGCATCCCCACGAAGAGGCAGAGCAAGGACTATGATCCACATTTTCCAGATCTGGAACTAAGGTTCAGAGAGGTTTCAAGATGCCCAAAGTCTTATAGCTAGGTAGGAGCAGTAGCAGAACCCAGGACTCTGGATAGTCTAGTTCTTATTCTTCCAGATCACATCATCCTCCCAACACACCATGCTAAAATTCTTTCACTATAAGAATAACTCCTATAGTCGATAGTTTGTTTTGCCTTCTGTAACACTCGTAATACTTACTCTCCAGTAAAAAAGTTCCAAATACAAAAATTGTCCTATTCACAATAGTAACTCATTTCTTACAGAGTTCCAGTAGGCTTCAGTTATTGCTGACACATTAAATACTGAAATCCAGAAATTATCTTTGTAAACAACTCCATAACTTCTAAATTGGTAGTTAAGTATCAAGCTGGCCAATCTCTCTGTCCTTCTCTCTCTCTCTCTCTTTTTATTTCCTTTGGTAGGACAGATTCTTGCTGTGTCCCCCAAGCTGGTCTCAAACTCCTGGGATCAAGCAATTCTCCTGCCTCAGCCTCCCAAAGTGCTAGGATTACAGGCTTGCACTGCTGTGTCTGGCCAATTTCTCCTTTTAGCAGCAAATGAACATACGTGAATCCAAGCAAAGAAGGCAAAAATGCTAATGTTTCTCTTGAACGGGTGTGGAAAACTAGTTTTAGCACATTAGACTTATACCTAACACATAGAGGTGCTCAGTAAATATTTGCTAAATGAATACACAAATTTACCAATTAATACCAGTGAGTTTTTCATGTATTTTATTTCCACTTTCAAAAGTTAAACTAAGCAGCCTGGACAACATAGCAAGACCCTGTCTGTATTTTTTAAAAATTAGCCAGGCATGGTGGCACCTGTTTGTAGTCTTAGTTACTTAGGAGGCTGAGGTGGGAGGATCACCTAAGCCCAGGAGTTCCAGGCTGCAATGAGCTGTGATCACACCACTGCACTCCAACCTGGGCAGCAGAGTGAGACCTTGTGTCTTAAAAAAACAAAACAAAACAAACAAACAACAACAACAAAAAATACACACAAAAGCAAACAAGAAGTTAAAGTAAGAATACTGTACTTCTCACTTAAGGTCTAAGTCAGACCAGCAACAGCAGCATATTCAATACTAAAATATATATAATGACAAATAAGTTTTTTAATATGTTCACTCACACTTTATCAAAACAGTCTAGGTCATTAAGATAGTGGTTCTGATGAATTTTATTACAATTTATACATTCTTCCCATAGCAATAAATATATGTAAAATATTTATGGGAAGAAAATATCTTAGATATGTATAAAATATATAGATATGCCAAGATTATTATAACGTTTATGATGAATGTTAGATTTTTCCAAGAAAATGGCTATTATTAACATTTAATTTAGCTTCACTTAATAACAGGCTATCTTACTATAGTGAAGATTTCCATACCTCACAAAGTCTTTATTTGTAAGCCAAAAGCTTCCAGAATATATTCCAGGGTGCTGAGCATTTTGGTATTGAGAAAGAATCAAAGATGCTGTGTTTCAGCTTTGATTATTCATGCTGGCTTTAGTAGACTTCAAGCCTGAATTTTAATGTTTCATTATCACAGTTTTTCTGTGATAATCTGGATAGATTAAGAATATTCTACAAAACAAATGCTTAATAAGGCAATAAACCTGTTGAAGGAATAAATTAGCAGGCAGGTTATGCTTTTAGGATAACTACACTACAGAAAAGGTATTTACCCACTTTACCTAGTGATTATGTTTATATTGCAATGTGACTCATAAGACTCACTGTACTGAATAAAATTTAGGCAATTAATGATCTTATTTCATAGGAAGAACTACTTGCTATTGAATATTAACACAGATCTTGCTCAATTAAAATTGCTCACAGTCAGCAAAAATAATTTCTGCACTGTAATGAAATAATGAAATAATTATATGCAAGGGAGGACTTGTGATCTTTTTAATTATTCTATTCTTCATTTTTAAAAGGGCTATTTGAAAATGTACTCTTATAATTGATTGCTATAAATCAGTCAGACTCATTCTAAGGATCATAAATATTCTAACTTTTAAAAGACAAAGAAATGCTAAATATTCAATGGGATACTTCAATATTCAGAAAATTTAATCTTGGGGGAAAGGATAGACTGCTCTTTGGAAAATAAAAAAGTAAATTTGTTGTCCCGTGAAAAATGAAATATCTTGAATGTCAGTAACAGAGATGGAATTAACAAGAGATCTTTTTATTGTTTTTTAAGGTCATTAGGCTGTGAATTCTATAATTATGGAAATTGTCAGTCCAGTTCTGTAAGAATGTTTGCTCCCATCCATAAGGTAGTGGAATGTTCAATCAGTCTCTCTCGTGGGAAAGTTAGGTCATAACTGTAAGTGTAACAGCAAAATTGAATTAAGCAAAGAGATTTCATTAGTATTTATAGCCAGAAGGCATCTGTAAAAGTACAGGGCAAAGAAGTTATGTGGAAGTCAAAGGAGAAAAAAAAAATGGGTTTCTAGTGACAAAGCCGAATCTGAAAGAGATATAAGTGTATAATGAATAAGAGCTATTGAATGCTACTGCAAAGAGGGAGTTGCAAAGATGTCAAATATTGATTTTCTTGTGTATGCCTTTGGACTACATATGTAATTGTTTAGATTTGCTGTCTTCATGGTACAACAATATTTGTTGTCAAAGGTTAAAAAGCATGATGTGAAATAAACTAAAACCTGAGAAACATGTTGGAGAATCATAATTCTCCACTCAGAATCTCATTAAGAGGTTTCTGTATTTTCTTGCAAAAGAACATTTTTAATGAAGAAAAATGGCATATATATATATATGTATTTCAAATAGAACACAAGATCCAAATACTAGTTAATTATGTTACTGAAAATTATTTAATTAACTTTCAGCATCATTTTAAATTAAACTAGTTTCTCTACTTTCTACTTTATTGAATATTCTTAAACCATATATCTAATTTTGAAAGTACAGTTAAACTATACTTTATTTTTCCAGTATGATTACAAGGAATTCTATTAACACTAAACTGATAATAAAAATCTGATGTTACCCCTTTACAATAAATATTTCCTGTCATATTTTCCTCTTCACTACTAAAACTTCAGAAGGAAAACTTCTCTGCTTTAAGGTCTATGTAAGCATATATATTGAATAACAAACTGCAAACTCAAGTAATCAAATTAATAATCTGGAACAGTAAGTAAACAAAATACTTTTTTCTAATGTTTTTAGGGGTTAGTTTCCCTTTAAATATTCAAGTCTTAACAGAATGTTAACTATCATAATGTTCTTTTTAAATAACAGACTCATTTGTTTCGTTGATCTTTTTTTATTATTTATTATAAACTTGAATCATACCTGTTAATATTACTGTATTCTCTTTCCTACCTCAGGACATTTAAAAATAACAGCCAAACTGTTAAATTCTCCAGATGGAATTTACTACACTTAAAGTCATAATGACCACAAACTAAAAAAAGAACGTTTAAAAAAAAGTATGAACTGTTTTAAGTACCAGCAGGAGACAGGGGTACAAATAAGAAACAGCATAATATATGGCAGAAGCAAATCATTTTACCAGTACAGAAAACACTAGATGGGAAAACTGCAGAGAAGACAACGTCTCCAGCACAAATAAGTTTCAAATTTTATTTTCCATGTCTCACTTTTAATGTTATTAAATATTTAATAGCAATGTAAAACAGAGTGACAACATTTTGAGTGTATGTGCAAACCAAGGCATTTCTTTCCCCGGGGTTTTGAAAGCATGTGGGACACGAAGGAGATAGTCCAGTAGAAACGGCAGCTTCTCTCCGAGGTAAATACTCGTCAAGAACAAAACATAATTCAATTGCACTCTTGTTTTCTGAAAAGGCTGCTTGTGGAATATCCATCATAAAGTCATTTCTATTTCTTAAGAGCTATTAGTGCCTGGCCCCTTGGCTTCATTAAGGCCCTTTTTTTCAGTATGTTATTTTATTTTAGACTGCATCCCACTTCTCAGCTACACAGTGCACACTGCAATTTATTGGCTCCCGAGGGAGACGTCCACAATGCCCCTCAGTGACTGACATACAAGGACAACGTAGGAATGGAGAGAAAGGCGGATTTGTTGGCACTAAGTCGGAAACATTTTTTAAACCCTAGAGGTTAAAAGAGAGTTTGGCCAAGCCTCTGAGACAGAGTGCTGTATCATTTAACTGACACTAACATCACCATGCTCCCCACTAGGAGGGGATCAGTCTCCCAGCCCGTTAATCGCACCCGATGTTCTGGTGGAGCTAAAGAAGCTAGAAGTTTTGAGAGTCCCTGCTGCCAGACTTCAGTGTTGCCTAAGCAAGCATTGAGAGACTATGGTAATAATAGGTGTGCTTACACCAAATAAAAGGTTTCATTAATCAAGCCATATTGAGATAAACCTGTCACTGGACAGAGGGGACCAGAAATCAAATGCTGTGAAAATTCTGACAGATTGTTAAATAGAAACCCTTTAAAATAGAATTTAATTTACTGTGATATTATAGATATTTATGCATCAATAGGCAAGTGCAGATTGAGTTCAGAGGTCGGCTCTGGTATTTGAAAAATAAAAGCACAGGATGAAACAAAAGGTGACAGTTACCTTTGTCTGAAATTAGGGTTCATTAGACTAAATGGGAAGGTTTTAACTGATTCATGTAGGGAACTGAAGCACAGCATGTGATGTGGTGTGCAATACTGGATAACAGGCAAATCCAATTAAGGGATCTTTATCCTGTTAAAGACTTGTCTACAAACTTAAAAAAAATCCAGGGGCCAGCCACAGAAGAGCCCACTCAGTCATCGTCAGTGGTAGGTATCTCTCAGATCCTAATAGGTGAACATGTTTCCTCTGTGGCATTGTAGTGAGGAGTGCTAGATTTTGAAGGCAGACAGACCTGGGTTCAAAGTTCAGCTTTGCTACTTATTAGCTGTATGACTTTTGACAAATTATCTTCTTTTAGCTTCAATATCCTAATCAGTAAAACAAAAGTACTGCCAGTACTACCTCATACGGCTGCTGTGAGGACTGAGATCAAGTTTGCAAAGTACTTAGCATGGTGGCTGGTGGTGCTCAACAAACAATAGTTATTAGTGCTTCCTTTTTCTTCTCCTTTCCTTCTCTCCCTCTTTTCTTTTTCCAGTTCCCTCTTTTTGCCTTTTGCCTCCTCTTCCTTGTTTCTTTTTTCCCTCTGCCTACCACACAGGAGCAACAACTGGCACAGCAGCACCTCCAGGCATTTTGCAGCCTCTTTGAATTGAAGGGCCTGCTGACCTTTGATTTGTGGGCAGAGTTCAAAATGAAGTTATAAAAGGCCTCTTCATTCAGATTGCCTCATTCATGGAAGACTGTTGGAAGTTCCTTGGCTCTATAATGTCTGAAACTTGCTTGTTCAAACTGATAGAATTAAGTTCTAGATTCTACCAAATTGATCCATGGGTATAATCTTTCCTTAAAGCCAAACCAGCACATTGCCACAAATTTCTTATTGACTACTAGCTAGAAATATGTGATGAAGCATTAAGAAGAATTGTTTAATACTTTTTTTAAAGAATCCCACACCCCAAATGTTTTATTCTTACAGTTTGGCCTTATGTATTTCAGCCTCCTAACTCGTTTCCAAAACTTCTATACTTCCTGGGTTTTGTTTTGTATTTTAATGTTTCTGTTTCTTAGTCTTTCCGTCCCCTTCTACTTATCCTGGTTGACAGAGCAAGTCATTTAAAAAAAAAAAAGTTTGAGCCAGGTGCAGTGGCTCACACCTTTCTCATCCCAGCACTTTGGGAGGCCAAGGTGGGAGAATTGCTTGAGCCCAGTAGTTCAAGACCAGCCTGGGCAACATAAGGAGACACCATCTCTATAAAGAAAAAAGAAAAAATAGCTTGGATAATATCTCAGTGAATAGTGAGGTCACAGAATGGAGTCTTAAAGAAACATAGACAGTACCTTACCCATACGTGAAAAGGAACAGGAAGGCAACATACAATCCTGTTACTATCACTCCCAGGTCTCTAGAAAACAGCCAAGACAGATTCAAGATGCCACACACAGCTGTGTGTCTTTGAGAAAGTAATTTGTCCTCCCTGAGCTCCCTCTCTCGGTTAGATGTACCTCCTCTATACTCTACCTGTACCCTATAAATACCTGTATCATTATTGAAATTATTGGCCCCACCACCAACCTATAAACATTTTAGCACAGATGTTATTATCTTATTTATTTTTGTATCCCCTGGCCAGTGGTGGTGCTCTTTACAAGTGTCTGTTGAATTGATCAAAAATATTCATATCTAGGCCTATCTTAAATGATCCCTTGAACCCCCTCCACATTTATTAACTGAAAGTGGCATAACTGACCTGTGTGTAAGGATAAAATGACTCAGACCACTTGAAATGATTTAATACTAAAACAGTAGCTCTCAGAAAACTTACCCTTAAACAAAATTTGCACAAACCATAACTCTCTTTTGAATTTGCTGGTGTCATTTTGGATTTCATCTTTACTTCTATCTGTTTGAATAGAGCCATACTTTAAAAAGAAGTGGAAAAAGAATAGAAGTGTATTTCAATTCTCAGCAACTACCAGCTCCTCCAAAAACTAAACCACTTAACTTTCCTGTTCTTCAATTTTCTTTTTAATCAAATGAAAATACTGAATACAGGCCAAATAAATATAGTGTGATTGCTTATAAGGGTCAAATCTCACAATTAAAATCTCCATTTATTATTATTATTTCTTTTAAATTAAGAATGCTAGAGACTGGGCACAGTGGCTCACGTCTGTAATCCCAGCACTTTGGGAGGCTGAGGCGGGTGGATCACGAGGTCAGGAGTTCGAGACCAGCCTGACCAATATGGTGAAACCCCATTTCTACCAAAAATAAAATTAGCCGGACATGGTGGCGGATGCCTGTAATCCCAGCTACTTGGGAGGCTGAGGCAGGAGAATTGCTTGAACCCAGGAGGAAGAAGCTGCAGTGAGCTGAGATCATGCCATTGTACTCCAGCCTGGGCAACAGAGCAAGACTCTATCTCAAAAAAAAAAAAAAAAAAATGCTAGTGAGACAGGCACAGTGGTGTGCATCTGTAATCCCAGCTACTAGGGAGGCTGAGATGAGAAGATTGCTTGAGCCCAGGAGTTCAAGACCAGCCTGGGCAACATAGCAAAACCCCATCTCATAAAATCAATTAATTAACTAAGGATATTTAACTTTTATCTTCTCAACTGTATTAATTACCTATTGCTGCATAGCAAATTATCCTCAAAATGTAACAGTTTAAAACAACAAGCATTTATTATCTCATGCAGTTTCTGGGGTCAAGCATCTGAGAGTGGCTAAGCTGATGGTTCTGGCTCAGGGTCTCTCATGAGGTTACATTCAAGCAACCTCAGGTGCTGCAGTCACTTGAAGGTTTGACCAGAGTCGGCAGATCTATTTCCAAGATGGTTCACTCACATGGCTATTGACAGAAGACTACAAATTCTCATTGGTCATTGGTAGAAGGCCTCAGTTCCTTGCTACGTGGAGAGCTGTCTCAGTACCTTCATAACCTGGCAGCTTGCTTTCCCCAGAGTAAAGGATCTGAGAAAGTACAAGGCCGAAGCCACAATGTGTTCCACGAGCTAGCCTCAGAAGTGACATACCATTATTTTGCCATATTCTATTGGTCACACAGAAAAAAACCCACTATAATGTGGGAAAAGACCCTACAAGCCATGATTACTAGGAGGCAAGGAATCATTGGGGACCATTTTGGGGCCTGGCTGCCACACCAATGAAAATAAATATCCACACCAATGGAGCAGAGAAGTAATAATTTTTTTGGCTTTTCAGGGGGTAGAAAGCCAGAGATCAAATGATTTCCCAAGAAGAGAGATTAAACTCTGTACTAAGCCACCTCATATAATACGTTAATTAAATAAGTAGATAAACTTAAATTTCTGACTCCTTATTCAAGTTCTTTTTTTTTTCAAGTTTAAACTCCTCTGTCCTGTGGTTTTTATATCCAGAACTCTTCAATGTATTACTTATCCCCTGAATTCACCAAAAACAAATTCACCTTCCCCAACTTTACCTATAACTGCAGCACTTGGGGTTAGGGGAAAAACATTTTCCCCCTAAGCAATAACTAACATCAATAACCAAGATATAAAATAAACTCACACCTATGGATATACTAACAATGCAGACCATATATTCAGTAGGTAGCAGTTAATTTTATCATACCAGTTCTTTTCAACACCTTAGCTGGTTGCACAAGGATCATATGAAACTAGATTCTTTAATTCCAAGGTGAAGAGCATAAAAGTCTGAATCTCTGAGGTTTTAACAAATCAATCTGTAACAAAAGATAATTACTCCTATATCCTACCTTCTGTATCCTGCCTGGTGAAAAAGGAAACTGGCAACTGAGACCTGGGTTCTAGCCCCAGCTCTGTCATTAACTTGCTGGGTGATATCTGGCAAGTAACTTGACATCTCTGATCCTCAACTTTAAAGATCCAAGGTTAGATCAAAATAACTCTTCCAGGACTAAAATAAATTTGACAATTCTGATTAATCTGTGCTTTCAGGTGAACCCAGCTTGCTTATCCCTACCTACTTTTGGTTGTGACTCTACACCAATTTTCTTTCTTTTTTTTTTTTTTTACTACACTGCATCAGAAAACAATAGGACAATGGCCATTTCTGAATTTATATCAGGCTTTCCTCCCTAACCTTTCCCTATCTCACCAAATAGTGCTGGAAAAATACTCGGCACTATTCATGGTGGGAAGCTCAACAGAAATGAAAATAATCAGCCAGTAATGTGATCAATGAAACCAAATTGGAAATAAATTTAGGTACACGAATATAAAACCAATGCTTAAAAAATGGTTTCAACCAAAAAATGATTGCTCATAGACATAGACAGGAAGATGTCTTTCCCCAAAGGATCCACTCTTCACAGAGTTTGGCAGCATGATGAAAGGCAGAGGAGTGTGACTCCATGGCAGTAGAAGAAATGGTACTCTCATCAGCTGGCAACCAATTTCCCTCAGAGGAGGTACAGACATAGCTAAGTCAAGCCAAAAGTTATGAATGTCCCTGAATTCCCATGGGAAAAGAGTGTAGTGCAAAGAAAGAAGTCTCATCTATTGGGCCTAGACGAGCTTGAAGAAGACAGGGAAGTCCCTTAGCAATTTTCTGACAAAGAGAGAAAGCAAGAGAAATAAGGAAATGAGGGAAAGAAAGAAAGGTAAAGAAGAGAAAGTTTAGAGAAAGAAAGTGGCAGAGAAGCGTAAGAATGAAAGAGGAGGGGAAAAATTATCCAGCACTAGAGACTCATCAAGAGAGCCCTGATTGTCTTACTCAATAAAGTATCCCAACCACCTACCACAATGCCTGTACAGAACAGGAGTTCAGCATATGTTGAATGGATGAAAGAATGCAGATAAAGAAACAAAAATCAGTTTGGAAAAAGGCAGGATATTCATTGTCTTACAGCTATGCACTAACTCTAGCTAAAAATTTCACGACCTAAAAAATGTATACGAGGAAGGTTAGAAAAGGTAGCTGAATCAGTACAAATCTATAACCCCTTTGGGGGGAAAAAAAGAATAACAATACATGTGCTGCTGTTAAATATTTTGTCACTTTCTTATTTCCTTTTGTATATTAATAATCTCTCAATTAAGCACCTCATAAATATTTTAGGATATCATGTTAAGAAAGAAATAACATCTTTATTTTTACGCCAGTTCAAAAGAAATTGATGGTTCTAAAAAAAAAAAACCCACTTTATTTGGCATAGAAACCACATAGTCATCTATGTCATTTCTTAGAGCTCTGTCAATATTTCAGTATTAAAATAAAATTGTTAAGAAAAAGCAACTGAGTAAAGAAGCATTTCAAAGTTTTCTAGGACTTTTATCCTTCCAAGAATAAGTTGCCTGCATATTTGTTTCTTTTGGTTAAATACTGATACAAGCTCAAACTATTACAGTTTGAAACTGCAGTTCATTCGCCTTTTACAGATTGTTTTAGATCTTGGTCTAACACAACTATCCCTTTAGGACCAGTCAGATTGCCATAGTAATTGCTCAGTGACCACAGTTGTTGCAACTCTGACACAGGAATGACCACAGTTCTAGGTCAGCTTTCATTTTACCCAGAAATGAAGACACATTAACAAAAGTAGGACTGCACACACATAGACAGAATTACAAATATGATATCTGTTATAGAGAGGAAATAGAATAGTATCCATTTTGATATCACATAAAGACTGATTTTCAATCAGATTGAAAATACTATTTTTTTCCCTCCATCATTCTTCTAAGAACATGAAAAACATTACTTCTACACAGCATTTTAATCAGATATGCTTTGTTTAAATTAATTATATTCTTCACCTGGGCGCGGTGGCTCACGCCTGTAATCCCAGCACTTTGGGATGCCGAGGCGGGCAGATCACGAGGTCAGAAGATGGAGACCATTCTGGCTAACATGGTGAAACCCCGTCTCTACTAAAAATACAAAAAATTAGCCGGGCGTGATGGTGGGTGCCTGTAGTCCCAGCTACTCGGGAGGCTGAGGCAGGAGAATGGCATGAACCTGGAGGCGGAGCTTGCAGTGAGCCGAGATGGCGCCACTGCACTCCAGCCTGGGCGACAAAGCAAGACTCCGTCTCAAAAAACAAACAAATAAACAAACAAACAAACCAAAAACAAATAAGCTCAATAAATATCACAAATATAAAGTATAATGTAGAGGAAGGAAAAAGCAAGTTGCTGCTGGGCGCAGTGGCTCACGCCTGTAATCCCAACATTTTGGGAGGCTGAGGCAGGCAGAACATGAGGTCAGGAGTTCCAGACCAGCCTGGCCAACATGGTGAAACCCTGTCTCTACTAAAAATACAAAAATTAGCTGGGCGTAGTGGTGCATGCCTGTAATCCCAGCTACTCAGGAGGCTGAGGCAGTAGAATTGCTTGAACCTGGGAGGCGGAGGTTGCAGTGAGCCGAGATCACCCCAAAACACTCCAAAAAAAAAAAAAAAAAGAAAAAAAAAAGCAAGGAAAAAGCAAGTTGCAAAAGAAGACATACAGTATGACTTCACTTAAGTTCAAAAATCTGTAAAGTATATGTATTCGTGAGTGTGTGTGTGTGCAGGAGACATACATAATAAAAGTATAAAGAAAATCAAAGAAAATAGGTCGGGCACAGTGGCTCATGCCTGTAATCCCAACACTTTGGGAAGCCAAGGTGGGTGGATCACCTGAGGTCAGGAGTTTGAGACCAGCCTGGCCAAAATGGTGAAAACCCGCCTCTACTAAAATAAAAAAAAATTAGCTGGGTGTGGTGGCAGGTCCTGTAATCCCAGCTACTAAACCCGGGAAGCGGAGGTTGCAGTGAGCCAAGATCACGCCACTGCACTCCAGCCTGGATGACAGAGAGAGACTCTATCTCAAAAAAAAAAAAAAAAAAAAAAGAACAAAAATTTCAGAATTATAATTATCTCTAGCAAGAATGGTTAAATGGCAAATTGAAGGTTTCAGTCAAATTATTAAAGTTCTATTTTTTAAGCTATAGGTTGGTTACACGGCTGTTCATTTTATTATTCTTTTTTTTTTTTTTTTTTTTTTTTTGAGACGGAGTCTCACTTTGTCGCCCAGGCTGGAATGCAGTAGCGTGATCTCGGCTCACTGCAAGCTCCGCCTCCCGGGTTCATGCCATTTTCCTGCCTCAGCCTCCCAAGTAGCTGGGACTACAGGCGCCCACCACCATGCCCGGCTAATTTTTTAAATATTTTTTAGTAGAGACGGGGTTTCACCGTGTTAGCCAGTATGGTCTCGATCTCCTGACCTTGTGATCTGCCTGCCTCAGCCTCCCAAAGTGCTGGGATTACAGGCATGAGCCACTGCGCCCGGCCTCATTTTATTTTTCTTAATAACTTACATGTACATAATACGTATCATTTTGTATGTATAAAATATTTTATAGTAAAAATTTCAGTAACATATATAGGTATAGGTAATCACTAAAAGAATAGAATAGAGGCTGGGTGTGAAGGCTCACATCTGTAATCCCAGCACTTTGGGAGGCCAAGGTGGGCAGATCACTTGAGGCCAGGAGTTCAAGACCAGCCTGGCCAACATGGTGAAACCTCGTCTCTACTAAAAATACAAAAATTAGCCCGGCGTGGTGGCACACACCTGTAATCCCAACTACTTGGGAGGCTGAAAGGAGAATTGCTGGAACCCGGAAGGCAGGGGTTGCAGTAAGCTGAGATCACACCACTGCACTCCACCTTCAGTGACGGAGTGAAACTGTCTTAAAAAAGAATTGTAAATTAAGGTGACAGTAATAAAACCTGCAAGATCAATCATAAAAAAATAATAGAATAAAATGTATAACTTCTTTTTTTTGAGACAGAGTCTCACTCTGTCGCCCAGGCTAGAGTACAGTGGCGCAATCTCGGCTCACTGCAAGCTCTGCCTCCTGGATTCCTTCCATTCTCCTGCCTCAGCCTCCCGAGTAGCTGGGACTACAAGCACCTGCCACCATGCCCAGCTAGTTTTTTGTATTTTTAGTAGAGACAAGGTTTCACCGTATTAGCTAGGATGGTCTCGATCTCCTGACCTCGTGATCCACCCGCCTCGGCCTCCTAAAGTGCTGGGATTATAGGCGTGAGCCACCACTCCCGGCCATAAATGTATAACTGCTAAAGCAAGAAAGAGGAGTGACATTAGCGAGATGTCAGAATAGAACTTTTTAGAGCTCATCCCATTCATGAAGCCTGGGGAAACATTAATTAGTATCTGTACACCAAAGTAGCATCACAAAAATCAGGTGAGACATTATATCACATAAGTATATCACAGAACTCAGACACACTGAAGACAGCATAGGGAGGACAGTTTCACATTACCCACGTTACCTCACCCCCAACCACAAGCAGCACAGCATGGAGAGAGATACTATTAGGAGAAGGAAGTGAGCACTGGACATTGCCTCAGACCGCAATACCAGGCCCACTTAAGTAAAACCCAGCACCAGGCAGGCCTCCAAAGCCCCACACTTCAGGCCCACCCCAGCACTAAGCCAGTCCTCCCAACTCCAGACCTTAGGCCTACCCCCCAGATTCAGACACCAGCTGGAGACTGTAGGCATGCCCCACTACTAGGCTTATCCCATAGGTCCCAGCTTCCAGACCACTCCCAGCACTAGGCTAGCCCCCATGGCCCCAGCCTCCAGGCCAGCCTCTGTAGACCCATCCTCCAGGGCAGTACCTACAGATTGCAACATCAGGTTGACTGTGTAGTCCCAGAACCCAGGCCTGCCTCCACAGACTCAGCCTCTGACCCATCTTCCAGGCCCATCCCAGTGCCAGGCTAGCCCCTGCTGGCCTGGCCTCCAGGCCTATCCCCGCACCAAGCCAGCCCTCACAGCCCTAGACTCCAGGCCAGTACCCACAGACCCAGCCTCTAGCCCCACTGCTACACCAGGTTGGCAACCACAGACCCTGGATCAGGACTAGTCCCTGTGGATACAAGCTCCAGACCTGCCAAGTGCCAGGCCAGGCCCCATGAGCTAAGGATCAAGACCTTCCCCAGGCCCCAGACTGGCCCAGCACCATGCCAGCCTACACGGCCCCAGGCTTCAGGCCCACCCCAGCACCAGGTTGGTATTTGCAGACCCAGTAGATCAAAGCCCACCCCTATGGCCTCAAGAACCAGGCCAGTACCCTCAGACTCCACCTCCAGGCCTGCCCCAGAGGATACAGGTTCCAAATTCACCCTACCATGCCAGCCCTTGGGTCCCAGCTCCATGCCAGTCCCCAAGGACTCAAGCTTCGGGCCCGCCCTAGACTCCAGATCAGCCCAATGCCAGGCTGACCCCCATGGACACAGGCTCCAGGCCATTCCTTGTGGGCCCACACTTCAGCAGACCCAGAGCCCAGACCCAGTAGACAATAGCACTAGGAAGGTACCTATAGACCCATCCTCCAGGATCATTTCTGAGTCCCAGTTTCCAGGCTGGCCCCAGTGGCCCCAGGTAGACTCTCACAGACCCAGCCTCCAAGCCAACCTAGAGCTAAGCCATCCCTCAAAACACCAGGCACCAGCCCAGACATCATGGACCTAGCCTTCCAGCCAGTACCTACACAGCCAGCCTCCAGTCTGTTCCCCATGGACCCAGGGAACAGGACCATCCCCATGAATCCAGGCTCTGGGCCAGTCCCCAGGCCCTCAGGTTCTAATGAACCCAGGGTCCAGGCCCACCATATTAGACACTAAAAACAGCTTGGCCCCTGTTAATTGAGGCTCCAGGGCTATACCTGCAAACCAGGCTGGTCCAGGCCAGCTCCTGCAGACCCAGGATCCAGGTCCACCCCTGTAGACCCAGGCTCCAGGCCTATGCCTATGGACAGATGCCAGGCCTGTCCCAGTTTCTGGCCAGCCCCTGCAGACTCAGGCTCAAGACCTGCCTTGGTGGCAGATTGGCCCCAGTGGGCTCAGGATTCAGGAAAGCCCCCATGGACACAGGCTCTGCATCTGCCCTCACAGACACAATATCTAAGCCTGTTGCAACAGACTCAGTCAACAGATCTACCCCAGTGGACCCTGGTGCCAGACCAGCCCCCACAGACCCAGAATCCAGGATCATTCCATCAGACCCAAGCTCTAGGCCTGCCCCAGTGGACTGAGACACAAGGCCCAACTCTGTGGACCCAGATGTGAGGTCCTCCACCTGCTGATCCAGGCACCAGACAATACTACCCAAGGGCTCCAGCAGTAAGCCCTCTTACAAGCAACACCAGCTAGCCTGCCCAGAATCTCTGGGCAGGCTGACTGGTAAAGGGTTTTCCCTGCCAAAGCCAGTCTGCAAAAACTGGAATAAATCCCTACCTCTTTAAATGCACAGGCATCAACACATGGCTACAAGTATCACAAACAATCAGGAAAAACATGACACCACCAAAGAAAGAAAATAAAACACCAGTAACCAGATCTAACAGAAAAGGAGATTTATAAACTGACTAAAAAATAATTCAAACAATTGTCTTTAAAATGCTCGGTGAGCTACAAGAGAATACAAATAGACAACTAAATGAAATTATAAAAACAATACATGAACAAAATGAGAAGTTCAACAAAGATAAAGAAATTACGAAAAAAAAAAAAAGATGACTGAACTCTGAACTGATGGTTTCCATAAAGAGTCTTCAACAGTAGGCTCAATCAATAAAAAGAAAGAATCAGGTAGCTTGAAGACAAGTCATTTGAAATTATGCAGTTAGAGGAACAAAAGAAGCAAAGAAAAATAATAAAGAAAGCCTACAGAAATTATACAACATTATCAAGTAAACCAATGTAGACACATTCTGGGTGTCCTAAAGGAGCAAAGAAAGAGAAAGGGGCAGAGAAAGAGAAAGGGGTATTGCTATAAAGAACTACCTGAGACTGGGTAATTTGTAATGAAGAGGTTTAATTGACTCACAGTTCCACAGGCTGTACAGGAAGCATGGCTTGAGGGGCCTCAGGAAACTTACAATAATGGTGGAAGGCGAAGGGAAAGCAGACATGTCTTACATGGCCAGAGAAGGAGGAAGAGAGAGAGAATGGGGAGGTGCTACACACTTAAACAACTAGATCTCATGAGAACTCACTCACTAATCATGAGAACAGCAAGGGGGATGTAAATCCCTATGGTCTAATAACCTCCCACCAGGCCTCTCCTCCAACACTGGGGATTACAATTCAACATGAGATTTGAGTGGAGACACAAATCCAAACCATATCAGGGCAAAAAAGCTTATTTAAAAAAATAATGATAGAAAATTTTTCAAATTTGGAAAGAGAAATAAACAACCAGATTCATAAAGCCCAAAGAGTCTGGGTGCGGTGGCTCATGCCTATAATCTTAGCACTTTGGGAGGCCAAGGTGGGAGGAACACTTGAGGTCAGGAGTTCAAGACCAGCCTGACCAACATAGTGAAACCCTGTCTTTACTAAAAATACAAAAATTAGTTGGGCATGATGGTGCACACCTGTAATCCCAGCTACTCGGGAAGCTGAGGCAGGAGAATTGCTTGAACCTGGGAGATGGAGTTTGCAGTGAACCGAGATTGTGCCACTGAACTCCAGCTTGGGTGACAGAGCAAGACTCCATCTCAAAAAAAGAATAGAAAAGAAAAGAAAAAATTAGCTGGGTGTGGTGGCACATACCTGCAGTCCCAGCTACTCCGGAGGCTGGGGCAGGAGAATTACTTGAACCCAGGAGGCAGAGGTTGCAGTGAACTGAGATCTCGTCACTGTACTCCAGCCTGGACAACAGAGCGAGACTTCGTCTCAAAAAACACACAAAAAAACAAAAAATATAAAGCCCAAAGAACCCCAAATAGATTAAATATAAAAAGATCTTAATGTGTCAGCAAGACACATTATCATCAAACTCTCCAAAGTAAAAGAGAGAATTTTGAAAGAAACAAGAGAAAAGCAACTTATCATATACAATGGAACCTCCAGATTTCTCAACAGAAACCTTGCAGGCCAGAAGACAGTGGGATGATATAGTCATAGTAATGAAAGAATAAAACTGCCAACCAAGCATACTATGCCCAGCAAGGCTGTCCTTCAGAACTAAAGTACAGGTAAGGACTTTCCCAGATAGACAAGTTGTAGGAGTTCATCACCACTAGACCTGCCTTCCAAAAAATTCTAAAGATAGCTCTTCAAATTACAAAAAAAAGACACTAATAACAAGAAAACATACAAAAGTATAAAACTCCTTAGTAAAAGTAAGTATATAATCAAATCCAGAAAATTTTAATACTGCAATGGTGGTGTGTAAATCATGTATACTTTTAGTATGAAGGTTAAAAGACAAAACTATTAAAAATAATAATAGCTGTAATAATTTGTTAAGGGATGCCCAACATAAAAAGATGTAAATTAGAGCATCAAAAAAATGTGGGGGAGGGGTATAAATGTGTAGAGACTTTTATGCAACTGATATTAAGTTGTTCTCAGCTTACAATAGCTGTTATAATTATAAAATGGTTCATGTAAGCTTCATAGTAACTGTAGTAACTACAAAGCAAAAATCTATAGTAGACACACAAAAAATGAAAAGTAAGGAATCAAAGCATACCACTAAGGAAAATCATCTAATCGCAAAGAAAGACAGCAAGAGAGTAAGAAAAGAACAAAGGATCTAAAACAACCAGGAAACAATTACCAAAATGGCAGTAATAACTTCCTACCTATTAATAAAATTCCCCAATCAAAAGACATAGAGTGGCTTAAAAACAAAACAAACAAAGATACCAAACTATATGCTGCCTACAAGAGACTTATTTCACCTTCAATGACACAAATACACTGAAAGTAAAGCATTGGAAAAAGACATTCCACACAAATGGAAACCAAGAGAGCAAGTATAGCTATACTTACATCAGAAAACATAGACTTAAAGTAGAAAACTGTAACAAGAGGCCGGGTGCAGTGGCTCATGCCTGTAATCCTAGCACTTTGGGAGGCCAAGGCAGGCGAATCACCTGAGGTCAGGAGTTCAAGACCAGTCTGGCCAACATGGTGAAACCCATCTCTACTAAAATACAAAAAATTAGCCAGGCATAGTGGCATGCACCTGTAGTCCCAGCTACTCGGGAGGCTGAGGCAGGAGAATTGCTTGAACCTGGGAGATGGAGGTTGCAGTGAGCCAAAATCACGCCACTGCACTCTAGCCTGGGTGACACAGCAAGACTCTGTCTCAAAAATAAATAAATAAATAAATATTTTCAGCAAATTAAGTATCGAGGGAATGTGCCTCAACACAATAAAGGCCACATATGACAAACCCACAGCTAGCAATAAACTCAACAGTGAGAAGTTGAAGGCATTTCCTCTAAGATCAGGTACAAAAAGGATGCCCGTTTTTACCACTTCTATTCAGCATAGTACTGGAAGTCTTAGCCAGAGCAACTAGGCAAGAAAAAGAAACAAAAGATATCCACAATGGAAAGGAAGAGTTAAATTGTCTGTTTGCAAATGACATGATCTTATGTATAGAAAACTCTAAAGCCTCCCCCCCAAAAAAACTGTTAGAACTAATAAACAAATTCAGTAAAGTTGCAGGACACAAAATGAACATATAAAAATCAGTAGCATTTGTATACACTAACAACAAACTATCCCAAAAAGAAATTGAGAAAATAATTTCATTTACAAAAGCTACAAAAAATAAAATACTTAGGAATTAATTTAACCAGGTGAAATATCTATATGCTGAAAACTGAAAAAAAAAATTGACAAAAGAAATTGAAAACACAAATAAATGGAAAGATATCTCATGTTCATGGATTGAAAGAATTAATATTGTTAAAATGTCCACACTACCCAAAGCAATCTATAGATTTAATGCAATCCCTACCAAAATTCCAAGACACTTTTCATAGAAATAGAAAAATAATCTTAAAATTCATATCAAACTATGAAAGACCTCAAATAGCCAAAACAATCTTGAGCAAAAAGAACAAAGTGGGAGACATCATATTATCTGATTTGAAAATATACTACAGACCTAATCAAAAGAGCAGAGTACTGGCATAAAAACAGACACAATTAGTGAGTACAAGGTTAACTCCAAGATGTCTAATAACCACTACATTATACCATCTCTATTAAAATTTTAATTAAAATTTTTAAATTTGTATGCCTCATAATATAGTACAGTTATTCCTTCTATGTTATCTCTGACATCGACTTTCTGTGTAGAAATTTCTAGTAATAGAGCATTCTACTTTTCTAGGAAGCTGTAATTTGAAATGTAGGTAATTTTAATGGACTATGTAAGCATCTAGACAGAGGAGACCACATAGATTTTAAAAAAGGTGGGGTGGGCAGAGAAGGAGGATGATGGATAGGTAGGCTGAGGCCACATCAGTAACACCTTATTCATTTAACAGAGGTGGAATATTGAAGGTTATTGGGAAAGTAACAATCCAAGGTATGTTTTAGAAAGACAAATTGAATTGCTATAAGGAATATGGATCCTTTCAAAGTACTGCTCAAGATTGACATCACTGTATCTAAATTATCTTTCATTTGTTTTTAAGATGTTCATCTCAAGAACCAGCATGCTAGTACTCACTTTGTTATATATCACATATTACATTGATCAAAGTATTTCTTTTGGCTGGATCCTAGATTTAGCCTCAGAATTTTCCTCAACACAAGCCAGTCACAGTGGCTCATGCCTGTAATCCCATCACTTTGGGAGGCTGGATCACTTGAGATCAGAAGTTTGATACCAACCTGGCCAACATGGTGAAACCCCATCTCTACTAAAAATACAAAAATTAGCTAAATTAGCTGAGCATGGTGGTGCACACCTGTAGTCCCAGCTACTTGGGAGGCTGAAGTGGGAGAATCGCTTGAACCCACAGGCAGAGGTTGCAGTGAGCCAATATTGCATCACTGCACTCCAGCCAGGGTGACAGAGTGAGACTCCATCTCAAAAAAAAAAAAAAAAAAAAAAAAGAATTTTCCTCAGCGCGATTCTCCTATTCTTCTAGCAGCAATGATCAATTGAAGAAACTTCTTTGCAGGCCCGGGCACTGTAAAAAAGAACAGGATTTGGCCGGGCGCGGTGGCTCACGCCCATAATCCCAGCACTTTGGGAGGCCGAGGCAGGTGGATCACGAGGTCAGGAAACAGAGATGACCAACATGGTGAAACCCCATCTCTACTAAAAATTCAAAAATTAGCCGGGCGTGTTGGCGTGTGCCTCTAGTCCCAGCTACTCAGGAGGCTGAAGCAGGAGAATCGCTTGAACGCAGGAGGCGGAGGTTGCCGTGAGCCGAGACCGTGCCACTGCACTCCAGCCTGGGCCACACAGCGAGACACTGTCTCAAAAAAAAAAAAAAAGGCCGGGTGCGGTGGCTCACGCCTGTAATCCCAGCACTTTGGGAGGCCAAAGTGGGCAGATCATGAGGTCAGGAGATCATCCTGGCTAACACAGTGAAACCCTGTCTCTACTAAAAAAATACAAAAAATTAGCTGGGCGTGGTGGCGGGCGCCTGTAGTCCCAGCTACTCGGGAGGCTGAGAGGCAGGAGAATGGCGTGAACCCAGGAGGCAGAGTTTGCAGTGATCTGAGATCGTGCCATGCACTCCACCCTGGGCAACAAAGCGAGACTCCACCTTAAAAAAAAAAAAAAAAACAGGATTTGGAATTAGATGTCCAGCATCAGCTCTACTTCCTACATATCTGTGTGACCTTAAACAAGGTACTGTGCACCCATAAGCCTTGGTTATAAAATGGATTGATAATACTTATCTTACAGAATTATACAACAGAATGTATGTAAAAACCCTAATGAGTACCTGCCCCATAATGGCTATTTAATAAATATTAGTCTACCTTTCCTCTATATAGCTATTCAAACTAGTACATAATATGGACCCAGCACTTTCATAATACTATTTTCAATAACTATAAATCCCAATTTAAAGATACACATTTATCTTAGGATGATAGTATACCAAATATACACTTCCCTTAAAATCTTTGCTCAAATGTCACCTTTAAGGCCTACCTTAACAACCATATTTAAAAATTGTGGCCGCGCCTGTAGTCCCAGCACTTTGGGAGGCTGAGGCAGGCAAATCACTTGGGTCCAGGAGTTTGAGACCAGCCTGGGCAACATAGTGAGACTCCATCTCTAAAAAAACCACAAAACTTAGCTGGACATGGTGGCACACGCCTGTAGTACCAGCTACTCAGGAGGCTGAGGTAGGAGATTGCTTGATCCCAGGAGTTTGAGGCTGAAGTGAGCCATAATGTTTGCAATTCACTCCAGCCTGGGTGGCAGCAGGAGACCCTGTCTCAATAAATAAATAAATAATAAATAAATAAATAAAATTACAACAGTACCATTCCTAGTACTCTTAACCCTTTTATCCTCTTCTTTTTTCCTTAGCACTTAACCACCTTCTAAGATAACGTATAAATGTTGTTATCTCTTATTATCTTGGTAGAAAGTGAGCTCCACTAGAGTAGGAATCCCATTTCACTGATGCACCCCAAGCACCTAGAACTGTGCCTGACCTACAACAAGTGCTCTATAAGGATTTGTTGGCCAGGCACGGTGGCTCATGCCTGTAATCCCAGCATTTTGGGAGGCCAAAGCGGGTGGATCACGAGGTCAGGAGTTCAAGACCAGACTGGCCAACATGGTGAAACCCTGTCTCTACTAAAAATACAAAAATTAGCTGGGTGTGGTGGCGGGCTCCTGTAATCCCAGCTATTCAGGAGGCTGAGGGAGGAGAATTGCTTGAAGCCGGGAGGCAGAGGTTGCAGTGAGCCAAGATCCTGCCACTGTACTCCAGCCTGGATAACAGAGCAAGTCTCCATCTCAAAAAAAACAAAAAAGTGTTGAATTAATTATCTGAAAGTATAATATACTTAGGATTAAGTTTATCAATAATGGTGAAGATAAATCCGTATTTCAAAACTTCTTGATAATTTTGAGTTTTTGTCCAATTTCTTGACAGATCTAATGATATCACCATTGCATTGTCTTTATTTTGTAATATGTTAGAGAAGAGCTCTAATGAGATCACCGTTATTTTCATCTGGTAATTGTGGCTGAGGAAGAACTCTATTAAAAGGAAAAAGAGTTGGCTTTGCCATTTTATCATTAGTACCATCTGCAAAACAAAATTTCTTTGCAAGAATCTTTTCAAGCTTAAATTATAGGTACAATTTTAAGGGTTATTTTAACTACATATTATAATCTATAAATTTACTTAACCCAAAAAATGCTAACTGCAACTACTGCTCAGTAAGCTGGAAGCAAGCAAAAGAATGAAAGATCCCTGAAAGCCTCTCTGTGTTGTGCAATTCCTACTCTTCTCTCAAAACACTGCATTTATCTGATTTATACTTACCACTACTTAGGAGATTACTACTTTAAGTAACCAATGCAAAATAAAACACAAATTATATAATTTGTCCTTAGCGTTAAGGAAAATGGCAAATCCGGGTACCTTCCCAATTCATGTCACAGACTATTATTAGGTTTTTCTGCCAGAGTAAAGGCTAATTGCATGAATATCCTGTTTAGTCCTGGTAAGGGAGGGGGTGGGTTGCATTCCTGAAATAGGTGTGCAAACTAAATCTGTATATGTGTAGTTGTTTAGCATAGCCCCTGTGGAGATGCTTTTGTAAGTCAGCATTGTTCCCTTCAAATCCCCTGAAGTCACTGCATCCCTTAGGTAACAGTCACCTCGTGCTACCATTCCTACAATTATCGGTCAATCCTCCAAGACTTCAGTAATGTTTATTATGCCCTTCATAATGTCAAAGAGCTCTACCAGTGTTGAAAGGGCTTCTGGCTGTTCCTGACTCCTTTTCCTCTACCCTTCGCTTGAAGACACCTCAAGCTGCCTTGAAAATGCATTTTAACACCCAGTATGATGCCCTTCCTTTGTTACTTTGTAACGAAGTGCTATTCATGTATGTCTTTTGTCAGCTATTACAGGTTTGCTACAGCACAGGATAAATGGCAGGGAGAGGCTACAGTAGAGTAGATCCATTGCCTAACACACTCAACTCAGGAGTGCAAGATAAAGAGCTCTGAGGATTGAGAGTGGATGGCCAGAGTTCAGATGTCCTGAAAGTTCAAAGACCAAGAGTATACAACAGCTCAGAGAACATGATGGGTGTGGTATGTGTGTGTCAGTGGGGGCGTGGTGTGGGGATGGATACACATACATGCACACACACACACACACACCCATGTACACACACACATCAGTAACATACATTATGTTTATATGGGAAATATTTCAGATACAGAGATATAGAAAAATCGGTGTTGTTTAAAGCTGTTTTTCTTGTCCTGATGAGTGTTGTCTTTCTGAAACAACATTTTGGAAGGTTATAAACTTATTTTCAAATCCTCAAAGCATTTTTAGAATTCTGTGTGGAAAGGCCTTTGCAGACTAAAGCACATTCTATTGGTCATCCTTAAGGATGAGAAATTGTCATTATTTGATGCTGGCTCTAATTCTAGACAAAAGCCTCTAAAAGTGAGTTGTAGAAAAGTGGATAATTGGCCGGGCGCAGTGGCTTATGCCTGTAATTCCAGCACTTTGGGAGGCCAAGGCGGGGCGGATCAGGAGGTCAGGAGATCGAGACCATACTGTCTCTACTAAAAATACAAAAAGTTAGCTGGGTGTGGTGGCACATGCCTGTAGTCCCAGCTACTCGGGAGCCTGAGGCAGGAGAATCGCTTGAACCCGGGAGGCAGAGGTTGCAGTGAGCCGAGATTGCACTATTGTACTCCAGCCTTGGCCACAAGACCGAAACACTGTCTCAAACAACAACAAAAACAAGTGGATAATTGAGCTAGTACTATTTAGGGAATCAAAAGTTGCATGTCACTATAAAGTAATTAGACAGATTTTCTTATGATTATTTATAACATCTCATGAATTTTATAGTACTTCATAATAATTTTGGAGTACTTTAGAAAAGAGAACTCAGAAATGACACATGGTACCACAAAGAAAAGATAGTGGAGAAGGAAAAAACGCATTTAAATTATAATATTCATTATTTATGATGATCAAAAACCATTAGTAATAGCTCATTATTTTCAGCTATTGAACCAGTTTTATGGACCTATTCGTTTGGTCCAAAATAATGCAAGATTTAAAACATGTTATATACACATGTTTATATATACATGTATATATAGGATAATGAAAGTTTTGTTATATCTTAGAAAAATATGAAGTTGAGAAAACATTTATATAATTAGTATCATTAATGTTCTGTCTTTTTTTTTTTTTTTTTTCGGAGATGGAATCTCGCCTGTCGCTCAGGCTGGAGTGCAGTGGGGCAATCTTGGCTCACTGCAAGCTCCACCTCCCAGGTTCATGCCATTCTCCTGCCTCAGCCTCCCAAGTAGCTGGGACTACAGGCGCCCGCCACCACGCCCGGCTAATTTTTTTTTTTTTTTTGTATTTTTAGTAGAGACGGGGTTTCACCGTGTTAACCAGGATGGTCTTGATCTCCTGACCTCGTGATCCGCCCACCTCAGCCTCCCAAAGTGCTGGGATTACAGGCGTGAGCCACCGCGCCTGGCCAATGTTCTGTCTTATAGTTGGCCTTAAGTACTCACATCTATAATTTTGTTATGTATAAAACTAACCCTCTTCTTAGGATGCCATCTCCAAGAAAGCTTACTTTCCCATTCCCATGAGACCATCTGTACCCAAACTTGTTTGATATTGGTAAATGCTAAAATTTTGAAATAAAAGACAAAAGTGTTTTCAATATACATTTTTAAAACCTTAAAACCTTTTTAAAAATATCGTGTGCATTAGAACGTAACTGCTAGGAACCCTGGTTTGGTATTAGGGTTTACTAACATTATTATTTTTTTTCTCTTGTTACTTGCCCATAGGGCTTACTAACATTTTAAGCGTCTTAACTCTGCTAGTAGTCGGCAAGTTCATTAGGTTAGGCTCCGTTTTTAAGCCACTTAGTGTAAGACTTCAGTAAATTATTTCTGAATGCCAACCAATGTATTATAGAGACAGTGTGGGAATAAAACACTGGACATTTTCTTTTTTTTTTTAATAAAAACTGTATATATTTAAAATGTACATGGCTATACACATAAGAGATCAAAATAAAATAAAATGTACAATATGTTTTGATATACATTAGCTTGACTACAGTCAAGCTCATTAATATGTCTATCTCCTCATATAGTTACTGTGTGGTGGGTGGTGGGGGCGGCGAGCTGGATATTTTCAAAAGAGAAATTACCAAAGAAAATGCACGCACTCTTGAAAAGGTGTTAGAATGCTAGATAATAGTAAAGGGAAACAGAGTAGTTTGATTAGAATATTGACATTTCATTTGATACAATAGGTTTACCAAGTAAGAAATTAAGAATTTCTCTGTCCGGGCTCATGCCTGTAATCCCAGCACTTTGGAAGGCCAAGGTGGGCAGATCACGAGGTCAGGAGATCGAGACCATCCTGGCTAACACAGTGAAACCCCATCTCTACTAAAAATACAAAAAATTAGCCAGGTGTGGTGGCGGGTGCCTGTCATCCCAGCTACTCGAGAGGCTGAGGCAGGAGAATGGCATGAACCCAGGAGGTGGAGTTTGCAGTGAGCCGAGATCATGCCACTGCACTCCAGCCTGGGTGACAGAGTGAGATTCTGTCTCCCAAAAAGAAAAAAAAAAAAGAATTTCTCAGGCGGGGCTCCGTGGCTCATGCCTGTAATCCCAACACTTTGGGAGGCCAAGGCAGGCGGATCACCTGAAGTCAGGAGTATAAGAACAGCCTGGTCAACATGGTGAAACCCCATCTCTAAAAAAAAACATAAAAATTAGCCAGGAGTGTTGGTGCATGCCTGTAATCCAGCTACTTGGGAGGCTGAGGCACAAGAATCACTTGAACCCGAGAGGTGGAGATTGCGGTGAGCCAAGATCGCGCCACTGCACTCCAGCCTGGGCGACAGAGTGAGACTCTGTCTCAAAAACTATATATAATTAAATTTAAATATATATATATACACACACACACATGCATGTATAAAATCTATACTGAATATGTATAGATTTTCTCTTGTCATTGTTCCCTAAACAATATACAATATAGTATAATAACTATTTACATAACATTTACATTCTATTATGTATTATAAGTAATCCAGAGATGATTTAAAGTGTATGGGAGAATGTGTGTAGGTTATATGCAAATACCACACCATTTTATATAAGGGACTTCAGTATTCATGGATTTCGTTATGGTGAGGGGGCTGTGAAACTAATCCACTATGGATACTATATTTTCTATCATAACACTTTTCCTTGTTTATCATGTTTTTTTTGGAGGTGGTGTTTTTTGGAGACGGAGTCTCGCTCTGTCACCCAAGCTGGAGTGCAGTGGTGCAATCTCTGCTTACTGCAACCTCCACCTCCCAGATTTAAGCAATTCTCCTGCCTCAGCCTCCCAAGTAGCTGGGATTACAGACATGAGCCACCACGCCCTGCTAATTTTTGTATTTTTAGTAGAGGCAGGACTTCACCATGTTGGCCAGGCTAGTCTCAAACTCCTGACCTCAGGTGATCCACCCACCTCAGCCTTCCAAAGTGCTGGGATTATAGGTATGAGCCACCATGCCCGGCCTCTTTATCACATTTTGTACTTTGTTGTTTCTTGTCTTTTATCTGTCTGCTCCATCAGACCCTATGGTGGAGAGAGCGTGACCATGTCTGTTTGGTTACCACTACATATCTAATACCTGGTGTTTTATAGGTTCTCTATTCATTTGCCTAAATGAATGAAAAAAAAAAAAGCCAAATACATGGATTTCAAACTGTAATGTATAAGGTGACTTCAGGATCTTTTTCTGCTTGTTTTTGTTTTTTTGTGTTTTTTTTTGTATTTTTAGTAGAAATGGGGTTTCTCCATGTTGGCCAGTCTGGTCTTAAACTCCTGACCTCAGGTGATCCGCCCGCCTTGGCCTCCCAAAGTGCTGGGATTACAGGCGTGAGCCACTGCGTCCGGTCTGACTCCAGGATCTTAATGAGCTTCAACCTCAAGTACTATTATGTTTAAAACATTGGACCTGGGTTCAAATTCCAGTTTAATTACTTACTAGCTATGTAACTTTGAGCTATTTACTTAAGTCCTCCAAATCTCAAATTCTTCCAAAAGGAGCTAAAAATAGTATCTGCTTCTCAGAGTTGTGAGAACTGAATGATAATATTCCTCCCTCCCTGTGAAGCTATTAAGCACTCAATAAATGGTTGATATTATTATTCATATTAGAATTTCTTTTGTCTCCCACTGGTTATTTGTTCTTCTTTTCTCTGCATCAATTGCTTCACTTAAAGCACCAATTCTAATTTAATGAGGTTATTTTAAATGTGATCTTGGCTCAAAGGTCTTCTAGACAATATGATAAGGAATGCTGACCTTATCACAGCAACACTGTATAACCTTCCATTCCATATGAATATAGCAGCGTCCCTGTTTGGGAAACTTTTAGGAAACTCTATGTATAGATTCACTGAACACATATTTAATGAGTACCAGGTATGTGTCAGGTAGTATTCTAGGAGTCAGGGATATACCAGTGAACGAAATACACAAAGATCACTGCCTTTCTGGAGTTGACATTCTAGTATTATTTGCTATAATGCAAAAGAATTTGTGAATTTTAGAAATTTGGTGAATTTTTTAAAAGGGGATTCCTTTAAATAGCTATAAACTATACTTAAAATGTAGCCGGGTTGGCTGGGCATGGTGGCTCATGCCTGTAATTCCAGCACTTTGGGAGGCCGAGGTGGGTAGATCATGAGGTCAGGAGTTCAAGACCAGCCTGGCCAATATGGTGAAATCCCGCCTCTACTAAAAATACAAAAATTAGCCGGGCATGGTGGCACGCACCTGTAATCCCAGCTAATTGGGAGGCTGAGACAGGAGAATTGCTTGAACCCGTGAGGCGGAGGTTGCAGTGAGCCGAGATCACGCCACTGCATTCCAGCCTGGGTGACAGAGCAAGACTCCATCTCAAAAAAATAAAATAAACTAAAAGTAGCCGGGCATAGTGGCTCATGCCTGTAATCCCAGCACTTTGGGGGGCCAAGGCGGGCAGATCACTTGAGGTCGGGAGTTCGAGACCAGCCTGACCAACATGGAGAAACCCCATCTCTACTAAAAATACAAAATTAGCCAGGCGTGGTGGCACATGCCTGTAATCCCAGCTACTTGGGAGGCTGAGGCAGGAGAATCGCTTGAACCCGGGAGGCGGAGGTTGCAGTAAGCCGAGATCACCAGTGAGCCGAGATTGCACCAATTGTACTGCAGCCTGGGCAACAGGAATGAAACTCTGTCTCAAAACAAAACAAAAAGTAAGGCCATTCAGAAACATTAAATGTATCCTAATAAACATTTAATAAATACATTCTCATTAATGTATTTAGATAAGCATTCTAAAGACTCATCTATCACATAAAATAAGTATAGCTACAATAAAAGACTACCTCTACAGCCAGGTGCAGTGGCTCATGCCTGTAATCCCAGCACTTTGGGAGGCCAGGGCGGGCGGATCACAAGGTCGGGAGATTGAGACCATCCTAGCTAACACTGCAAAACCCCGTCTCTACTAAAAATACAAAAAATTAGCCGGGCATGGTGGCACACGCCTGTAGTCCTAGCTACTCGGAAGGCTGAGGCAGGAGAATCTCTTGAACCCGGGAGGCGGAGGTTGCAGTGAGTGGAGATCACGCCACTGCACTCCAGCCTGAGTGACAGAGCGAGACTCTGTCTCAAAAAATAAAAAATAAAACAATAAAATAAAAGACTACCTCTACAATCGGTTTTTTGTTTGTTTGTTTGTTTGTTTGTTTGTTTTTGAGATGGAGTTTCACTCTAGTTGCCCAGGCTGGAGTGCAATGGCACGATCTCGACTCACTGCAACCTCTGCCTCCCAGGTTCAAGAGATTCTCCTGCCTCAGCCTCCCTAGTAGCTGGGATTACAGGCATGCACCACCATGCCCGTCTAATTTTGTATTTTTAGTAGAGGCGGAGTTTCTCCATGTTGGTCAGGCTGGTCTCAAACTCCCAACAGCAGGTGATCTGCCCGCCTCGGCCTCCCAGAGTGCTGGGATTACAGGCATGAGCCACTGCGCCCGGCCTCTACAATAGGTTTAAAGCGCATCCGAGGCAGAGGTTGCAGTGAGCTGAGATTGTGCCACTGCACTCCAGCCTGGGCGACAGAACAAGACTCTGTCTCAGAAAAAATAAAAAATTAATAAAAAAAGAAAGTGTATCCAGCAAGAATCTGATAATCATACTCATGTTATGGCTGTTTCATTCATTAACAGATCATTTATTCTATAAGACACTTCCTGGCTTCAACTTCCTCCCCTCCTGAAGCTAGCCCTAATAAAAATTTCCTTTCTAGGCAACTATGGAGACAGCAAAAAGATCAGTGGTTACTAGGTTTTAGGGAGAGGATGAATATAGGTGGGGTACAGAGAATTGTTAGGGCAATGAAAATACCTTGTATGACACTATAATGATGGAGATATGTCATTATGCATTTACGCAAACCCATAGAATGTACAACACCAAAAGTGAACCCTAAAGTAAGCTATGGAGTTTGGGTGGTAAGGATTTGTCAATGTACAGTAGCTCCCCCTTATCAGAGGAAGATACATTCCAAGATCCCCAGTGGATGCCTGAAACCACAGATAGTATCAAGCCCTCTTTATATTCTTCACAATTTCACAGATAGAAGAGTTGTTCTTACCATAGATCCTAGCAACATCAGCATGCAATTTTTTTTCTTTTTTATTAATTAGAGAACTTTCTCCTTTTCACTGAAAGGTAGTACTTTATGGCTTCTCTTTGGCATATCCAAATTGCCAGCATCACTACCCTTGCACTTTGGGGCCTTTTTACTTTTTTTTTTTTTTTGAAATAGGGTTTTTCTCTGTTGCCCAGGCCGGAGTGCAGTGGCACCATCATAGCTCACTGCTGCCTCAAACTCCCGGGCTCAAAGGATCCTCATGTCTTGGCCTCCCAAAGTGCTGGATTGCCTGTGTGAGCCACCACACCCAGCCTGGGGCCATTATTAAGTAAAATAAGTGTTATTTGAGCACAAGCCCTGATATACTGTCACAGTATCTCAGCATAATCTGGTAACCGAGACCAATATGTGGGGAGTGTATACAGCAGGGATACACTGGACAAATGGATGATTCACATCCCAGTCAGGATGGAACAGGACAGCACAAGGTTTCAACATGCTACTCAGAATGGCACACAGTTTAAACTTATCAATTGTTTATTTCGGGAATATTCCATTTAATATTTTCAAACAGCAATTGACCATGGATAACTGAAACTGAGGATAAGATGGGATTTCTGTAGGTTCATCAGTTGTAACAAATGCCCCACTCTGATGTGACATGGTGATAATGGGAGAGGCTATGCATGTGTGCAGGCAGCGGGTATATGGGAAATCTCTGTATCTTCCTCTCAGTTTTGCTGTAAACCTAAAACTGCTCTAAAAAATAAAGTCGTTTTTTTAAATTGTCTTTCCATCTTTCTTTCTTTTCTTTTCTTTTTTTTTTTTTAAGACAGAGTCTTGCTCTGTCGCCCAGGCTGGAGGGCAGTTGTATGACCTTGGCTCACTTCAGCCTCCGCCTCCCAGGTTCAAGCAATTCTCCTGCCTCAGCCTCCCAAGTAGCTGGGACTGCAGGCACATACCACCATGTCCAGGTAATTTTTGTATTTTAGTAGAGACGGGGGTTTCACCATGTTGGCCAGGCTGGTCTCGAACTCCTGACCTCAGGTGATCCACCCACTATGGCCTCCCAAAATGCTGGGATTACAGACATGAGCCACCTCACCTGGCCGCCTTTCCATCTTTCAGTCTGTAAAATCCCAGATCTGAGTATAACATGTGAAGAAAATAAGTAGTTAGGTAAAAATGTGGAGGGCAACATAAAGGAAGGGAGGTTTTATTTCGCTTTGGCATTCCCCAGAGTGAATAAGAATATGCTTCTTTAATTCTATTACTTCTTAAAATCTTTTTTTTTTTTTTTTTTTTTAGACAGAGTCTTGCTCTGTTGCCCAGACTGGAGTGCAGTGGCGCCATCTTGGCTCACTGCAAGCTCTGCCTCCCAGGTTCACGCCATTCTCCTGCCTCAGCCTCCCATGTAGCTACAGGTGCGCACCCAGCGATTTTTTTGTATTTTTAGTAGAGTCGTGGTTTCACTGTGCTATCCAGGATGGTCTCGATCTCCTGACCTCGTGATCCACCCGCCTCAGCCTCCCAAAGTGCTGGGATTACAGGCGTGAGCCACCGCGCCCGGCCTTAAAATCTTGATAGTGTTTTATCACACTGTTAGTCCCAATTCATTAGTGGGCCATGAAATCAATTTTGTGGGTCTGACTAGCATTCTTTTTTTTACTAGAATAGAAAACAATGTGGTATTACACGATGTGAATTTTGTCCTGTGAAACTTGTGTTTCATGTATGTATATACGTAGTTACATGTATTTTATATATACTGGGTCATGATATAAAATGTATTTCTCATCATGAGTCATGGTCAAAGTTCGAAATATCACAGAAGCTTCATGTGTTGGGGAGGAGGAAGAAGGGGTCACTCCTAGATGCAAGAATGAGAGAATAAGCTGAGTTTTATGAATCAAAGTTCAATATTAAAACTTCTCCAAAATGGTAGTTTATAGATTTCTGTTTTAACTTTCTTTTTCTTTCTTTTTTTTTTTTTTTTTTTGAGATGGAGTTTTGCTCTTGTTGCCCAGGCTGGAGTGCAATGGCGCGATCTCAACTCACTGCAACTTCCACCTCCCGGGTTCAAGCGATTCTCCTGCCTCAGCCTCCTGAGTAGCTGGGATTACAGGTATGCACCACAACACCCGGCTAATTTTGTATTTTTTTTTCAGTAGAGACAGGGTTTCTCCATGTTGGTTAGGTTGGTCTCGAACTCCCAACCTCAGGTGATCCACCCACCTCAGCCTCCCAAAGTGCTAGGATTACAGGTGTGAGCCACCGCACCCAGTCATGTTTTAACTATTTGAGAGGAGAGCAGGAAACATTATGATCAGATGCATTCACTTTTAATTCAGAAAATCGATGCTAATTTAAAACAAACTTTTTTTTAACCTCTTTATATAAGGCAGAAAACGTTTTGTTCAGAAATAAAAGAAATATGGTTATGTTGAGTTCATTTTCAAAGTGCTGTGATTGCCACTAAGATCTAGCAATCCAAGATTCTCTGGGGTTCTCCTTAAGCCTGTCCTCTCCCTGGAAGAGTTGATCCTTCCTTCCTTTGTAAAATAACATGTGAATACCTAGGGCAAGGATAAGCCTCTTGGAAAAACAAAACAAGACAAAGATGTTCCTACCTTAATAGGTGGTAAATTCATGCTTCCCAACTGCAGGTTTCTTCATTCTAGGCTGAAAATTATAAGCAGTACCTTATAAATATTACTTGAAATAGGAGCCCTTAGATCAGGAAAGTCATTTTCTTAGGATATTAATTTACATCCTTTGAATGTTATTTATTTACAGGGCTTTAAAAGCAATTAAGACATTTAGGGAACACATTAAACCACAGATGAATGTGAATTTTTCTGTTGGACTATCTATCATTCAAAGGCTTACCCCTACCCTTTTCCACCCAGGGAGATAAATGTTTCAGAACCAAAGAGGCATATTTCCTTTCTGTCTGGTTTCTTAGAATTCATTTAAACATGCTTATTGAAATCTCCTGTCATGCAATATTTTAGCAAGATTCCCTAAATATATACTGCTTGCAGACTGTAAATATTGCATGACAAGATTGTTACCATGTTTTCTTCCTTAGGCAAACAATACCACAGTCAAAATCCTCTATATAAACAATTCCAGTCAGTATGTACATTAATTTACATAACAAAAAGTAGGTATAGCTGTTTTCCTCTAAGGCTTTTAAATAAGTAGAAGTGAATATTCAAAAACTGTAAATGCCTTGGGACAAGAGGACTGCCTACCTCCAAACTAAATTTCACTTTCTCTAAACAACACCCAAATCAGATCACAAAGAAAACATTTTCCTCTTTAAGGCACTGTCTTCAAAAAAACTTGAATTCCTAAGAAGTCCCAATGGGTTATAGACTGATAAGATCACCAGAAACAGAAGACTCCATAAGCATTTTTGAGACCAATTTCCTATTTCTAAAAAGGAAAGATACTTGTCAAAACTAAATATGACTCCTATTAAACAACTGCATAATCAGGACACTAGTAAACAAAGATTCATCCCCTTAGGTCTCTTGGCCATGGCATGGTGTAAAGTATTCTAGGAAAAAAGAGAAATGTCAGAGGTGGTTGCCACCCTTTTAACAGTTCATTATAGGTGGGGGTGGGTGAGAGGATCTGGGACTGAAATTTTACTCATCTAGCTACCTAAACTGTGGCAAAATAATCGGGTCTGTACGGAGGCAAACAACCAGTTAGAGAAATTAGAATCTTGATCCTGTTTTAAACTTTTGGGTTTCCATTTCCTTCATTTTAAAGGAAAATAACCATTTAAAATTTGATTTTTTTAAAGCTACAATGTTGACTCCCACAAGAATTACAGCTTTGACCCTAGTTTTCTGTTTATATCCACCAGTTAGGTATATGAACTTAACCAGTTTAACACGGACAGCTAGCAAATTGTCCTTCTTGTGGAAGAGTTCCTTTCACTCCTGCATAGTGGTTAAAGCACAGACTTTGGAATCATATAGGCTTGAGCTAGATGCCTAGTGGCCACTTTTTAGGTGCATAATTATGACCAAGTTGCTTAATCTCTCAACTAAATACTGAGAATATTATCTGTACCTATTAGACAGGGTCTTTATGAGAACTGAATAAGGCAATGCATACAAACAAATGGTAGCTCCGAGACTGAGAATAAGGAGGAGAAGGAGGAAGGGGAAGGGAATATTGAATGAGGAAAACTGAAAGGGAAGAAGACAGGAGAGAGGAGTAGGGACACAGGGAAGAGGTGGGGATAGTGGAAAGGGGTGAGGGGGGAAAGGAAAGAGAAAAGAAATACCACAATTATAGTCCCCTCTTTGTGAAGGACACCCACTGTACTTGGCAAACACTTAATCACATAACCTTGCTTGTACCTCATTATCCACTTTCTCCATCTTCACCTGAGCAGTTGGCTCACATTCCCCCCAAAAAACAACCATACAGCCATACTGACTAGGTTTCACTTGAAATTCATGTCCACAATTAGCAACTGATTTTTTGTTTGTTTGTTTGTTTGTTTTTGAGATGGAGTTTCGCTCTTGTTGCCCAGGCTGGAGTGCAATGGCGCCATCTCAGCTCACCGCAACCTCCGCCTCCTGGGTTCAAGTGATTCTCCTGCCTCAGCCTCCCGCAACCGATTTTAAAATAAAGAAAATTTCGTTTTCCAGCATTGATTAATTCAGTCGCACAATTATATAATGAAGAACCTAAGTGCTTTCCATCTTTTTCTTCTGCCAGACTCAAAACCATGAAATGACAACTATGTTATGCAGGCATACCAATGTCTAGTAGAAGAGAGATGCTTTCTTCCCTGGAGATCCTTTTGTCAGAAAAGAAAACCTTTCACAGTAACCCCTAAACAATCTTCCCCTTCTGTCTCACTGGCCAGATGGCATCACTTGACCAAGTCTTAATCCTTGGCAAGGTGAATGAAACTATTATGTTTGGATTAAATCAGCAAATTTCAACCTCTGGAACTGGAATGGGGCTCATTTCCAACAATATACATGGCCATGAGGAAGACAGGAGATATCTGGAGAATTATATTAGCAGAAGAGAATTACAGTGGCAGAAACACTTACCAGCTTGGACTGAAAGTGACATAGACAGTACAAAATGAAAAGAGACCTCTGGATCCCCCACCTTGAAACTTCTACCAGCAGAAAGCAGATTAAAAAAAAGCTACTTGGTTGCAAAAACATGTTATCTTTCGTGAAAAAAGAAAGATGACTCAGAGGGTGGAAATAAGAGCCAAGAAGGTAGAACATTATTCTCAGGCTTTGAGACCTAATCATGGAAAAGCCAATCAGTGCTTAACTGAATTTCAGAATTGCTAAGGACCAGTTACTCTTGTGTTACTTCCCTATTCCCCTTTTCTGAATAGGAGTGTCTGTGTAGCAGTTAACTTATGCCTGTCCTACCATTTTATGTTGAGTATGCATGGAGGAAGCTAACTTGTTTCTTTAGTTCAAAGGTCTTCAGATCAAGAGAAACAGTACTCAGGGAGCTGTGCTTATGAAACTAAACCTGAGAAGTCTCATTTACAGCTGAACCTGATTTATACAATGAAATTCTAAACTTTGAAGTGATGCTGCAATTAAATGGGACTTTTGAGAATCTTGGGGGAAAGTGAGTACATTTTGCATGTGAGAGCAATGTTAATATAGGGTAGATTGTGGAAGCTAGCCTCCAAGATGGCCCCCAGTGATCCTTCTGGTATCCTTATCTTCTGGTATTCACATCCTTATATAGTGCACTCCCACATTGCATCAGGGTTGGCTTGTGTGACCAACAGATGCTACAGAAGTGATAGTACATGATGAAACTAGGTCATAAAAAACTTTGTGATTGCCGGGCGCGGTGGCTCACATCTGTAATCCCAGCACTTTGGGAGGCTGAGGCAGGGGGATCACCTGAGGTCAAGAGTTCAATACCAGCCTGGCCAACATGGAGAAACCCTGTTTCTACTGAAAATACAAAAATTAGCCAGGCATGGTGGCATATGCCCAAGGCTGAGACAGGAGAATCGCTTGACCTCGAGAGGCAGAGGTCGCAGTGAGCTGAGATCTTGCCATTGCATTCTAGCCTGGGCAACAAGAGTAAAACTCCATCTCAAAAAAAAAAATGCGATTTCTTTTTTCTTTTTTTTGAGACGGAGTCTCGCTCTGTCTCCCAGGCTGGAGTGCAGTGGCGCAATCTCGGCTCACTGCAACCTCCGCCTCCCAGGTTCAAGCAATTCTCCTGCCTCAGCCTCCCGTGTAGCTGGGACTACAGGTACTGGTCACCACGCAAGGCTAATTTTTGTATTTTTAGTAGAGACAGGGTTTCACCATATTAGTCAGGCTGGTCTCAAACTCCCGACCTCAGGTGATCTGCCTGCCTCAGCCTCCCAAAGTGCTGGGATTACAGGCGTGAGCCACCATGCCTGGCTAAAAAACTTTGTGATTTCTTTCTTGCGCTTCCTCTTCTATCACTTGCTCTGGCAAGTCAGCTTCCATGTCATAAGGGCTCTTAAGCAGTCTTATGGAAAGATCTATGTGACAATAAACTCAGGCCACCTCCAAAAAGCCAAGTAAGTGAGCCCCAGTCAAGGCTTCAGATGACCACAGCCCCAATCAACAGCTTGCCTGTAACGTCATGAAAGATGCTGAGCAAGAACTGCCAAGATATGCCCCTTCTGAATTCCCGATCCACAGAAACTATGGGAAAATAAGTGTTTGTTATTTTAAGCTGCTATATTTTGGGGAATGTAGTAATAGATCATAATTATAAGTAGTTACTAAAAATTCTGTATTCATTTTTTCCCCCAAAAACTGTCCGTTCTGAGAAGGCTCTCAAAATGAGTTATCAAAAAATTACTATGAGGCTGGGTGCAGTGGCTCACGCATGTAATCCCAGCACTTTGGGAGGCCGAGGAAGGCAGATCATGAGGTCAGGAGTTTGAGACCAGCTGACCAACATGGTGAACCCCCGTCTCTACTAAAAATACAAAAATTAGCCAGGCGTGGTGGCACTCACCTGTAATCCCAGCTACTCGGGAGGCTGAGGCAGGAGAATCACTTGAACCTGGGAAGCAGAGGTTGCAGTGAGCCAAGATCATGCCACTGCACTCCTGCCTGGGTGACAGAATGAGACTCTGTCTCAAAAAAAAAAAAAAAAACTATGGCCCCTTTAAAAGAAAAACACAAAATCATTGACACATCTTCATCTCATAAAAAAGCGAAATATCAAATTCTGCAATAATGACTAGATAATAAAGATCTCTTGTCGTTCTTTGTATATCATCTTCCATAATTCAAATAATTAATACTGCAATTATAAAAACAAACAATATTCCCCCATTGAAAGGTTTAATTCAGTTGTAGGTGCCAGTGAGAAAGCTACTGGAGATGAGAAAGGGAAGGAAGGGGCATGTGAAAAGCAAGATGATATTACAAGGCAGTACAAAGTCGTGGTGAAGAGCATAGGCTCTGAAGGCAAGCTGCATTGGTCCAGATCCTGTCTGATGACCTTCCTCATTTGTAAAATGAGAATAATTAGCACTCCTCCTTCGTAAGATTGTCGTAAGTAGTAAATAAATACATGTAAGTTGCATAGGAGATCATCTGGCACATAACAAGTGCATCATAAATCACTTTCATCATCTTCATCATCCTCGTGGTGTGGATAGGGTGGGGATATGTAGATGTATTTGGGGTCACAAAGAAGATTCAGTCACAGTCTTATTTGGCAGATCTTGCTGATTTAATTTCCCTTCAGAAAACATCAAGAGAGTGAAAAGAGAAGCCCTGACCTAGCTGGGAGGCAGTTAAAACTATAGTAAGTGGTACCTACATTTGTTTCAAGCACTTCCCTAGCCATTAGTATATCCCGATGGGCAGCTTCACAGTTGGGCTCTAAGTGTTGAAAGTTACATCAACGGCTGGTCACGGCGGCTCATGCCTCTAATCCCAGCACTTTGGAAGGCTGAGGCGGGTGGATCACCTGAGGTCGGGAGTTCGAAACCAGCCTGGCCAACGTGGTGAAACCTTGTCTCTACTAAAAATACAAAAAATTAGCCAGGTGTGGTGGTGCATGCCTATAATCCCAGCTACTTGGGAGGCTGAGGCAGGAGAATCGCTTGAAGCCGGGAGGCGGAGGTTGCACTAAGCCGAGATTGTGCCATTGCACTCCAGCCTGGGCAACAAGAGCGAAACTCCATCTCAAAGAAGAAAGAAAGTTACATCGACTCATATGGGGTAGCCAAATAATTTCTTATCCAAACTGGGACACTTCTGAGAATTAAAAAGGCCATAGAAAAGATTATATTTGAAAAGCAGGCTTAAACTGGAATTGTTCCAGGCCAGTCGGGATAAATGATTGGTCACTGTGACTGTGGGATAAGTTCATAGAAAAGCAATACACATAGTTTGTAATGAAATTGAACAATAATATTTTACATCTATGCACAGAATGAGGAAATGGTATCTACTCCCAATAACTACCTCACCAGAAGCAATCCACTTATATTTAAATAATTCCTATCATAATAATTATTAAATAGGCAATTTACTTTACTTAAATAATTCCTATCAGAGGTGGCCAAACCCTTATCATAATATCTATATAAACATCACGTATAGCTGGGCAAGGTGGTGTGTGTCTGTAGTCCCAGCTACTTAGGAGGCTGAAGCAGGATTGCTTGTGCCCAGGAGTTTGAGTCCAGCCTAGACAACAGAATGAGACCCTGTCTCTGGAAAAACAAATTCATATAATAAATATATATCTCAGAGCACCTGACCTTGTTGACTACTCTATCTTCTCAAAACTCCTTCTTCCTTGGTTTCCGTGATAATACTTGCTCCCAATTTATGCTCTATTTATTTTCAAACTTTCTTTTACGGGCCTTTCTTCTTTCTTTTTTTGAGACGGAGTCTCGTTCTGTCACCCAGGCTGGAGAGCGGTGGCACGATCTCAGCTCACTGCAACCTCCGCTTCCCGGGTTCAAGAGATTCTCCTGCCTCAACCTCCTGAGTAGCTGGGATTACAGGCGTGTGCTACCATGCCCGGCTAATTTTTTGTATTTTTAGTAGAAGCAGGGTTTCTCCATGTTGCGCAGGCTGGTCTCGAACTCCTGACCTTGTGATCTGCCTGCCTCGGCCTCCCAAAGTGCTGGGATTACAGACGTGAGCAACCACGCCCAGCCATCTTCTTCTTCTTTCTACCATCTCTGATATTTCCTTATCCTTTTCCTTTATTCCACACCCTCTAATTTGCTGAGCTAACACACTCTCATTGCAAGACATATCACACTTGAACACTGATGACTCCCATATGTTTATTTGTAGTCCTGACCTCTCTTTTAAGGTCTGTATCTGAACTGTCCAATGTGATAACAATTAGTTACATGTGATTATGAAAAAATTGACATGTGGATAGCTCAAATTGAGATACACACCATATTTCAAAGACTTAGTATGAAAAAAAAAAATAGGGCCGGGCGCAGTGGCTCACGCCTGCAATCCCAGCACTTTGGGAGGCCGAGGCGGGCAGATCATGAGGTCAGGAGATCGAGACCATCCTGGCTTACAAGGTGAAACCCCATCTCTACTAAAAATACAAAAAAATTAGCTGGGCGTGGTGGCGGGCACCTGTAGTCCCAGCTACTCGGGAGGCTGAGGCAGGAGAATGGCGTGAACCTGGGAGGCAGAGTTTGCAGTGAGCTGAGATCGTGCCACTGGACTTCAGCCTGGGCGACAGACAGAGCGAGACTCCGTCTCAAAAAAAAAAAAAAAAGAAAAAAAGAAAAAATCTTAAATTTTATATGGATTACATGCTGAAATATTAATATTTTTAGGTATAATAAAAATAAATATTTTTGGGTTAAATAAAATGTATCATTAAAATCAATTTTACTTAGGTTAATGGCATAACATTAGAAAAAATCAACTTTATGTGTTTCTGTTTAGTTTTTTAAAAAAACTTTTGTGGGTACATAGTAGTTGTATATATTTATGGGGTATATGAGATACTTTGATACAGGCATGCGATACACAACAATCACATCATGGTAAATGGGGTATCCTTCCCGTCAAGCATTTATCCTTTGTGTTACAAACAATCCAATTGTACTCTTTTAGTTTTGTTTTTTTGTTTTGTTTTGTTTTGAGACAGAGTCTGGCTCTGTCACCTAGGCTGGCATGCAGTGGCATGATCTTGGTTCACTGCAACCTCCACCTCCGGGGTCCCGGTGATTCTCCCGCCTCAGCCTCCTGAGTAGCTGGGGCTACAGACACGCACCACCACACCTGACTAATTTTTGTATTTTTAGTAGAGAAGGGGTTTCACCATGTTGGCCAGGCTGGTCTCAAACTCCTGACCTCAGATGATCTGCCCACCTTGGCTTCCCAAAGTGCTGGGATTACAGGCGTGAGCCACCGCACCCAGCCTCTTTTAGTTATTTCTAAATGTACAATTAAGTTATTATTGACTATGGTCACCCTGTTGTGCTGTCAAATACTGTCTTACTCATTCTTTCTAAATATATTTTGTACCCATCTGTTTACTTTTTAAAATGTGGGTATTAGAAATTTAAAAGTACATACATGGCTCCTTACCTCCTACTAATTATCTCTACTTAGAAATTCCACTAGCACCTCAAATTCAGTATGTGTAAAACTAAACTCATCTTCCCCCTTTCAGCCCATTGTCCACACTGATGATACAGTGATATTGCTAAAACACATATCCAGTTACATCACTTCCCTGCTCAAAATTCTGTAATAGTCACTTTCAGGAAAAAAAAAAAGAAAAAAGAAAAAATCTAAGCCTCTCAGTCTCTACCTTCAAGGGCTTACAACATCTGCCTCTCTTACTCTTCACAAGTAAACTGAAAATTCCTAGAAGGCTGGGACTATGTCTCTTAATAAAATTAAAATAAAAATAAATAAAAAATAAAAAAACAGGGAAAAGCATTACAATCAATTAAGAAAATTTTTTGAGTGATCCTTAACTATGTGCCAACTCTATTCTAAGTGATTTGGATGTCCTTAATCCTTACAAAAACCCCATAAGGAAGATGCCATTATCTCCATTTTACAAGTAAGGATATGAGGCACAGAGAGTTTAAGGAACTTACCCAAGGTCATATAACTGGTAAAGGACGGAGGCCACAGTGTGTCCTGGAAATGCATTATAGTCCCATAGGTCAGGGGCATGGAGTGCAAAGGAAACTAGAAGGTATATTGGAGCCAGATTATGGCACACCTGAAGTATCTTACTAAAGGGTTTGGGTTTTCTTCTACAAGCAATGAGGTAGCATTAAACAGTTTTGCTTTTGTTTTGTTTTGTATGAGACAAGGTCTCTATCTCTCAGGCTAAAGTGCAGTGGCAGGATCATAGATCACTACAGCCTCAACCTCCTGGGCTCAATCAAGCCTCTTGCCTCAGCCTCCCAAGTAGCTGGGACCATGAGCATGCACCACCATGCCCAGCTAACTTTTTACTTTTTTGTAGAGACAGGGTCTTGTTATGTTTTCCAGATTGGTCTCAAACTGCTGGCTCAAGCGATCCTCCTGCCTCAGCCTCCCAAAGTGCTGGAATTACAGGCATGAGCCATCATGCTCAATGTGCATTAAATGTTTTTGATCAGAGGAGTGACTGGCGTGCTCCAACTGACATTTAAGGAAATAATTTGAGTAGTCATGTCTATGACTGAGGAACAAGGGACTAGAGAGTGTTTCTCCATCTGTAGTCTCCTCAATTGATGATAACACCATTTCTTCTAGACATGCAAATTTCATATCTGGGAGTTACTGTGAAATCTTTCTCCCTTAGCAATCAGACACTTAGTTCCATCCATTTTACTTCTTCAGTCCTCTCAAAGTCATCATCATCTCCTCTTCTCCAGTCTCACTGCCAATAATTTAAATCATACCTTCTTCATCTCTTACTAAGATAACGAAATAGCCTCCTTGCTATCTCCAGTCTTTTACTCCCTCAGTTTATCCTTCACATTCCCGCAAAGAATAGTTCCAAAATTTTATTTCAATCATGCCAATCAGTTAAAGACTTTACTGGCTTCTTAATAACTTTGGGCTCTTCAGCCCAGTATTCAAGAGTCTTTATTATTTTACTCTGGCCATTCCCTTATCTCATTTCAGTTAAACCAAACTATATGCTGCTCCTCGTGTCTTGCATAAATCTGTGTCTTTACTCGTGCTGTGTTCTCTTTCTTTTCCCAGAACTCTGTTCCTCTTTTTCTTTACCTAACTGCTGCTTATCATTCACAACAGCTCAAATATTATTTCCTTTTTTTTTTTTGAGACGGAGTCTCGCTCTGTAGCCCAGGCTGGAGTGCATTGGGGCAATCTCTGCTCACTGCAAGCTCCGCCCCCCGGGTTCACGCCATTCTCCTGCCTCAGCCTCCCGAATAGCTGGGACTACAGGCGCCGGCCACCACGCCCGGCTAATTTTTTGTATTTTCAGTAGAGACGGGGTTTCACTGTGGTCTCGATCTCCTGACCTCGTGACCCGCCCGCCTCGGCCTCCTAAAGTGCTGGGATTACAAGCGTGAGCCACCGCGCCGGACAGTTCAAGTATTATTTCTTAGGGAAACCTTCCTACCCACCTATTCTCTTTCCCAGGCAGAGTTAGTTATGTTTCTTTTGCGCTCCTGTAACATTCTATCATATATTTATAACTCATCACACTACATTTTAGCTATGGACTTCCCTGAATAAGTCCCCCATTAGAGTGAGAATGTGTCTTACTGATCGGGTTATTCAAGCAATATTTATTGAGCCACACCTCCACCCCTACACCACTAGTACTTGGCTGGAGGCTAGGGATACAACAGTGAACAGATAAAAATTCCTGCCCTTCTGGAATTAACATTCTAAAGGTGGAATCTATCTTCTTACTCACCTTTGTGGTTCCAGTGTCTGGCCCTTGATGAATACGATAAGGTTAGAAAAACAGCTGGGTCTAACAACTAGCCTTTTGAATATTTTCTTTTCAAAGGATCTTTTCCTTTATCTACGTTCCCTTTTAAATTTCTTCCATGTGTTTGTTAGTCAAATACTTCCATGTAGTCTAAATGTACTATACCTAGACAAAATGTCTAAGCAAATTTCAATTTTTACATTTCCCTTCTCTCTTCTTCCATCCCTTTCTGTTTCCTTATCATACATCTATTGTCCATTTCCCTTGAGACCAAGTACTTTCTGGCTGTCCAGAAGTACCATTAGGCATCCAACTTAGCACTTTCTTTTCCCAAAGTATCCCGGGTTCTAACTTACTTCTCCCCAATCTCCCCTGAAAACCCCTAAAGTCAGAGGTAGCTGGTCAGTAGCATCTTCCGTATTGAAGGCTTCACACTTTCTCTATCCCTACCCAGTGAGAAAGGCCCTCCTCTGCGCTGTTTCCCCTTGCCATGGCACCTATCAACCTGCATGACAAACACTGATTCTCTTGCCTGGTTCTTCCTTAAGGAACCTTGGGTTTAATTCTTCTTTTCATTCCTGGTACTTTCCAGGTCTACAACAGTTCAATAAATTACTAATAAGGAATAAATGAGTAAATAAATATATATTGTATACTTATATATCCTCTCCCCCTGAATTCAGCTGTGGGTATGACTTAAATCCAAGAAATTTTGGATTAAAATGAGAGTTACCAAAAAAGGCAGCTTTGACCCAAGGAAAACTTGTTTCTTTAAAAATGTTAGAAGAATTTAAATTTTTAAAATGTGTTTTGGCCTGGCAGGATGGTTCACACCTTTAATCCCAGCACTTTGAGAGGCTGAGGTGGGAGGATCGTTTGAGGCCAAGAGCTTGAGACTAGCCTGGGCAACAGAGCGAGATCCCATCTCTACAAAAAATAAAAATAAAAAATTACCTGGGTGTGGTGGTGTGCATCTGTACTCCCAGCTACTCGAGAGGCTAAGGCAGGAGGATCACTTGAGCCCAGGAGGTCGAGGGCTGCAGCCATCTACAATTGCACCACTGTACTCCAGCCTGAGACACAGAGTGAGACCCTGTCTCAAAGAAAAACAAAAAAATGTGTTTCGATATCCGCGATCCATGTCACATCTGTTAGTGTACCTTTAGTACATGACTTCTGCATTGTTTGCTAACTGACATTCTGTGTGAATAAAGCGTGTATCACAATGGTGTTTCCGTATGTTATCCAAGTGGGTCCTTTCCCCAGGATGTGAGTGAGCCTTTGGCATGGTCTTTTTAAGATTTTGCCAAGGGAAGACTGGGCTGGAACTAAGGAGCTAACATACCATTGAAATCAAATATCCCGTTGGGTGCACTGGAGGGTAGAGAAGAGGGGATTCCTGCACTCACGCTAAATGATAAACTTTTCCAAGGGCAGGGTCGTGAGAGGTCTTCCAGGTCACCTAGTGTTCTGAGTCATGCAGAAGTAGGAAATGGACACAATACTCCCCGCAGAGAATCCTTCCCACAGGACTGATCCTGTCCCTTCCTCCCCTCCCCCGCCCCACACAAGGCGGAATCCCCACGCAGTGCACTGCAGGCGCGGTGGCCACTGCCCCTAGAACCAGATCTCTCCCCCAGTCCCGTCCTCTCCAAGCTCCAGATATGTCAAGGATTCTTAAGCAGGGGTTTTCCAATCTGTCCCTTGAGGAACTACCCCTGAGGCAAGGCGGGCAGGCCCAAGCTGCGATGTGGAGAATTCGATGTCCGAGCGACCTCCTCGGAGGAGTGGGTCGAGTTAAATATAACCGCGCGAATGGAATGGCGCTAAAAATAAGGCAGCAGCTGGCCTGTCCACAGCCCTGTCCCGGGAGGGGCGGGGGCCCCAGTGGTCTTGGGCAGGAAGGCCGCGTCCGGCCCAGGGGCGAGAAGGCTGCGGCGTCCGCAGCCAGGGCTGGAAGGCCTGGGAGGCCGCGCTCTGTGGGCCCCGGGGCCTCCATTCGGGCTGGGTCGCGGGCCTGGACGGGGACTGTCCAGAGGCATCCGAAAGCCAGGCCAACTTGCCTGGACGTAACAAGACGGAAGGGCTGGGCGCTGAGGTCCTGCCAGCCCGGCCGCCAGAGGGAGCTGAGCGCCAGAGGAGGACAAGCCGAACCCTTCAGGAGGCCGGGCGTCTCCGGAGACCGAAGCGCCGGAGGACCCGAGGAGGTCTGCCCCGCGCGCTGCTCTGGAGACTCCCGGGGCGGGTGGCGCTCGGCCTTTCCGCTCCCTTCCTTCCCACAAGTCCCTTCCCGCGCGCGCCCCACGGCCCTGCCCGCCCTCCCGCGTCAGCGCCCCAACCGTCAAGCCAGCAATTGAAACGTTTCCAAAACGGTCTATTTATTTGCTCCCAATAAATCGATCGGCGGTGATTAAAGAATCGATGTGGCCTGGGTGGGCGAGTCGCTTGAGGGGAGGGATTGGGGGCTTTCGCCCGGCGCCTGCAGGGAGGCCGAGGGCGGGCGCGGGCCTGAGGGAGGCGTGTCCCGCCCGGGCCACACCCGAGGACCCGACACCTGGGCTGGCAGGCCCCGGCAGGCAGCGTTCCCTCCGGCGGAGAGGGGCGCGCGCCCGCCGCCTGCTTTCCTCGGCCCCTCTCGCCTTTCTCGCGCGCCGGGGAGGCTGTGGCCGCCAGTGGCTGCGGAGCTGCTCAGAGGCTTTTGTTGCTCCTCGGCCGGCTGAATGGGGATTTTGTAAAGCGGGACAGATAAAAATGAGCAGCATCATATTGTTTGACAGAATGATCTCGCATGATGAAGTGTCGGCTCCGAAGGGGGTGAAAATGGTGAATTCCTAAAAACCCAGCCCTGGGCTCCTCCTCGAGCTGCCGGTAGCCTGGAGGGACCCAGCGGACAGCCGGGCCTGGCCGCATCGCTCCAAACGGTGTCAGAAAGACTCCGGCTTTCAATGCCAAGTCATTTTTAAGCCCCGATCCTGTCCAGGACCTTTCTCCTCGTGGATGAAAAGAACAATTTTCGAGAGAAAGGCTCGTTTTTATTAAATCCGACATGCTGCTGATAACTCCATGCTAATGTGAAATAATTAACATAATAGCCATAATTAAAAGCACGCTAACAATGCCATAAATTTATCACACAATTTTACTAGCTTTCTGCCCCTAACTGCTCTCTCATCGTTAATTAAACGTGTTGCCTTTTACAGAATGGATGTTTATATATTTCCAATATAAATAAATTCGAAACCATCCTCTCTCTCTTCCTCTTTCTCTCCTCCTTTCCTTTTGGTCTCTCGCCATTTACAGGCACGCCTTGGCGTGGACCCTGAGTGGCAGACATCTTGAAAATAAATGAAGTTTTGAGATGCAAATCCAAACAAGAACATTAAAATAGCCTCTTTTTTTCCACCCCGAAAAGATCCGGAGAGGTATACAAGGGGGTAGTGGTGGGTAAGAGAGTTGAAAATCCCCCGCTTTGGGAAATGGAAGTAATCTGGGTGGGTTGGGGCCTTGGGTACCACCTCTGCCCTTTCCCACCTTCCTTGGTGGCGGCCATCCAGACAAAGAGGCCGGTAATAGTTTAACAAATCTATGAAGATTTTCAAGAAGCAGCAGACTTTGATTGTTGCGGGCGCGGGGGTGTTGGGGAGAAAGGAGGGGAATTTTTCTAATAGTCCCACCCACGTTTTGCTCCCTCTTGGACAAAGAGTAACTACTCTTGGTGGGGGACGCGCCCTTCACTCCGCGGAACCTGGTCCCAACTCCCCGTATTGTAAGAAAAGTGCACCCGCGCGCGGGCATGATGATTCTATCTCACATCGCGCCAACGACTTATTCAAGCCACTGGCACTGTCTCTGACTTAAAAGAGGAGAAAAGAGGCATATGGGTTCACTTGGGCCTGGTGAGGGGTAGGTGGGCAATTCCCGCCTTCCGCACTCTAACCGTGCCCCTCCTCCAGTGTTGACCACCTAAGAACCCAAAATGAGCTGTAATTAATTTCCCTTTCTCCATCATAAATTTTTCTATCCATTTCTTCCCCCCCATCCCCCCACTGGACGCACACACTAAATCTCCCCTCCCCTGGAGACGTCTCAATTTCCTTCCTATCGATCCGGACTCCATTCTTCTTGCCTCCTGTTGCTAGAACCTAGATCCCCACTCCCCGCACCCCTCATTCCCACCGCGTCCAGGTGGCTTTCCCAGCGGGGTACCATGTACTCTGCCCGCTCCAGAGGAACCGAAGGGGTTTCATTCCATTCTCCTTTGGTTGAAACATTTCAAACATTTGAGCAGGTGAGGCAGCTGGCTGCCATCTTCCTTTTTAAATCTCTCCTGGGAAGTTCGCTTGTTGAGACTCAAAGAGTCACTCAAACTCATAATTGCGTGTGTGTGTCTACTCATTCTCCCTCTATCTCTCCAATAACCCTTTGAGACTCAGAAACTTTTTATCCACATACACCCTTTATCACATTTTCTTCCCCCCACTACATGTGTCTCACTTTCTCTCTGTATCTGTCTCGCTTCTTCCGTCTCTGTCCTACAGCTTGGCGGTAACTGACGACCTGTGAGCTTTTAGCTGCAAACTGCAACTACGCGGCAAACAATTTATTTAGCCCGACATCTAGCCGGTCTCCGGCAGGACCCTGCACCGCGTCGGGATCGGACCCTTCCGCTGGGGCGGCCTCCTGCGTCAAGGCCAGCAGGAACCTTCCTGTCGCCCTCCCCGGCCGCCGCTTCGCCTCCTTCCCGCCCCCGGAGGTTGTGCAGGCGCTATGGTCCGCCTGGAGGGAGAAAGCCGGCGGCCGGTTCCTGAGCCGAGAGCGGCCGCGGAAAAATCCTCTGCCTCCGCTGGAAATCGATATTAGGCCGGCGCGGGCGCGGGACGTCGGGGCCGCAGCCAGTAGGTTGTGCACGTCTCATCATTTAGCTAATCGAGTCGAAAAGTTTCTGTAAGGGCCGGACCCAGCATCAGATGGTAACACTGATTGAACAAGAGATTAGCACAATAGATCTCTAACCGAGGGGAAGCGTTGCTTTTCACGCTACGCGCCGTAATTAATGGTATGAATCAATTAATTTGACTTTTATTGTGTCGAAGGAAAAAAGCGCAACAAATGGAACCGGCAGCTGGGAGTTGTTCGTCCTCCACCCCCTTCCCCAGGGAGGTTCCAAGGAGACACCGGGGAATGGACGGATCAGGCTGGGCCGTGGCAGAGGGAGGGTAGGAGGCAGCGACCAGCAGCGTGGAGGGAGTCCAGAGAGCTAGCCTCTGCGGACGGCGGAATCGAAATTAGGCTCATTTGGAGACTACTTCGAGACCGGTGAGGGGAGCCCTGTAGCCACCATCCTCCGGCGCGCATCCACACATACTAGTCCACGCGGGCCCAGCCACCAAGGCCGCGGCAGGGCCAGCGCTGCGCCCCGGGCCCCTGCCTTTAGGGCTGGGCAACCCAAGCAGAGCAAAGGAGGTTCCTGAATGTGTAAATTTCCGCTTTTTAGCTTTTTTTTTTTTTTTTTTTGGACCTTCCGACACTTCGGTTGCTGAGGCAGTTGCAGACGCGACCTCTGCAGTCCTGGGCGATGGCCAGCCAGCTCAGCTCGGGTCGGTTTCGCGGAAAGCTGTCTAGACGGCATTGTAAACGGTTCGGAGCCTGCGGGCCACAAAGCTGTGGAGCTACGGAAATCAACTCTGAGATGCGTTTTAGGGCCGTGTGCAACCTCGGGATCATTTAGATAAAGAAAAACTGTGGAGGTTGGCGGGCGTCTCAGGATAGTGTCACCACCCCCTACCCTGCTCCCAGCCTCAGATGAGTAGTGTTATATCCTGGGAAACTGTCTAATGGGGATGAAAGTCAATCTGTGTGTCTCAATGCCTGTAATGAAGCAAGTTTACAGATTTTTAAATTTTTATTTTTATTTTATTGAATTATTTTTGGTGTGTCTAGGCCAAGGAAAGAGGAGATCGTGGGTGGGGAAACAGACTGAGGGAATCAGAAGCACCACTGTCCATCCGGAATTAAATCCACATCCCAGCATCTTCTGCAAATATTTCACTAATTATTTCCTCTCGGAACTCCTCCCCTCGTGCTCCTTCCTCTGGTGAGGCCGGCGCTCCCCTCCCAGGCCGCAGCGGACAGACAGGGATTGGGTTCCGTGTGCCTGCCACACCAGGCAGGCTCTTGCGGCTCCCAACTAGGCGGCCTAAATGAGGGAGGAAAGAGGAGGCGCATCGCTGATTCACCGCGTCAAGAGCACTGACTTTCCTTGGAGGTGTGAGGTCCACGCACCCCAGCCACGCACTTGGGGGTCGGTTTGCGGTGCCTCCCCCTCCAGTCCCAGTGAAATCCCCACAGTTTTTCCTACTATCACTGACTTGCCTTGCACTCCGCGTGCATTGGCCACACATCCTCGCCTCCTCCACCCGCTCCGCCGCCGGTTTTCTTGGAAGTTAAATCTTGGAGGATTTGTCCACACCTTAAGAGAAGAAAATCCACGTTAGCTGGCAGCAACGGAGATCCCAGCATGCTGGCATGCCCAAGTCTGCCCAGGTTCCCCCAAGGCCATGCCCGCCGCCCGGGAAGTCACTGCCCGCACCCCTCACGTTTCTTCAGCCGCCCCTGGGCGCTGCGTCTAACCTGAAGACACCAGGCCTCTTCCCGGATCCACTCGACTTACCCAGGCCGCTGCCAATCCCAGCTCCTTCCCCAGCGCCTCATTTCCGATTTTTTCATATGCTAAGTCGTTTAACAACTCCAAGTAGCCAGTTATGGCTTCTTTATTTATAGGTTCCCTGCTATTTTACGTCGTTTTTATTTCTCTCGGCAACTATTCTAGTAGATTAATCAATAGCCATTTTCTGACCTTCGGGAACCCCAGCTGATGCTTTTTGTGGCCGCACGAAAAAATACATACAGGAAAACACGCCCGCATCAAGCCGGGAAAGAGCAGGTAGGACCTGAGTGGTTTGGTTGGGGGAGGGGGAAAAAGACATCTCAGCAGGTGTCTTCCCCGGAATGAGCACTGAGGCCAGAGGGGAATCTGAAATCTAATTAGCAGGAGGGAGCCGGGTGCGCTGCTCTTACTCTTTAAAGCTAAAAACAATGAAACAAAAAGCAAAACAGAGACTAAGTTTTGCTTTTTAAAACACGATATGGGAACCTCGTTCTAGGTCGCCCAGTCCCTGTCTAAGGAGTGTGACAAAGTGGGGGGGAGAAGGGCGGAAGGGAGAGGGGGCGGGGAAGGCAGGGCAGCGACAGTCGCACAGTCCCGCGGACGCTCCCAGGCCCACGCCCTGACTCGCTCACACCCACCCACACTCACACCCACCCGCTCCCTGGGCCCCAGGGCCCGGATCCAGCCTGGGTGGGGGGGTCTCCGGGCGGGCCGCAGCGCCCTCCGTGCCCCGGGGATGCTGGCGCACAGTGCGGAGCGGAGTTGCGCGTCTCTCGTCCCTTTGTTGACAATTCCCTGAACCAACTTGAGTTTGGCCGGCTCGGCCGCGGCCCTGACGTCACGCACGGTCACGTGGCCCCGCCTCCCGCTGGATCTTTAAGTAGAAAGTAATCTATCAGGCCAGTCCTTAAAACGGGACTTTCGACTACCGGGGCTTCGGCGTCCCTGACACCCAGCCCCCTGCCCCCCCGCTACTGTCCCTGCCCGCGCCCTCCCGAGCTGCTCGGCGCCCGGCGTCCCGCGCCCGCCTGGACCGCTCCTGCGCCCCACGCCAGGGCCAGAGGCCGAGGAAGGCGGGCTAAGTGAGGGGGCGCGGCGTGGAGAACCGCCGGGGCCGGGAGCGGTAGCGAGCGCCTAGTACCGAGCGCCAGGGACGGCAGGAGTTCGCGGAGCGCGGCCGCTGGGGGCGGACGGCAGAGCCCGCGCCACGCGATGCGGGGCCGCCGAGTGTGAGCTGAGCCCAGCGGGCCCCAAGCCACCTGCGGCCCCCTCCCCTCTCCCTGCCCCCCATCTTTCGGGGGCACTCAAACCCTCTTCCCCTGAGCTCCGTGGCAGCCCCCGAACACCCTCATCGCCCGCTGCCCCCTCCCCGCCGCCGCTACCAACCCCGAGGAGGGATGACCCTCTCCGGCGGCGGCAGCGCCAGCGACATGTCCGGCCAGACGGTGCTGACGGCCGAGGACGTGGACATCGATGTGGTGGGCGAGGGCGACGACGGGCTGGAAGAGAAGGACAGCGACGCAGGTTGCGATAGCCCCGCGGGGCCGCCGGAGCTGCGCCTGGACGAGGCGGACGAGGTGCCCCCGGCGGCACCCCATCACGGACAGCCTCAGCCGCCCCACCAGCAGCCCCTGACATTGCCCAAGGAGGCGGCCGGAGCCGGGGCCGGACCGGGGGGCGACGTGGGCGCGCCGGAGGCGGACGGCTGCAAGGGCGGTGTTGGCGGCGAGGAGGGCGGCGCGAGCGGCGGCGGGCCTGGCGCGGGCAGCGGTTCGGCGGGAGGCCTGGCCCCGAGCAAGCCCAAGAACAGCCTAGTGAAGCCGCCTTACTCGTACATCGCGCTCATCACCATGGCCATCCTGCAGAGCCCGCAGAAGAAGCTGACCCTGAGCGGCATCTGCGAGTTCATCAGCAACCGCTTCCCCTACTACAGGGAGAAGTTCCCCGCCTGGCAGAACAGCATCCGCCACAACCTCTCACTCAACGACTGCTTCGTCAAGATCCCCCGCGAGCCGGGCAACCCGGGCAAGGGCAACTACTGGACCCTGGACCCGCAGTCCGAGGACATGTTCGACAACGGCAGCTTCCTGCGGCGCCGGAAACGCTTCAAGCGCCACCAGCAGGAGCACCTGCGCGAGCAGACGGCGCTCATGATGCAGAGCTTCGGCGCTTACAGCCTGGCGGCGGCGGCCGGCGCCGCGGGACCCTACGGCCGCCCCTACGGCCTGCACCCTGCGGCGGCGGCCGGTGCCTATTCGCACCCGGCAGCGGCGGCGGCCGCGGCTGCTGCGGCGGCGCTCCAGTACCCGTACGCGCTGCCGCCGGTGGCACCGGTGCTGCCTCCCGCTGTGCCGCTGCTGCCCTCGGGCGAGCTGGGCCGCAAAGCGGCCGCCTTCGGCTCACAGCTCGGCCCGGGCCTGCAGCTGCAGCTCAATAGCCTGGGCGCCGCCGCGGCCGCTGCGGGCACAGCGGGCGCCGCGGGCACCACCGCGTCGCTCATCAAGTCCGAGCCAAGCGCGCGGCCGTCGTTCAGCATCGAGAACATCATAGGTGGGGGCCCCGCGGCTCCTGGGGGCTCGGCGGTGGGCGCTGGGGTCGCCGGCGGCACTGGGGGTTCAGGGGGCGGCAGCACGGCGCAGTCGTTTCTGCGGCCACCCGGGACCGTGCAGTCGGCAGCGCTCATGGCCACCCACCAACCGCTGTCGCTGAGCCGGACGACTGCCACCATCGCGCCCATTCTTAGCGTGCCACTCTCCGGACAGTTTCTGCAGCCCGCAGCCTCGGCCGCCGCCGCTGCTGCGGCCGCCGCTCAAGCCAAATGGCCGGCGCAATAGGGACGCGCCAATGGCCGGGACCCAGGGTCCGGCGGCGGCCTCGAGCAACAAATGCACCTCCAGGCTGCGCGCCCTGTCCCAAGCCCGGTCCCGGTCCCGCTGCCCAATCCTGGACTCTGCCTCTCCCCAATTTCCTTTCCCCTGAGCCCCCAACGCCTACCTTCCGCGGCCTCCATCCCCTCGCGCACACCTAAGCTGGTCGAGCAAACTCACCGCGCGCCCGCCGGGGATAGCTTTCCATACAGGTAAAACCGAAAACCGAATTTTCCAAAAATGCACCCCGACGGCGCCTGCTCTTAGTACCGTGGGGATGGGAGGGAAATTCTTTGTATATATTTGTAAAAAAATTATTGACTTTCCTTTTGGGGTTTTTATTTTTTTAAGAAAAAACAAATTCCGTAGATTTAGAGCTCTGAACTTTCATTTTTTTTGAAGGTTCACTCTCCGAAGTTTTATCTGAGAAAAGAATGTATAGAGACGTTGGGAGATTTTAAATATAAAAAATTTTCAAAAAGGCAAAAAGTGTCATTCTATTATAAAAGTCTGTTTATATATGAATGAATATATATGGTATTCTAAATGTTATTCCATCGTGTTGTACACAACTTTGTAAATAAATTTTTAAAATGCCCAGCCTAGTGTTTTATTTAGTTGTCTGAAGTAAATGGCAAGATTTTTAAATGGTATTTATTTGCCTTTTCTCCTCCCCAGAAAATCAAGGAATTTCAAGTAATGGCCTTTTCAAACTTTTTAAATTCATAATTTGAGTGTAAGAAAATTTTAATTGGAGAAAGGAAATAGTATGCCTAATTTAAATTGTGTTACTATTTTTCTTTTAGTTTTCACATAAAATCAGGATGTGAGTGATATCATTCATATCAACCCATTAAATCTAAATGACCAGACATTTCTGTAGATAAAGTAAGCTGTCATTTAAAAAAAGAAACCGAAACAACAGCAGTCTTTAAATTTTTTTAAAAAATGACTAGACTTGTATCTTCCACAATGAAAACTTCCCAAATGAGAGAGTTCTTGGTCATTTCAATTATCCTTTGAAAAGTAAGTAAATTCCAAACATCCCTCTTTTTAACATTTAAATCTTAGATTTTTGAAATTATTTCTTTTCATTCCTTAAGTGGAAGTGGTAAATAGACCCAGCTGGTTTTAAAATTTATGTTAAGGCACTTTACATTTTGCAGTGGGATTTTATTTATGTTCATCTGATAGATAATACATAGTTTTGTTTTCATAATATTTTCAAATAAGATATCTCATTTATATGGCAATAATCAATCCACAACATAATTGGATTTCTGAAGGGGTCCTATAGATGCTTCCTCTCCCTCCAACCCAAAGCCTTTCTGAAGGCCAAGGAATGGTGGCCTTAATACCCTTTTAAAAACAGCTGAACATCACCTCTCTCCCCTTTTTTTTCTTTACCTTAGGCTAGGTTAGTGTGAAATGCGACATCATAGGGCAGGAATGGGGAAGGTCCTTGTAGATTATTTTTAATTTGCATTTCAGCTGTTAAAAACTTTTAAAAGAAAGTATGAAGGTAGAAATGAAACATCTTGATGTGGAAGGCTGGTTCTCACCACCATCAGCATATCCTCAAAAGGCATCAATTCTAATTATTTTGTAATTAATTTAGCTGTTACAATTACTTGTGCGAAATCGCTTTTAAAAACTGGAGCGAGTAGCAGTGCTGTCGGCTCGGCCCTGCGCGCGTCCTTTTGGTTAATCCCGGCCAGTCCCCGGTGTTGTCGTCCACTTTGCCTCCCTGGTGGTGGAGATGCCTCCCCGTCTCGGATCCCACCTCATTTCTCCGCTGTCGACGTGGGCTGGGGGTCGCTTTGAAAGACACTTCCTTGCAAATACCCAATCTGTTTTCCTGGTAAACGGTAAACATTATTGTGTCTTGAGTAAACATTCCTTCGGGATCAGGGTCCTAAAATAAAACAAGCTGCCGGGGGTGAGATAGTTTAACTTGATAAACAAGAACCTGATAACCACCGCCGAGAGAGGAGCAATGGTAACCTTCACCGAGAGGAGATTATGGACCACACGGTCTCCGGGCGGGTCCCTTCTAATCTCCTTTTACAAGGAAAACTAAACGGATCTAATTTTGTTTGTGTGTTGCAGCTATAAAAGTAACAAGTTGTTTCACAGTTGTGTCTGGCTAATCGGTTTTTACACAAACAGCAAATGGTACATGATTTGTGCAAACACATAGAGAGGTTATTTCTAAATTTAGCTGACAGCCCCTGGGAAAAGGGAAAGGCAGGGCTTCTTGAATTCACTTTTAGCCTCAAGAAGCTGCTGATCCAAGGCTTCTAAATGACATTGGATAACAGGGGCCTCATTCCATCCCTGATCCTTTGTTACTTATAAAATTACTCGCTCATATTTCCGCGCATAGCAGCAATACCGGCCGAGCCTGCGCCAGCAGCGTGACACTCAGCCACAAGCCACCGCCGGAGACTCGCAGGGCTTTTTCCAGCGCTACATTCATTAGGCGGCGGGGTGAACGGGAGAGACCTGCCGGCAACTTTCCTTCCAGCCAGTTCTTACCCTTGAACGACGGCCTAAAGATGGTCCCCTTCCTTTATGTCGTGGAAGGCAGGAAACTCTCGGACCCAGACCCTCAAGCTGCCAGCGGTTGTTTAAAGTCCTGGCAGATGTCAGGAAGATGGGCCCGGCCGTCGCACCCTCAAAAGCTCTTTTTCGTTTAAGCTTTTTAAACCTCGAAGATTTAGCACAAAATGGGAAATGCAAATATCATAGACAATGATCGCAAGCACTTAGTGGTGGGGCTGGGGGAAGCCTGAAACCCTTGTTTGATGTTATGGAACGCAGGCACCTGCGACAAACGGCACTGGAAACAGCTCTCTCGTTGAGATTTAAAGTCAACACTACTGATATCCACTTTTTATTCCACTTAAGAAAAAAAAACTAAAGGAAGGGGGGCAGATTTATTTGCAATAAAAGAAGAAAGCGGGTTGATTTTTATGGGGAAGATTTTAGCTTTCGGCTACACACGCATTTAGACGTTTCTACTTTCTCTAGCACTCATTCCTAGAAAAATCAATCCAGCCCTGAGGCCTGTGGCCCCTAGAGCGTTCTCAGGACCAAGGTCTGAGTTGGGACCGCCCGTATCTAGTTCCTCGGAGGGGTGGATCTGGATGTCCGGGGAAAGGCGAATGAAGAGTAGAGCAAAACATGTGCCGGCTGTTGAGGGCTGTCGATGCGATGGCAGATGTGGCCTGTAGGGGGCGACGAGCAGACGGAAAACTTCGCGGTTTGTCTGGAATGGTCCAGCCCCAGCCCCGGACGCCTCTCCTTCCCTCCCAGGCTCTGAGCCTCCTGACATCCTTGCTTATTCTCAGGCCCCGGAAGCCTAGGTCGAATCTCGAGAAGCTGATTTCCTCCTTTCCCCCGCCTGTGTCCTGGGAGGAACAGAGTCCCGAGGGGAGTTTGTCCTAAAGATTGGGAGGCAATAAAGTTTAGTGATGAGGAAACATTGACTTGGAAGCAATTAAGAGTTATATTTGAGGTTATTTATTTCACATGGTTTATAGGGTGAGTCTTGGTAGTGAGAACATGAAAGGCTGACATGAGTGTGTGAGAGGTGGGTATTTTTAACGTGAGTCCCTTGAGAAACTGTCCTGAGGGGTATGTGATCTGAAAGAAAGTGGGTTCCAGAGCCTTGTGTCCCCGGACTCCACCTGTGTCCCCGGTGGTACAAGCTGCAGAATAAAGTAGTGAAGGGAGGAGGTTGGAAGGGCATTCTGAAAGTGCCAGGCTGAACCTTGTGGGGAGCCGTCTGTTTCAAGGGAGGAGGCGACAGGAAGAAGCGGGATGAGAAAGGCCTTGCAGAAGGCGTTCCAACAGGGATTAGGCATTTCCTAACTGTGACTTTGGACAAGCTGCTTGGTTTCTTTCAATGACTGCATTTCCTCGACCCTACAGTGAGAATGAGTCTGCCTGTCACCTGGGCTTACAGAATTAGGTGAGTTGGTGTCAGTGAAAAATGTCTTATAAACTGTAAAGTGCTGGGGGCGTGTACAGTGTGTTTTTTAATGGCTTCTGCACGAAGAAACAACTCTGTTCTAAGCACTGGTACACGGCCAAATACATTGGCTCGGTTCTGAACCATTTGATTTTAGGTATGAAAGGTGGATTTTTCTAAGAGGGGTTGCAGAACCCATCCCAGGAAACTCCCACCCCAGAAGAGGCTTTTAAAAGGTGGAGCTTCCTCCTGGTCTGTAGGCCTTTCACTATGCCTGCGGAGAAGCTCTCGGTGCCCACCCATCCTTCAGCCTGCACCCCCAGCTCCAGGGGCAGGGCATACGTCTCTCTTCTCTCTGGCAGAGCGGCCTACTCTGCTGTTTGCCCCTATGCTTCCACTATCCGAGGCAAGTGGGGAAATCTGAGTCCACCGCTGACAGACTCCCATTAGTGCAAGATGCGGCCTGGGAGGCGAATTAAAGGTAACCAGATCCCAAACTCACTTAAAAGACCACCCTCCCCTTGCTGCCCTCCAACAGTTGGCAGAGTTACACCCAGAGCCAACTTCTCTCTTCGCCACTCCCCCTCCTTGCCCTCTGAGGAATGTACAAGCCATTCTTTGCTCCCTGGGGTACACAAAACAAAATTTGAAAAGAAATGTAAAACTAGCCAGGGTGTCTGTAAGAAAGCATAACCATCTCATTTTTATTTCCCGAAGTGCCGTCATATATTAGAATTTTCCTAAATGCAGAATTAAATTGGTCCCCTCCCCCATTTTAACATAAAACTGCTACCTAAGGCTCTTCTCCAGATCATTTGTGCTTTTGCACACAGCTCCATCCCATCAGGGGTGAGGCGGGGAAGAAGAGGGACACCTTCACTCTCTTGCCTGAGTCCTCTGGTGCTGAATTCCGAACCCGTCTTCAGAAAAACAGTCCTAGAATATCGGCATTAGAAGTGGCCTCCGGGGTCACCCTGGAGGCCCTCTTTTCACACAGGCCCACCCAGAAGGTTCTGGGACTTACCCAGGGTCACTCAGCAGCCCAAGTGCAAGCTATGGAAGTACTCGGAGGAGGAAAAAGTGTGCTTTACCCAGCAAGAAGGCGCCACTTGAGGAAACAAAAACAGCAGACTCTGGGGCAAGGAAGATTGGGGAGGGTTGAGAGGAGAAGGGAAAGACAGACACAGACGCGCCGGGCCGGTGGAACTCAGCTCCGGGAAGGCTGTGGACCTGGACCCTGGGGCTCCCCGCTGCCTGGGCGCCTCTAGCCCGGCGATGAGTGGTTCTGCGGGGACCGACGGCCCCATTTCCTTCTTGCCTCGTGATGTGGGAGGGAAGAAAGAAGGCGGCAACTGCAGGCCCGAAGCTCCCCTCGCCCAGCGGCCCAACCACAGTGCTGTCGTGTCGGGGATCGGTCCCCAAGGGAGCCCCCAACCCCCTGCCCACGCCGAGATCACCCCCGTGCCAACCTCGAGGGCTCGGCCTGCGGGACTCCAGCTGCCCCTGCCTGGAGGGAGGGAAGGGAGAAGAGAATACGAATTAATTACGAAGGAAACCCAGGTGTGAAAGGCACCCGCCGCGGAGCTGGGCGTGCAGCGGGGCGCGCGGTGGGACCTCTGCTCCCGTCCCCGTCCCGCGGCTACTCAGTTGCCCGCTCATGGGAGGCTCGCGACGGAAAATAAATCCCCTCAGAGTGAACCTGGGAGGCCGAGAGGACCCAGCCTGGGATCTCTGGGGGAAATAGGGGCAAGTTTACCACGGTTTAATTAAGCCACAGCCCTAGCACGAGGACCCCGGCGACCCATCCGGGCTGGGGGATGGACTGGAGTGCCCCCCACCCCAGGCCGCGAACCGGCAGCGAGAAGCACACTCTCCGCCATCCCCGGCCCCGCCGCTTCCGCCTCTGCGGACTCCGCGTTTGCCATGCTCCTTCCCGGGGTCCAGGGACCGGAGCTGCGGTGCACGTCTTATTGAAGGGGAGAGCTTTGGTTCTTTTCCTCCCTGCATCCCTCCCACTTTCCTCTCAACAGATAGTAAGCAAGACTCAATTTTCTCCAAAAAAGCCCGTTACCCCTTTCTGCAAGGGGCGCATGCCTAGGTTCACAGGGAGCTCTCTTGTCAGCCCCAGAACAACCCTAAACTCCAAATGTTCTGTTTGCTCTCGAGGTACCCCTGGGATGCAGCGTCTCCTCCGCGAAGCCTTCCTGAGCCTCCCTGCCCAGACCAGTTGCTCCTTCTTGAAGCTCACCGTGCCAATTAATGAGCCATTGTCATTAGTGTTGCCCTCTGAGTTCCTGGTGAGTTCCTGACCGTCTAGCATTGCTGAGCACAAAGGGGACGATCTAAATTATTTGTCTGATGAATAACAGCTTCGCACCACGGGAGCGGGGATAGGGGATCTTGAAGGCTGTTAACTTATCAAATCAAGTCTTTCTCAAGAGTTTGGGGAACTGTTTTCTTCCCATTTCTTTCCTTCTTTATAATGAATGCTTTTTATAAACACTTAATTTTTTTAAGTGAATGAATTTTAAGTCTTTATTAGAGGTCTAAAAAGCGTAAGACCCGTCAACTATGTATTTTTCTGGCATGTTTTCTCAGTCATTGTGAAATTAGTTGAAAACTTCTCCCAGCCTGAAATACCAGTAGCTGGTTCCACCTCCCACCCTAATGTAGAAACCTCTTCAGAACACCTCGGTTTTCAGCCAGCATCTGTTTCAATTTTTCCAGTGGAAGAGGAAGAGGAACCACTACCTCACAAAACAATCCATTCCACTTAGGGGCATCGTTATTTGTTCAAGGGTCTTTCTTTTCTAGAACTCCTTTATTTCCTTAGTAAAGGATAGTGGATTTGAGAGTCATTTGCTCAGATTTTCATATGAAAGATGGTCGTATTTCCATGTGTTGGGTTTCTTTATCTAGAAACACAAATAATTCACTGTGCTTTAGCTCCCACATTAAAACTACTATTTGTTGGGGGGAAACTGAGCAAAAGCTAAAGTTTTGAGAAAGCCTCTGGATTCTGTATTCATTACACACAATCCAGGATGGTCCACAGGCCTCCTTTTGAGACCCACTTGGAGAGCCTTGGGTTCAGACTACACTGGTGGTAAAACTCTTGTGGAATGGTTGTAAGAGTTTTGTGTTCCTGGTTTTTTTAACCAGATAAAAAGCTTTTTTTTTTTTTTATTCTTTTTACCATTTTGTTTTTATAAGCTAAGATAAAAAGTATTTTTTAAAAAGTTAAATCATTTAATTCATCTTTCATTGCTGTATTCCTTGGCATAAAAGTTATGTCTTACCTATATTAGTCATCTAAACCACTCATCATATAAAACTAGGAACTTAGATGTCTTCTCTGGAAAATATTCATGTAGATTCCACTGTTTAATTAGAGAAGCAGAAAGAAGGAAAATCCCAGATATTTGGCCATTGCCTTCCAATTGGAATCAAGATAATGTGTTCTTTTGCATTACCCATCTAATGCATTTTCTGGCAAATTTATATCGCAGTTTGTGTGGTTCCCATTTGATTTAGTCTTTATATAGCTCTGTTAGCTTCCTTCTTTGCCATTGTTACAGATTATACTGGTAAACCTTCTTTCAAATTCTACCAGCTTGCAAATGTAAATGTTGGTTACAAGAGCAAGGTAGTTTCAAGATCAGCACAAATTAATCACAACCACTGTGAAACATCTGCTTTATTGATGGTACTTCAACAGCATCACTTTCCACATATATCAGGAATTATGACTTTATGATAAAGTTGCTCTTGTTCCTAGAGGGAATCAAGTGCAAGAGTTAATAGACTGGATTAAAAGACAAGACTAATTGCTAGTCCTAGTCCTGACATTGAATTTAGAAGCCCACATACAGTAAAGATTACTAGTGAAAATTTAGCTGAGAGAAGGAAAGGAATTATAGTATAATAACTATCATTTCAAAGTTTTAGCTTTTTGAGTAACTGTTTTAAAAATTTAGTTTTTTTACCTTGATTTTACTTTTATCTTGATTTAAGATATCTGTCATTCAAACCTCCAGCAGTTTGAGAACTTATTTACTCTAATACTGATACTATATACTACAGGTCAGGGTAAGGGATTGAATTATTCTCTGCTACCACCACCTATGAGGTCCAGTGAATAATTTGAAAAAGGCTTACAGGAGATTGTGAGCAGGAATCCGGGCTCAACTTTGGGAACTGGTATTCTAGTGCAGTATATTCAAAATACATACTTAATGGGTCACTTTTTTTTGTTACTTTAAAATAAAATATTCTTACACTAAATAAGATGAAGTTTGAGAAGCATATTATTAGTTGTGAGAGCTAAACACTTATGATGTGAGAGATATCTATATTGTATTTTTCAAACTGATTCCCTTACTTCTTATTTGAGACACAAAATGATATTCTAGAAGGAGCATAGGCTTTGGAATTGATAATCTTAGGGTCAAATCCTGGTTCTGCCATTTCTTAACTATGTGATCTTGATTAAAGTTACTCAGCCTCTCTGAATCTATGTTTCCTTACCTACAAAATGGGGATCAGAATATGAAGATTTACTATCACGTATTTGGAGTGCTCAAATGTGGGGGCTATTAGTACTACACAGTTTTGCTGTTACATAGTGGTCATATTTTCATGAGGCTACCTTAATTTTTACTCTGATATCATATACCAAATAGTTGCCACATTTCATATTTAAAAATGAAGTCATTGAGACCACTGTCCCTTCCATCTGTTTGAGCTAGGCATCATTTTTGTGTTCTCACAACTTAACGAATGTGAGACAATTTGCTCTGTAGTGTTGCTTGGTAAATCACTTTTTCACTTTCAGGGTATTTTTCAGTCTTGTGGATGAGAGGTCTTGACAATAGTCATTAAAGATATGATAGCATTTTCACAAGAACAAGGACATGTGCCTTATGTCTCTTTGCTGAGATCCAGTCTGGGTGGACTAATTTTAACATTTTTCTAGATCTACACTAATATTTCACTAGGAGAAGTCACTATCTGCCTAGGTCAGATCTGATTAAGAGCTAGTAAAGACCACCTCAGTTATACTCTCTGGTAATGGAAGGATGTGATGTTGTGTAGTTCAAGGAGGATGGGATAGAAGTCAACCGGTTTGGGTTTGCTGGATGGTGACTTTGGTTAAGTCACTTGAAACTCCAAACTGCAGATTATTATTATCTAGTGGAGACATATTACATATCTGTTTAGCTTACTCCCATTAAACCAAACATCATTTAAAAAGCAGTGTTACAGCTCTTTTAGAATTAGTCTAGCAGGTTTTCCAGCTCTCACCAGAAAACTAAAGAAAAAATAAATAAAAAAAATAAGAGAGAGAGAGAATGAAAATCCACTTAAATGTGAAGCTACCCTGAATTCTACTTAATGGGCATGAGATGCAGGGAAGTGAGGCAAGGGTGGCACAAATTGCTGTTTCCATAGTTAGTGTCAGTTCTCTTATCCTTTTCTTTCTTTCTTTCTTTCTTTTTTTTTTTTTTTGAGATGGAGTTTCGCTCTTGTGGCCCAGGCTGGAGTGCAATGGCGCGATCTCGGCTCACTGCAACCTCCGCCTCCCAGGTTCAAGCACTTCTCCTGCCTCAGCCTCCCAATTAGCTGGGATTACAGGCACCCACCACCAAGCCTGGCCAGTTTTTTGAATTTTTTAGTAGAGATGGGGTTTCACCATATTGGCTAGGCTGGTCTCGAACTCCTGACCTCAGGTGATCCACCTGCCTCAGCCTCCCAAAGTGCTGGGGTTACAGGTGTGAACCACTGCACTTGGCTCTCTTATACTTTTTACAATGTGGGTATCTTGCTGCCAAAAGTGTTGGTGTTTAAATATACTACCCTCAATTTTTGTGCAATATAGCCTCTAAATGCAAGTCAGCTATTTCTTTTTTTCTTTTTCCTTCCTTCCCTTCCCTTCCCTCTTTCTTTCTTTCTTTCTTCTTTCTTTTCTTTTCTTTCTTTCTTTCTTTCTTTCTTTCTTTCTTTCTTTCTTTCTTTCTTTCTTTACTTTCTTTCTTTCATTCATTTCTTTTGACAGAGTCTCACTCTGTCACCCAAGCTAGAGTGCAGTGGCATGATCATGGCTCACTGCAGCCTCAACCTCCCAGACAAACAATCCTCCCAAGTAGCTGGGACAATACATGTGCACTGCCACACCGGGCTAATTTTTGTAGAGACAGAATCTCGCTATGTTGCCCAGGTTGCAAATTAGCTATTACATCTATAGCTCAACCAAAGGAAAAGCTAGCTATTTAGATTAATGGAGATATGGTATGCTTGTATACTGTACAGGCAAATTTAAAAAATTTTGTGGCTAATTTTTATTATATTTGAGTTTTACCTTACATGTTTCTTTAGAGTCTAACTCCTGCACAAGATGCAATTTCCATTGTAATATCTGCCTTACCAGGTTTGTTCTGAGAATCAAGTGATATATGTTTAATTGCTTTGGAAAACTTAACAGTGCTATGAAATGTAAATTGTTTCTGTCCTCTGGACAAGACTTGGCCAGGAATTCATTCTAATAGATTTGCTCTTATTTGTTTTGTGTTTTCATACAGAAAGGGAATTATAGATAAGTATAGAACAACAGCCATGATGATGATGATAGGAGCTTAGAAGACGAATTGACCACTTACCACATGCCAGAAAATGTGCTTAGTCCTGTAAGAAGATTATCTCAGTTAGATACTTCTTTGTGGGGAGTTCCTCCTCTAGATTTTCTATCATCTAGGCCCTCCTAGAATTACCTCACTTCGGATTGGGAAATCTCCAAATGTGTGTGTGTGTGTGTGTGTGTGTGTGTGTGTGTGTGTGTTTGTATGTGTGTGTCTAGTGCTTTTTTATTCTTATAGAGCTGAACTAGTAAGTGCTAGGCAGGGAAATATTTATTTCCTACTCAACATGTTTCCATGGTGAGGAATTTTTATTAGAAGAAGATGTGAGCTTCTTCCTTTCCCCCCACCCCCTCCACTGAGGGCAGGAGAGTGACTTATCTGATTGAAGAGTTTGGAAGAGGGAATTGGGCATTTGTGGATTAGCCACTCTTGTACATTTTGGGCATGACTGCTTGCAGAGAGGATACATTCTGGTTTGCAGTCTCCACCATGCTACGACTTAGCAAAATATGCTCTATACCTGTGGGTGAGATATGCACCTGTTTAGTGCTGCCTATGGCTGGGTAGGTAAATCTGACTAGCTCAGCAACTATTAGCAAGTCCACTTGGTTGTATGTCTTTAATTCAACTTTCACCAGAAATAAAGCTAATATTTTCAATCTCTCACTTCTGTGTCTACTTTTAATTGGTTTCAAACTTAGATGGGAAAGAGAAGTGTTATGAATTAACTACTTAAACACCTGATAAGGGGCAGTATAAGGGAGTGGTGAAGAGCACTGGTGTGGAAATGAAATTGCCGATTTCAAATTCTGGCTCCATGACTTATTAGCTGTGTTACATTGTGCAAGTTACTTAACCTCCTGTGCCTTAGTTACCTTATCTTTAATTTAAAAAAAATTTTTTTTTGAGACATCTCACTCTTTTACCCAGTCTGGAGTGCAGTGGTGCAATCATGGCCCACTGCAGCCTCAACCTGCCAGGCTCAAGTGTTCTTTCCATCTCAACTTCCCGAGTGGCTGGGACCACAGGCACACACCACCATGCCTAGCTAATAAGACGAGGTCTCATTATGTTTCCCAGGCTGGTCTCAAACTCCTGAGCTCAAGCAATCCTCCCTCCTCAGCCTCCCAAAGTGCTAGAATTATAGGCATGAACCACCATGTGCAGCTTAATTACTGTATCTGTAAAACAGGGACAATAATAGTCCCTATTTTACCTTCACTGAGTTGGTGAGAGGATTAAATAATTTAAAGCATGTAGAATGTTTCCAACAGTCCTGGGCACATAATAAGCATTAAAAAAAACTGTTAGCTATTCTTATTATTATATCAATATTGACAGCCCAAGGATATAATCTAAATATTTGCAAATAATTTGCACTCAGCTTCTTTTTTTGAGACAGGGTCTCACTTTGTCACCCAAACTGGAGTGCAGTGTTGCAATTTTGGCTCACTGCAACCTCTGCCTCCTGGGCTCAAGCAATCCTCCCACCTCAGCCTCCTGAGTAGCTGGGACCACAGGCTTTCACCACCACACCCAGCTAATTTTTTGTATTTTTGGTAGAGACAGGGTTTCACCATGTTGCCCAGGCTGGTCTCAAATTCTTGGACTCAAGCGATCCACCCACGTCAGCCTCCCAAAGTGCTGGGATTACAGGTGTGAGCCACCATACACAGCTGCACTCAGCTTCTAACTTTCTTCCTGCAGTGACTGAATGTTTATGTCTCTCCAAAATTCATATGTTGAAATCCTAACCTAGGGCCGGGCGCGGTGGCTCACGCCTGTAATCCCAGCACTTAGGGAGGCCAAGGCGGGCGGATCACAAGGTCAGGAAATCGAGACCATCCTGGCTAATACAGTGAAACCCCGTCTCTACTAAAAATACAAAAAATTAGCCGGGTGTGGTGGTGGGTGCCTGTAGTCCCAGCTACTCGGGAGGCTGAGGCAGGAGAATGGCGTGAACCCGGGAGGCGGAGCTTGCAGTGAACCAAGATTGCGCCATGCACTCCAGCCTGGGTGACAGAGCAAGACTCCATCTCAAAAAAAAAAAAAAAAAATCCTAACCCAATTCTGAAGTGATGGTATTAGGAGGTGGGGCCTTTGGGGGTGATTAGGTCATGAGGATAGAGGCCTCATAAATGGGATTAATGCCCATAATTTGCTTGACTATAGTAACCACTATATATATCACTATATATTGGCTTGACTATAGTAACCACTACATATATATTTTGGCTTCCCCGGGCCACACTGGAAGAAAAAGAATTGTCTTTGACCACACATAAAATACACTAACACTAATGATAGCTGTTGAGCTAACAAACAAACAAAAAAAAAAATCGCAAAAAAATCTCATAATGTTTTCGGAAAGTTTACAAATTTCTGTTGGGCTATATTCAAAGCTGTCCTGGGCCACATGCAACTCACAGGCCACAGGTTGGACAGGCTTGATGTATTTCAAAACATCACGTTGTATACCTTAAATATAATAAAAATAAAATATGGCTGGTCAAGCTGGGCATGGTGGCTCACGCCTGTAATCCCTACACTTTGGGAGAGCAAGGTGGGTGGATCACCTGAGGTCAGGTGTTCGAGACCAGCCTGGCCAACATGACGAAACCCTGTCTTTACTAAAAATACAAAAAACAAAACTAGCCGGGCTTGGTGGCGGGCGCCTGTAATCCCAGATACTCCGGAGGCTGAGGTGGGAGAATCACTTGAATCCAGAAGGCGGATATTGCTATGAGCCGAGATTGTGCCATTGCACTCCAGCCTGGGCAGCAAGAGCTAGACTCTGCACCAAAAAAAAAAAAAAAAAAGGCTGGTCTCAGTGCAGTGGAATTAATTGACACAACCAGTTATTTCTTTTTCTTTTTTTTTTTTTTTTTTTTGAGGCAGGGTCTCACTCTGTCCCCCAGGCTGGAGTGCAGTGGCATGATCTTGGCTCACTGCAACCTCTGCCTCCTAGCTTCAAGTGATTCTCCAGCCTCAGCCTCCCAAGTAGCTGGGATTACAGGTATAGGCCACCACAGCCAGCTAATTTTTGTATTTTTTTGTAGAGACAAGGTTTCTCCATGTTGCTCAGGCTGATCTCAAACTCCTGAGCTCAAAGCCATCCACCTGCTTTGGCCTCCCAAAGTGCTGGGATTACAGGTGTGAGCCATCACACCCGGCCCAGTTATAGATTTATTTGTTCTGTCTTCACTCCCAGTGATTCACTTGACTAGACTTAAAATATAAATAGGCCAAGGGCAGTGGCTCACGCCTGTAAACCCAGCACTTTGGGAGGTTGAGGTGGGAGGAGTACTTGAGCCCAGGAGGTCAAGACCAGCCTGGGCAACATGGTGAGATTCCATCTCTACAAAAAATGTAAAAATTAACCAGTGTGGTGGTGCATGCCTGTAGTCCCAGCTACTCAGGAGGCAGAGGCAGGAGAATTGCTTGAACCCAGGAGGCAGAGGTTATGGTGAGCCGAGATCGCACCACTGCACTTCAGCCTGGGCAACAGAGCGAGACTCCTTAAAAAAAAAAAAAAAAAAAGGCCAGGTGCAGTGGCTTACACCTGTAATCCCAGCACTTTGGGAGGCCAAGGCTGGCGGATCACCTGAGGTCAGGAGTTCGAGACCGGCCTGACCAACATGGTAAAACCCTGTCTCTACTAAAAAATACAAAAATTAGCTGGGTGTGGTGGTACGTTCCTGTAATCCCAGCTACTCAGGAGGCTGAGGCAGGAGAATCACTTGAACCCAGGAGGTGGAGGTTGCAGTGAGCTGACATCACACCATTGCACTCCAGCCTGGGCAACAGAGCGAGACTCCATTTCAAAAAAAAAAGCCAGGCACAGTGGCTCACACTTGTAATCCCAGCACTTTGGGAGGCCGAGGTGGGCAGATCACGAGGTCAGGAGATCAAGACTATCCTGGCTAACATGGTGAAACCCCATCTCTACTAAAAATGCAAAAAATTAGCCCGGTGTGGTGGTGGGTGCCTGTAGTCCCAGCTACTCAGGAGGCTAAGGCAGGAGAATGGCGTGAACTTGGGAGGTGGAGTTTGCAGTGAGCCGAGATCGCGCCAGTGCACTCCAGCCTGGGTGACGGAGCAAGACTCCATCTCAAAAAAAAAAAAAAATGTTGATTCACTGGTTATTACAATAGGGGGATTCTGTGAGCTAAATATGCTTTAATTATATAATTAAATATAGTTTAATTTTTTTCTCCCATTTCTCTACTTGCCACAATCTGCAAAAATGAGACTCACAGTGACATTCCTAGGGGGCACTTATCAGGCTAGTCCATAGTGATCACCCTTATTGCAGAGTTGCATGGCATTTTGTCTGTCCTACACAATTTAGTAGTTAAACGTGTGCTGTCATATGTAGTAGGATGCTGGATAAGGTAGACTTTTCATAAAAGAATTATCTGAGTGGCTCGTAGGGTGCAAATATGTTGCAGTAATATTTGGGGAATGGTGCTCAATATTTTATTATGAAAAATTTCAGACACAGAAAACATGAATTTTGTTACAAATACCTGTATAGTTACCATTCTGCCATGAACACTCTAATACACATGCTTTTATTTATTTATTTATTTTTATTTTTTATTTTTTGAGATAGAGTCTTGCTCTGTCACCCAGGCTGGAGTGCAGTGCCCGCAATCTCAGCTGACAGCTGACTGCAACCTCTGCCTGCCAGATTCAAGCAATTCTCCTGCCTCAGCCTCCTAAGTAGCTGGGATTACAGGTGCATGCCACCATGTCGACTAATTTTTGTATTCTTAATAGAGATGGGGTTTCACCATGTTGGCCAGGCTGGTCTCCAACTCCTGACCTCAAGTGATGTGCCCACCTCGGCCTCCCAAAGTGCTGGGATTATAGGTGTGAGCCACTGCGCCTGGCCTAATACATATGCTTTATTACATAACCGATCTATCCATTTATCATTTGATCCATCCATCAGTCCATCTTACTTTTCTGATGCATTTCAAAGTAGAGTGTTGCAGTAAAATTTTGAAATGCTAACATTCTTCTGGGTGTAGTGGCACATGCCTATAATCCCAGTGCTGTGAGAGGCCAAGGCAGGATGGTCCCTTTAGCTCAGGAGTTTGAGTCCAGTCTGGGCAACATAGAGAGACCTCGTCTCTACAAAAGTTAAACAAAATTAGTTGGGTGTGGTAGCAGGCACCTGTGGTCCCAGCTACTTGGTGGGGCTGAGGTGGGAGGATTGCTTGAGCCCTGGGGGTTTGAGGCTGCAGTGAGCTGTAATCACACCACTGCACTCCAGCCTGGGTGACATAGCAAGACCCTCCAGCCTGGGTGACAGCAAGACCCTGTCTCAAAATAAAAGAAAGAAAAAGGCCGGGCGTGGTGGCTCACGCCTGTAATCCCAGCACTTTGGGAGGCTGAGGCGGGTGGATCACAAGGTCATGAGATCGAGACCATCCTGGGTAACATGGTGAAACCTCAGCTCTACTAAAAATACGAAAAAATTAGCCAAGCGTAGTGGTGGGCACCTGTAGTCCCAGCTGCTCGGGAGGCTGAGGTAGGAGAATGGCATGAACCCGGGAGGCGGAGCTTGCAGTGAGCCGAGATCCCACCACTGTACTCCAGCCTTGGTGACAGAGCAAGCCTACGTCTCAAAAAAAAAAAAAAAAAAAAAGAAAAGAAAAAAAGAAAGAAAGAAAGAAAAAAATGCTAACATTTGATTCCTTTCTTGGAATTTCTTGTGACTCCTTGATTTCCTCTTGAAAGGCAGAAACCATATGGTAGAGCAGACAAAGTCTGGAGCCTGACTGCCTGGGCTTGAAATCCAGCCCTGCCACCTACTAGCTGTGTGACTTGAGCAACCTTACTGTGACTTAGTGTTCTCATCTGAAATGAGAGGATTATAACAGTTCCTACTTGTTGTGGGACTAAATGAGGTAGTTACAGGCAAGGCATCTGCAACAGTGCTTGGTGAACAAACACTTGCAGAATGCTAAGTGGCACTAGGCACTTTATACGTATTAACTCATTTAATTGTCACCAAAACCTTATGAGGTAGTACTATTGTTATAAAATATAATGAATATTAAGCTATTATTGTTTGTTTTAGCAGAAATTCATAGAGGAAAAAGTATCTACTTAGTTTACAGTGGCACAATTGTCACTCGTTGTAACCTCAAACTCCTGGGTGTAAGCAATCCTCCTGACTTAGCCTCCTGAGTAGCTAGGACTACAGATGTGCACCACCACACCTAGCTAATTTTTAAATTCTTTTGTAGAGACAGGGTCTTACCCAGGCTGGTCTTGAACTCCTGGCCTCAAACCATTCTCCCACCTCAGCTTCCCAAAGCACTGGGATTACAGACATGCACCACTGCACCAAGCCTAGTTTTTTAGTTTTAAAATGGGCATTTTGAAGTTCATGACAAAGAGAATACTTTGGAAAGGAAGGCTTTTTGAAAGAAACGGCTCTTTGCCTGTCAAAAACCAGAGTACCCAGAGTCAAAGTTTATGTCATTAACAATTGATTTGGAACAACAGGTGAAGAGTTTCGCCCGATCAAATTATATAACGATGCCTGACCTTGGGGAGGAGAGAGAGAAAGAACCAGGGAGAGGCTGATGACAGTATCTGGAACTTGCCCTAATCCAGGCTGATTTCCACAGTTGGGATAAAAGTACCTCTGGATTTGACAGCGAAGGAGAATTGTGCTTTCCTGTGACTATTTGGACTGGGGCTTGGGGGTGGAGTAAGGTGAGGTAGCTCTTGATGTGCAATGCTTTTTTTTTTTTTTTTTTTTTTTTTTTACCTCATCCCTCTCTCCAGTTCAAACTGAAACTTGTCATCCACTGCCTCAGGAAAGGGAGGCCATAAGAAACAAAATAAGTTAATTTTTTGGCTTTTGAGCACTAAAAACTTTTGACCTGGCCAAAAAGTAAAAATAAAAACACCTAAAATCCCAGCACTTGGGGAGGCCCAGGCTGGTGGATCACCTGAGGTCAGGAGTTCAAGACCAGCCTGGCCAACATGGCAAAACCCCTTCTCTACTAAAAATATAAAAAAATTATCCGGGCATGTTGGCACGTGCTTATAGTCCCAGCTACTCGGGAGATAGAGGCAGGAGAATTGCTTTAACCCAGGAGGCAGAGGTTGCAGTGTGCCGAGATCATGCCACTCGACTCCAGCCTGGGCGACAGAGAAAGACTGTCTCAAGAACAAACAAAAACAAATGAAAAACATGTTTGATAGAGTTATTTCTGGTTCCAGAGAAGACAGAAATTCTCTGGACTGAAAAAGTCCCAGGCAAACAGTTGGTCACCCTACTTGGGAGGGTTCTTCTGTTTCCAATTATACTTGATATTTGTAAAATAAATGCAGTATTGTTATGTTATATTAAGAATTCAGCATTCTACTAATAAATGCAAGGCTTGGCAATCTTTTAGTGTCCCTACTACATATGACATAAATAGCTGGAACTTCCAAAATTTTTAGGAGCTGCACTTGCTGACTTCAGTTGACTGTAATTTTCAATAGTTCCCTTTTTATTTTCGAGACAGAGTCTTGCTCTGTTGCCTAGGCTGGAGTGCAGTGATGCAATCATAGCTCACTGCAGCCTCGACCTCCAGGACTCAAGCAATCCTCCCATTTCAGCCACCTGAGTAGCTGGGACTACAGGCATGTGCCATCACATCCAATTAATTTTTTATTTTATTTTTTTGTAGAGACAGGGTCTCATTATTTTGCTAAGGCTGGTGTCAAACTCCCAGGCTCAAGCGATCCTCCCACTTGGCCTCCTGAGTAGCTAGGTCTACAGGTGGGCACCACCACGACTGGCTAATTGTTAAATTTTTTGTAGAGGTGAGGTCTCACTATGTTGCCCAAGGTATTTGTTCCTATTTTTTGCTTTTTAACTTAAAATTATTATTCTAAGCACTTTATATGAGCAAACTATGTAAAGGATAATTCATACATACCACTTTCCATTTGTTTTGTATAACCATGTTTATTTGCCCCAGGAAACTGGAAGTGATTATAATAAATATAAGCAACATGGAGTTATAGTTAAGAGCATAGGATCAGGAGCCAGACTGTTTGGGTTTAAATCCTAGTCTTGCCCCTTATTAGCTGTGTGATGTTGGACTAGTTCCATTTCTTCATCTGCAAAATGGGAGCTAAATCTTATTATGGTATCTACATAATAAGATGGTTGTGAGGATGAAATTAGTTAATATATGTAAGGTGCTTATAATGAATGATGCCAGAGACATAGTAGGCACTCAAGGATTGTTAGGTGATTTGCAAGTTTTGTTTCATTTTGTTTGAGATCGAGTCTCGCTTTGTCACCCAGGCTAAAGTGCAGTGGCATGATCTCAGCTCACTATAACCTCCACCTCCCGGTTCTGGGGATTGTCCTGCCTCAGCCTTACGAGTAGCTGGGATTACAGGTATGCACCACCACGCCCAGCTAATTTTTGTATTTTTGGTAGCGATGGGGTTTCACCATGTTGGCCAGGCTGGTCTCCAACTCCTGACCCCAAGTGATCTGCCCACCTCGGCCCCCCAAAGTGCTGGGATTACAGGCATGAGCCACTGCGCCCAGCCAATTTGCAAGTTCTTTTGCCTTACTAAGAAACCTAAAAATTTATCCATAGTTCTTTATTTCCCTAATTAAAACTTCACTAAGAATTGAGAAGGTGAGAATATTTTCTGACATGACACATTGTTTTCCCCTTTAACTTTTAATAGGACTGTCCTACGGACTGAATTGTTTCTTCCCAGTTCCAGCCCCCAAAGTGACTGTATTTGAAGACTACATCTTTAGGAGATAATTAAAGATCATAAGAGTGAGGCCTTAATATGATTAGACTGGTGGCCTTATAAGAAGAGGAGGAAATCTCTCTCTCTCTCTCTCTTTCTCTCTCCCCGCCCCCTGCTGCCCTTCTCCCCCTCTCCCCCTCCCTCCCTTCCTCCCTCTCTGCATCCAGCAAGGAAAGGCTATGTGAGGAAACAATGAGAAGACAGCCTTCTACAAGCCAGGAAGAGAGCTCTCACTGAGGCCCAACCTTGCTGAATGTTGATCTGGGACTTTTGGCCTCCAGGAGAGTGAGAAAAGTAATTTCTGTTGTTTAAGCCATCCAGTCTATGGTATTTTGTTATGGCAGCCAAAGCTGACTAAAATAGATTATTAATTAATAAGTAGTAAAGACCTGGGGAAAACTCTTAGAGTTGCATTTATTGGCCAAAGAATGGCCAAGTTTCTTCCCCTCCCTGAGCTATACAAATGTACCTGATGACTGGGAAGAATGATGAAGTGGAAAGAAGACCTGACTTCTTGGCCCAGCCCTGCCCCTCACCAGCTGAGTCATCTTGGGCATGTCTTGTAACCTCCACTCCTCAATTTTCTCCACAGTATAAAATGAGGCATGAGAGATTAATATATTGATCTCCGTATAAAAGGGTTGAGCTACATGTTTGAATTGATGACAAGGCTGAGATGAAAGAGGAGCAGCAATATAGACTAAAGACCAAGAACTTAGAAGACAAAGTAGTTGGAGCCAGAAGCAACCGCCATGAGAAGCCCCTAGGTCTTTCCAGAGAGGTTGAGAAGGGTACTGGGTTTTCCACAGGAGGTGGAATGGGGGATTGAGTCAATCCCACCAGGTCTTAAGAGGCAGGGAGACCTTGGCTGTCATTTGGATTACCAAGAGGTTTTGGCTATATGCTTCCTAAATCATCTTCTATCTCTTGGGTTCTGTAATTTAATGATTAAGGGGAAGAAGAAGGGATGAGGAAAGGGGGAAAGAGGGAGGCTGAGGACTCATTTGTGCTAGAAATGAAATATATAGCTGGTCTCCAAATTCTTCTTTACTGCTGCAAAATACAGGGGTCTGTCTTCCTTCTTTCACATATGTATTTCTCTACCTGTCCATGGTATTCATTTTAACTTGATTGGGGTGCCCTGTCTGGGTCTTCAGCACTCCCTTGGATAGCATTGGTCCTGTAGGTCACGGGAAAATGCTGTCCCTCTCACCTGTCTCATCTATACCTGCAAGGTATGTGTTAAATGAGGCTAACCTCTCAGATAAATGTCGGGTTCTAGATCTGCTACCCACTACCATGTGCCTTTGAGCAAGTCACTTAAGCACTCTATGCTACATGTCATTTGTTTTTAAAGTCTATTAGGCAGTGATAAACAAAACACATACCTCATATGGTTTTGAAGGATAGTTAGAAATTCTCTTTAAATTTTGCATCCTGTGGGAACAGGGACCACGTCTTTCTTGTTCTCATGCTTAGCCTGTAGTAGGTTCTCAGTAATTGTTTTTTGAATGAATAAAAATGGCTTAGCCTGGTGCCTGAAGCATAGTAAGTACCCAAGAAAAGGTGTCTATATATATCTCCTTCTCTAGTGGTCGTCAGTTGTTTTGCCTACCCAAAAGCTAGTATAAGTTTATTCTATTTTTTTGAGACAAAGTCTCTATCTGTTACCCAGTCTACAGTGCAGTAGGGTAATCACAGCTCATTGCAGCCTCGAACTCTTAGGCTCAAGCAATCCTCCAGCCTCAGCCTTCCAAGTAGCTGGGACTAGATGCAAGCACCACCATGTCAAGCTAATTTTTAAAACTTTTTTTTTTTAGGGACAGGATCTCACTATGTTGCCCAGGCTGGTCTTGAACTCCTGGGCTCAAGTGATCTCCTGCCTTGGCCTTCCAAAGCACTGGGATTCCAGGTGTGAGCACCAAGCCTGGCCTGCCCAGTATCTATTTGTGCATTTTCTAGTCATAAGGCCTCCATTTTCCTTTGTAAAACTTCTCCTTTCTCCTCCTCAGTTGTTGTGATTCTGGGGGCTGACTCCACAGAGCCACTCTAGGAGGTGATATGCGGCCCACACCTGGCCCAATTGAGGCCAGTGAGAGGCCAAATGTTTTTCTGGATCTAATGTGAAAGGGACATTGTCTTTCCATCAAGGTTGCCAAGTTGGTAAAAGGTAAGCCTGAAGCTCCTGGTGGCCATCTCGTCCATGTGGGAGGAATCTGCCCAGGAGTAAAGCCAAGAGAAAAGAAAAGCAGACTTGAGGGAAGGAAGGAAATGGATTCCTAATGATTTCCTTTAGCATCTGAATTCAGCCAAAAATAAGACAGTCTCTGTCCACAAGGAGCTTACAGTTAGGTAAAGACGATGTGATCAGGAGGGTCAGGCTGCCATGGAAACACTAACACAGGCTACATAGCCAGAACTTTGGTGAGTGTAGGTAGGCTTCTGGGCAGGCAGGGAGAGACATCTACAAAGAGATGGAAATGATTAATACGAGTTAGCCAGAAATGGGGCAGCATGTGAGAAAGGGGAGAAAGGAAAACAATGCAGAGATGAAAAACAACAAAACAATGGCTGAAAAGCAAAATAGTATGGTGCTTTCAGGGAATTCAATATGACAAAAGCATACACAACATTTTCCCAAATATGATCTCATTTAATCCGACAATTTGAAATCTTGCACAATAAAAACAATGACCAGTTAGAATGTGTTCAGGTGCAAGTTAATGAAAACCTGTTTACTAGTGACTTATACAATGAAGACATTTAATTACTTAGAGGTAGGCAATCCAGAGCTGGTACTTTGATTCTGTAATGTCATTAAGAATCTGGGGGCTGGGGTTGGTGACTCACATCTGTAATTCCAGCACTTTGGGAGGCTAAGGCGGGTGGATCACCTGAGGTGAGGAGTTCGAGACAGCCTGGCCAACATAGTGAAACCCTGTCTCTACTAAAAATACAAAAATTAGCTGGGCGTGGTGGTGCAGGCCTGTAATCCCAGCTACTTGGGAGGCTGAGGCAGGAGCATTGTTTGAACTCGGGAGGCGGAGGTTGCAGTGAGCTGAGATCATGCCACTGCACTCCAGCCTGGGTGATAGAGTATGACTCTGTCTTAAAATATATATATATATATATATATATATATATGTACATATCATATATGGGGGCTGGGTGCAGTGGCTCACACCTATAATTCCAGCACTTTGGGAGGCTGAGGAGGGAAGATTGCTCGAGTCCAAGAGTTTAAGACCAGCCTGGGCAACATAGTGAAAACCCATCTCTATCCCCCAAAAAGCCAAACGAAACAAATTAGCTTGGTAGGGTGGTGTGTGCCTGTGGTGCCAACTACTCAGGAGGCTGAGACAAGAGGATCATTTGAGCCTAGGAGGGGAGACCGCAGTTAGCCGTGATTGTGCCACTGCATTCCAGCCTAGGTGGTAGAGTGAGACCCTGTCTCAAAAAAAGAAAAAAGAATCTGAGCTCTTCCTATCTTTTTGTTTCACCATTTTTGGCTTTTGGATGCTTATTATGCATTATACATATTACTCGTGGTATATAGAATAATGGCCCCCAAAAATACCCACATTCTAATACCCAGAATCTATTAATATATTACCTTACATGCCAGAAGGGACTTTGTAGATTTGATTGAGTTAAGGATATTGAGGGCTGGGAGCATGGTAGCTCACGTCTGTAATCCTAGCACTTTGGGGAGGCTGAGACAGGTAGATCGCTTGTGCCCAGGAGTTGGAGACCAGCCTGGGCAATATGGCGAAATCCCATCTCTAATTAAAAATAAATAAATAGGCTAGGTGCAGTGGCTCACACCTGTAATCCCAGCATTTTGGGAGGCCGAGGCGGGTGGATCATAAGGTCAGGAGTTCAAGACCATCCTGACTAACACGGTGAAACCCTGTATCTACTAAAAATACAAAAATTAGCTAGGTGTGGTGGTGCGCACCCATAATACCAGCTACTCAGGAGGCTGAGGCAGGAGAATCACATGAACCCGGGAGGCAGAGGTTGCAGTGAGCCAAGGCACCACTGCACTCCAGCCTGGGCAACAGAGCGAGACACCGTCTCAAAAAAAAAAAAAAAATTAGCTGTGTGTGGTGGTGCATGCCTGTAATCCCAGCTACTTGGGAGGCTGAGGCAGGAGAATTTTCTGAACCTGGGAGGCAGACGTTGCTGTGAGCCAAGATCGTGCCATTGTACTCCAGCCTGGGCAACAAGAGTGAAACTCCATCTCAAAAATAAATAAATAAATTTAATTAATTAATTTTTTTTTTAAAGAAGCAGAGGTTATAGAAAGAGAAAGATTTGAAGATACTGTGGTGCTAGCTTTGAAGATGAAGGAAGGAGCCATGAGCCAAGGAATGCAGACAGCTTTTAGAAGGTGGAAAAGTTCCGACCTCCAGAATTAAAATATAATATATTGGTGTTTTAAGCCATTAAGTTTGTGGTAATTTGGCAATAGGAAATGAATTTCTCACCAATGGTTGCAAGACAACTGTCACAGCTCCAGGTATTATTTTCATAGCCACTACAGGAAGAAGGGTTAGGAGTTTAAAAGGCAGATCCACCCCACATTCATTCCTTTTGTCAAGAAAGCAAAAGCATTCACAGGCATCCTGCCAGCTGACTTTCCCTACAAATCATTGAGAACTTGGACAGAATGGCCACCTCTAGCTGCAAGGGAGGGTAGGAAAGTATCTCACTTTCCAGTCTGATTTGTTTTGTAGATGGGTCAGTCCCTTATTAATGAAAGCATAAGCAGGTTGTGCTGAGGTGCAGAACATCGGAGCATGTGACTGCGGGTGCCCTTCATCTGGGAGGAAGGGCTGTGGGAAAGTCTTGGTCCTATGTGCTAAGTGTCATTTGCCCTCGGCAGGCCAAGGCAGAGTGATTGAGTGCCTCAGAAACCGGGCTTTTCATAAGTGGCGGTTTTGGTATTTTTGGAAAGTAAGAATGAATATCCTTTTCTAAGGAGACCATCTGAGAGAGACTTTGGTTAGGGAGGGCTGATGTGCGCCTCCAACCAGAGTCAAACGGTCTCGTGCTCTCTCTGAGGTGATTCCTCCCTTCAGACACTTGTGGAGAGAGTGAAGCCTGCTCCAAAATGATAAGGAGTGAAAGCTGAGAAATTATAACCAGAGGAAGGCTCTAGAGAACACAAAAGAGGGCCAGAACTGGAGTGGAGAGGGAAGACAGAAGTAAAACCATGTCTACTATTAAGGACACAATGCAGAGAAAGCTAGGCATTATTTTTATCAGCATTAACCTGATTGGTAGCTCTCTTGTTAGGGGGCAAGCTCCCATCAGTGAAAGGCAGTGATAAGTTTGGTGATCATAGTCAGAAAGCTTGGGTAGACTCTTTGGCATAGGATAGACATCCAGGCAAAGGATCTGACAATTGCAGCTTTTGACAAAATATCAGAATCTTGCTGTGGTGAACCAGGAGGAATGCACAGCACTGGGGATAGCAAAGAGTGACTTTGTCAGGGAAACAAAAGCTAAACAAAAAATGTAAGTTGCCTTGTGGATAGGGATCACCCTCATTGATACTGTCCAGACCATAGGACTGCCCTGTTGCCCTGTTAGTTCTGGTTGTTGGAGAGAAGTTTGTTTGTTGGGGCAGTTTCTAGAGATCTTTGTGGAGGAGCACCATCCTTGAACCCCATCCCCACCTCCCATGGATTTACTTACATACATGCATAGATATATATGTGCAAAGATGATCACTGCATCAATGTTTGGAAATTTTAAAAAAGCAGAAACAACCTAAATTCCCATTTGAAAGCCTTGGTTAAATAAATTATGCTATATCCAAATAACAGAATACTCTGAGGCCATTTATGTTTATATGACTGATGTGGAGTAAGTTCCATATTAAGGGACTTTAGCAAGATGCAGAGCAGTGTATAGAACTCAAATGGAACAGCTTCCATTGTGGGGGCTGTTGTCTCTGGAGGTGAGGACCAAGGTTTGGGGGAGGAAGGAAGACATATTTTTGCTTGTTTTGAATTTTGGTTCTTTTTGAGACAGTGAGACAGTCTCCCTCTGTTTCCCATGCTGGAGTGCAATGGTGAGATCTTGGCTTACTGCAACCTCTGCCTCCCAAGCTCAAATGATTCTCGTGCTTCAGCCTCCTGAGTAGCCAGGACTACAGGTGTGTGCCACCACGCTGGCTAACTTTTGTATTTTTAGTAGAGGTGGGGTTTTGCCATGTTGGTCAGGCTAGTCTTGAAATCCTGGCCTCAAGTGATCCACTTGTCCCAGCCTCCCAAAGTACTGGGATTACAGGCTTGAGCCACCATGCCCAGCCTGAAAACAATTTTTAACCAGATATATTGTGCCAGTTATTTATTGCTTTATAACAAATCATCTCAAAACTTACTGGCTAAACTAATATTGTATTTGGTTACAATTCTAAGGGTCAGAAATTAGAGCTGAACTCAGCTGGTCATTTCTCGTGTGCGTGCCTGGAGTCACTAATGTGGCTGTAGTCATCTGGTAACTAGATATGAGCTGAATGGCTTACGATGACCTCACTTAAATGTCTAGCTGTTGATGCTGGCTGTCACCTGAGACATCTGTCTCCTACAGGTTAACCTGGGCTTCTTTGTACGATGCCAGTGTTCAAAGAGAGCAAGAGCAGACGCTGCAAGGTTTCCTGAGGCCTAGACTCCAGAGGAGCTCATACAACACTTCTGCCACATTCTATTAGTCAAAGAAAGTCACAAGGCCAGCCCTGATTCAAGGATTGGCAAAATAAACTGCACTTCTTACTGGAAGGAGCTGCAAAGAATTTGTGGCCACTTTTAATCCACCACTGGCACATGTTGCTTTTTCCAATAAAAGGCTCCACTTAATTAAAAAAAAAAAAAAGCTGGGCATGGTGGCTCATGCCTACATCCCAGCACTTTTGGAGGCTAAGGTAGGTGGATCGCTTGAGCCCAAGAGTTCAAGACCAGCCTGGGCAACATGGTGAAACCCCACCTCTGCAAAAAATACAAAATTAGCTGGGTGTGGTGGTGCGTGCCTGTTGTCCCAGCTACTCCAGAGGCTGAGATAGGAGGATCAACTTAGCCCAGGATGATCAAGGCTGCTACTGTATGTACTCCAGCGTGGGTGACAGAGGGAGATGCACACACACACACACACACACACACACACACACACACACACACACACACAATGAATGCTATTTGTAATACATTCACAGGATCACAGGATTTTAAGAATTGGGTAGAACCTTTGAGATTATTGAGTATGAAACCTCCAAAGTTTATAAGTAAGGAAACTGAGGCCCAGAAAGCTGAAGTGTTTTGGAGAAAGTAACACAGTCAGTAGCAGCATCAGGAAGAAAACCAGGTCTTCTGACTTCTAGTCTCGTACTTTTAATTCCACAGTAGAGTTTTCTTTTTCAAACAAAGCTTGTTAGTGATCTTTGATTAAGAAAACTTGACAGCAGTTTTGTAGTCCTACTGTTCTAGTTAATAACTTAAGATTCTATTAACTTCAAAGATTCTTTTTATTACTATTATACTTTAAGTTCTGGGATACATGTGCAGAACATGCAGGTTTGTCATATAGGTATGCATGTGCCATGGTGGTTTGCTGCACCTGTCAACCTGTCATCTATATTAGGTATTTCTCCTAATGCTATCCCTCCCCTTGCCCCCTACCCCCCAACAGGTGTGTGATGTTCCCCTCCCTGTGTCCATGTGTTCTCATTGTTCAACTCCCACTTATGAGTGAGAACTAACTTCAAAGATTCTATCTCAAACAAAGGAAAGAAACTAAAGAAATAGTCCAAGCAATTCTGAGAAAAGCAAAACAGAAATCTATCTTATCTAGTCTCAGTGCTGGTTTTTCTTTTTTTAGGAAATCTAGTCTTAGTGTATCTGTGGAATGAATAATTTACTGAATCATAAATACATTGATCAAAATTGCTTTACAAAATTGTTTAAATGAGTCTAGGTTATTTTTCCTTTTGGCATATTTTTAAATCCAAAATGTACTGTCAAGTATATTTAAGTAATCCTTATTGCTCCCACTGAGAACTTAGGACTTCTCTAACAGCTCTGCTTAGTCTTTAATTAATATAATCTTGATTATTAACTGTTGAATTAATGAACTTAAAGTAATTCAACAACTGTTTATTGTGAACCCACTGATTCAAAATACTGTGCTGAAAACTGTAAAGAATATAGGAAAGAAAACATGAACGCTCCTCTTAAGAAGCTTAAAGTCTAGTTGCAGGCAAACATGTATAGACCTAATTACAACACAAAGAGGAATGAATTAGATTCCATAAGGGAGGTATTAGCAAAGCGGAATGAGGGTATAAAAGAAAGATTATAGTAATGCCAACTGGGCAGGGTGGGAAAGGCTATACCGTTATTTGTGGCAGAAAGGAGGAATGAAAAGACTTTCTATAGTTAGTGTGGTCTGTAGGATTTCCTCACAGAAAGTTAAAGTTGGGGAACTTATACAGCTTAAATACTTAGGATGCATGTCTGGGCTGTTGGAGCCCTCAGAACAGGTAGTCTCCTGATACCCATCCAAGAGGAGCTATCTTTTTGTTCATAAAATTCTGAATTGAAGAATCTATTTAATTACTACTATGTATGAGTATCTGGATTAGATGGAGCCTACCAAACAATTAAAATCAAAGTTTTGGCATGCCAAGTAGGCAAAAACAGGCAAGGAGTCCTTTGAACAGAATTCTCTTTTAATGAGACTTGCTTCTTTTTGGGTTTGCTGACAAAGTAGGATAGATACGTACTTTCATAAAAGAGAGGAATATACAGGAAAATCATTTCTTAATTTATATACATATATTTATTCATTTTTTTCTCACATTCATTCACTGACACTTTCTTTTGTGTTCAAAAACCACCTTAAAAGAAGGCAAAATGGCTAGGCAGAAGTTCCTCTAAAAAAACAAAACAAAACGAAACAAACAAAAAAAACCCTAAAATTTGCCTGAATGTCAGTAAGAATGAATGGTAAAATACCTGTTCTGTTCAGTTTGGAATATAGGTCCATAAACTACTTCTCTCATAGCCTTGAAACCCTGAGAACAAGTTGAGTCAATGTGAGGATGGAGTTTTAATCAGCTATTCTTGCTTTCTTGATTTAAATAAGACTCTTATTTTATGAGTGCCTGTGTTATTTTTCAACATCCGGTCACTTATGATATGCAGGTGTTAATGGAGCAAAGGATGTATATCATTGGATAAATATGAACACTATATTTTTCTTGCGGGACAATACATATTCTTAGGACTGTTACTGAATTACATTTTACTAGTCCTAAAATATTTAGAGTTATGTATTTAAAAGATACAGAGCATAGGTATTAGATCCACACAAAGTATTTTAGTCAGTGAATGTTCAATGTAGCAGGTAGAGATGAACTTAGCATGTCTCGTAGACTGAACTGGGAACAGACTCTTCAGCCATAAAATGCACTTAACAGTCTATTTAATAGTGGTAAGGTCCTTGAAAATGCAATATCCATGCTAATCTTGCCTTTTTCTAAATCACAGATGAAAAATAGGTCAGTTAGGTAGAGCCTTCTCTTTCTATTTAAAGGGTGACATTTAATCTATTTAAACAACTACCAAAACTTTATTAATTCAATGTAAGAAAAGTATGCTGAGAAAGTAGAGAACTTTATTAAGAACACAAGGTTTTCCAAAATTTGATTTGGATGTCTTAGATCTCAGGACTCAATAAAAATCTCTACGTGGGGGTTTCGATCAAATCAGTAGCAGCAAGTAAGGACCAGAAAAGAGCAATCCAGAATGTAATTAAATCTCACACTGTGAAACAGCTTAAAGGAACTATTTTACAAAAGGTAAGAGGCAAAAATTAGAAGAGGAGCCTCCAGAGAAAGGTTTTCTGCTTCCCTGATGCCTCTGGGGAAAATTCATTTGGGAAGTGAAGTATACACAACCAGAAAGCTTCCAGCAGAGAACAAACCAAGGAGTCAAATTAGTGTTTAATGTAACTAGATACCAGCTTTGATGCATTTCATTTAAACCACAACGTTCTGTAGAATTCTTTGGAGAAGAAAATGCAGAGTATCTGATGAATTGTAATTACGTTTCACTGGGGTCTATTTTGGAGAATGTTCACACTTTTCCAGCCCCTCTCATTTCTTTGAATAGGATTTAATACTTTCTGGCCCCGCCCTTCCAATCAGCCCAAACGTTTACCTAGGGTAATGCAGTAGTTCCATCTTTCCCAAGAATAGTTATAAAGAACAAGCGCTCCAGTATTTGAAAAGTAAACACCACAATATTCCACAACAGCTTTGGATAGGGGCTTTGAAAAAAATTTTTTTTTAATTTTTAAATTTCTTCTCTTAGTATACTTTCTGTTTTTAAATTTTTAAAAATTTTTTTGTTTCTAATTTAATAGAGATGAGATCTCACTATATTGCCCAGGCTGGTCTCCATCTCCTGGGCTCAAGCAATCCTCCCACCTCAGCCTCGCAAAGTGTTGGGATTACAGGTGTGAGCCACTGTGTCCAGCCATCATACACTTTCCTGGGTTGTAGATTTGGATGCTATAGTTGAAGGGAGAAGATGCTTTCCTCCTCTTAGCTGTCTTCTCTGGATCCTAAAGAAATCCTGGACGAGAAAGGGCACTTAGAGGTTATTTCTTTTGCTTAACTGACTACTGTAGATTCAATAACAGTTTAGTTCTGTTCAATTCAGCTATTATTCCAGAAAACTAACTCCATCAATTATAGAAAATAACTTTTTATAGAGTTTTTACAAACCTGTCTTCACTACATATCCAGGAAGGATTATTTTCCTTTACACCATCAAAGCACCCAGGTTCTTTTCTTCATTTTATGAGAATCATTCCGGTGATATGTAGTAGCTACTATTATTGGGCACATGTGGTATCTCATTTAGATTTAAATCCATGTTTCCAGAGGCAGAGTGCTGTCTTGACAATATCTGCCGTCTCCTTTCTCATTAAAACCAAACCCCAAACCTACTATCAAACAAAACGGTGATACAAAAATCACATCCTACATATTTTGTGTCCTGCCCCTCTCCTCAGCATTCATTTTTAGTTTGGCAATCTTTTATAACTTTGGTGAACAAAAGCAAAAACTCAAGAAAGAAGAAAAGACTTTATTTTGTGTTTTACCCTGTTTCACTGGCATAGACTTTGATCCCTTTCTATAAATAAAAATCTATTTCAAAATCAGACTTTAAATCTTGATGTATTTACTGTAAATTTTACAAGTTGGAACCTCCTACTATCTTGATTTATATGATTTTAAAATGGAGTTCTTACCATTTCCCTTGGGAAGAATTTTTGGTTTGAATAGTTCTTACTGGCAGGTTGCTTCCTTTATGTTTAGCCCAAATTTTCATTTTCAAAGACCATTTTAGATAAGCACCATGATAGCTCTAAGCCAATGGATCTGTGTGCCACATAATAGAGTGTGACAATCCACTCAGTTGTGAAAGACACTGAAGATAAAGCAATAAAGCAGCATTTGTGTTATCACATTGGCTTTACAAATCTACTTAAGCACTGACCCAACAGTGTTATTCATTATTGGGAATTATGGATGTTTATAATTGTCCAAAAATACATTGGGCTAAGTTATACCATATATTATAGATTTAAATTTAAATTCAAGATCCCGGGCTGAGAGAGATGCAGATTTGTAACACTCCTTGGAGGTTTGGGGGTCCGTGAACCAATGAATACATTATATTGTCACATTAAAGAACTCTTTTTATCCATAAAGATGTAACTTTTTTTTATGATCCATATAAACAAAATTATTCTTATATGTATGATTATATACATATATATGGTTGAAACATCTGTATGTATGTATATATATGAGAATAATTCCAGCTGGCATCTGAAATTGACAGTAAAAATAACAATGATTATATTCTTCTGAACTGTGTATAAATTACTGGTGTAAGCTCCTTAAGGGCAGGCTATTTAGTCAATAAATATTTGTTGAATGAATGAGTATGTTCACAAGTAATTATAAATTTAACTTGATTTGCATCACTTAAACAATAGAAATCAAAATTACTCTATTCACAGTAGAAAACAATTCATTTTTAGGCATGGTGTGGTGGCTCACGCCCGTAATCCCAGGACTTTAGGAGGCTGAGATGGGTGAATCACTTGAGCTCAGGTGTTTTGAGACAAGCCTGGCCAATAGAGAAATCCCATCTTTAATAAAAATAAAAAAATAAACTGGGTGTGGTGGTGGGCACCTGTAATCCCAGCTACTTGGGAGGCTGAGGCAGGATAATTGCTTGAACCTGGGAGGTGGAGGTTGCAGTGAGCTGAGATCATACCACTACACTCTAGCCAGGGCGACAGAGCCAGAATCTGTCTCAAAAAAGGAACGAAGGAAAGGAAAGAAGGAAGGAAGGAAGGAAAGGAAGGAAGGAAGGAAGGAAAGGAAGGAAGGAAGGAAGGAAGGAAGGAAGGAAGGAAGGAAGGAAGGAAGGAAGGGCATATTTCTTAGCTCTTTCCACAGAAAGGACTAAAACCAAAAAGCAACCCAATAGCAATGAGCATCCTCAGCACATAGAATGTGGTCTTGAAATACCATTTCCTGCTAAAAGGAACCAGGGTTCTTGAAGAAATAGCTAATTACAGGTTTGGAAAATAAACATACAAAAATAAACGTGGAGCATCTTGTTATACCAGATAGCAAGGAAACTATGATCCAAGTAAAGACTGCTATGTCATGTCAGAAGGACTCAGGAGCCAACTTAAAGAGACTCCCACTAGCCATGGGACACACTGAGCACCAGTAAGCACAGTAACGACACTGGATCGAAACACATCGAACGTGAATTGTCTGTCACATTCTCCATGAGTTCATGATACTTTTTAAAAAAATTGTCACCAATGGGGAAGCTAATAAACCAGCTCATTATTTTGAAACCTCTTCCCCTCCCCTTCCCTCTCCCTTTCTTTCACACACACACACACACACACACACACACACACACACACACACACGATCACCCTTGTTTCAAACCACAGAACAGACTTATAGATGAAAGGAATCTCTTTTGGAGCTTCGGAAACCAACCTTATATTTGGAGGAACCAAATTGGAATCAACTTAAAACTGAATTGGTTTTTTTCTTGAGACGAAGTCTCGCTCTGTCTCTGAGGCTGGAGTGCAGTGGTGGGGTGATCTTGGCTCGCTGACATCTCTGCTTCCCAGGTTCAAGCGATTCTCATACCTCAGCCTCCCAAGTAGCTGGGATTATAGGTGCACGCCACCACACCCGGCTATTTTTTTTTATTTTTAATAGAGATGGGGTTTCACCATGTTGGCCAGGCTGATCTCTAACTCCTGGCCTCAAGTGATCCGCCTACCTCGGCCTCCCAAAGGGCTGAGATTCCAGGCGTCAGCTACTGTGCCCGGCCTACTTTTAATTTCCTTTCTTCCTCTCTCCCTCCTTCATTCCCTCCCTCCCTTCTTTCTTTTTTCCTTTCTTCCTTCCAGTAATTCTATAAAATAAACCCTGAATGTATATCAATATTTAACTTCTAGGCTGGGCGCGGTGGCTCAAGCCTGTAATCCCAGCACTTTAGGAGGCCAAGGCGGGCAGATGGCTTGAGGTCAGGAGTTTGAGACCAGCCTGGCCAACGTGGTGAAACCCCATTTTCTACTGAAAATACAAAAAAATTAGCCGGGGGTAGTGGTGTGTGCCTGTAGTCCCAGCTACTCGGGAGGCTGAGGCGGGAGAATCGCTTTGAACCTGGGAGGCAGAGGCTGCAGTGAGCTGAGATATTCCACTGCACTCCAGCCTGGGTGACAGAGCAAGATTCTGTCTCAAAAAAAAGAAAAAAAGAAAAACAAAGAAATATTTAACCTTATCTTTCATGTTTAACTCATTTTTCCCATGCCAAGAATCATGGTCTCTAAACACCAGCCATGATGGAATTTGAATAGCATATATATCTTCATTTTCTTTATCCCACTTTACACATATAGTAGTCTCAGAATAACAATTCCAACCCTAATACCCACAATACGATTACTAACAATTATTTAATTATTTTAACAGATTTTTTTTTCCCTTAAGGTATATCAAACTAGGAATTAACCATCAAATTACTGTGTTTTTTCCTTTTCGTTTCTTTGAGACAGGATCTTACTGTGTCGTCTAGGCTGGAGTGCAGTTGCACAATCATGGCTCACCTCATCCTCAACCTCCTGGGCTTCATGTGATCCTCCCACCTCAGCCTCCCAAGTAGCTGGGACCACAGGTGTGTGCCACCACACCCAGATAATTTTTTAAATTTTTTTGTAGAGATGGGATCTCCCTATGTTGTCCAGGCTGGTCTTGAACTGCTGGGCTCAAGTGATCCTCGTGCCTGTGCCTCCCAAAGTGCTGGGATAGCAGGCATGAGCCACTGCACCTAGGCCCTACTGTGTTTTTTCTGTTTATTCTTCTTCTTTTTTTTTAATGGAGTCTCGTTATGTTGCCCAGGCTGGCCTCAAACTCCTGGGCTGAAGTGATCCTTCTGCCTCACAGCCTCCCAAGTAACTGGGATTACAGCTGGGCCATTATGCTGGCTAAATTATATGTTTTAAAGTCACTTGGAACAGTCTCTTTGTGTAGCAGAGCCATCAGCTGGATATATAGTTAAGTTATTTTATTTCACTTTATTTTTGAATTTTAGGAATTTATTTTTTCCATTTTAATTTTGCTTTATCATTAATTTAATCAGCAAATTTCATATTCTGACTTCCTTTAAATAGCCCTAAAAATGAATAAAAGTTAGCTAAGATCTATGTTCAGATACTTATCTGCTGTATCTCTTAGGGAAATTGTGCAGTGTCTCACACCAGCATTTCCAAAAGTGTGTTTCATGGACCATTCTTCAGGGCGAGAAGTGGGAGGTGGGGTGGGTGTGAAGATAGGAGTCTATAGTCACATGAGTCTAAAAATCCTATATTCTCTTGGAGAATCATGATGTACATAACATATAAAAGGCTTTGAAAGCCAGGTGCAGTGGCATGTGCTTATACTCCTAGCTTCTTGGGAGGCTGAGGCAGGAGGATTACCTTAAGCCAGGATTTTGAGGGTAGCCTGGCAACATAGTGAGACCCTGCCTTAAAAAACAGGCACCAAGAAGATCTGAAGTAAGGAAGCTTTCTTCCTTAGATTTGTGTAACCTAGTGTTTTAAAATTTATTTGTCTGGGCCGGGTGTGATGGCTCACGCCTGTAATCCCAGCACTTTGGGAGGCCAAGGCAAGCGGATCACCTGAGGTCAGGAGTTCGAGACCAGCCTGGCCAACATGGTGAAACCTCATCTCTACTAAAAATAGAAAAATTAGCTAGGTATGGTGGTGGGCGCCTGTAATCCCAGCTACTGAGGAGGCTAAGGCAAGAGTATTGCTTGAACCCAGGAGGCGGAGGTTGCAGTAAGCTGAGATTGCGCCACTACACTGCAGCCTGGATGATAGAGTGAAACTCTGTCTCAAAAAATAAATAAATAAAATTTATTTGTCTGTATGAAGAGACTGTCCTCACACCTTTTTTTCTCTTCTTTTTTTTTTCTGTTTTAATAAAGTTAAAGAGTAAAATAAAAATTCACAAGCTGCTTCCTTGTCCATCTGCCTACCTCCATCCCCTAATTGCAGTCTTTGACACTGGTTCGTTATCCGTCACCCCATTCACACAGACACTGGATGTCCAACTGAGAAAACAGAACTGCAGTAAGTACACGGAGACATGATGTGAATTGCATCCACATTCAAGATTAAACTGAGTGACTCTGCATTTTCTGGGTTCTAGGTGGTTGCCCTTCATTAGGCAAATAGAAAAAAATTCCCTGGACCAGACGCTTCAAAGCTGAAGCCCCAAGACCACTGAAGAATGCCTTGAAGATACTATTTGCATCAAAATCACCCATATTCATGCCCTCCTTGTCCAGGTCCTGTCCACTGTCCTAGCGAGTCTTTTTCTTGGGATCAGAGAAGATGGTAAAGGCCTCTCCAATTTCCTTGAACTTCCCCTCCTCCTTCTGAACCTCAGCACTGCCTCCACTGTGCCAATCTGGATGGTGCATCAAGGCCCATTTGTGATAAGCTTTCTTGGTCTCGTCCTCAGAGGCATTATTGTCCACTCCCAGAATCTTGTAGTAATCTTTCTTCTTACTCTTCTTCAGTTTCAGCTGTGCATTTTTTAGGAGCTGTTTGTGTTCTTTTGTTTTCTCTGTCTGATACACTTTTTCATAATTGTGCACTGCTTCTTCATACTGTTTGGTGTTCATGTAACACTGAGCTCTTCTCAAGCAGGCTTTTAAATAGGTGTCATTGAGCTTCACTGTATTTGTGCAGTCTTGTATTGCATTATCTAGTTTCCTAAGCTTAGAATTAACCATAACCCAATTATAGTAGAGTTTAGCTTAGTTTTTATATTGTTGGGGTTTATCCCCAGGGGTCATGTGTACAGTTCGTATGCTAGCTTGTAATTTCCTTCCTTAAATGCTTTATTTCTGTCTTCTTTCTTTGCTTTGAGTGCTTTGGGATTTCTGCAAGCAACGCAGGCCCTCTCATGGAGCCATCCTAAGAGCCTATACAAAAACTGAAATGACTTGTCAATACAATCTTCATAATAAAGGCAAAGACCTTATACATACAGAGGATCTGCATTGGTGGACTCCATTTGTAAAATGTCACTGGCCACAGATTGTGCTTCTGGATAATGACCCAGCATTACTAAATATTCTGCTTTGAGGATTTTGAAGCAATGGCAGGCAGGGGCAAGTGCTCGGGCACAGTCCATGCAGAGAACAACCTTCCTAATATCATGCTTCTCAAAATCTGTTTTTGCTAACTTCTCATATTCCATTATTGAATTGGCATTCTTGAACTCCTGTTATTCCTGAGCATTTTTATGATCCAGTTCTAGGGCTCTCTGGAAACTAACATGTGGCCATGGCATTCTCTAGAGAGAGGGGGCACTTGCCCCCTCCTAGATGTCCCTGAACAAAACTGTCATCCAATCTCAATGACTGGTGTGCATCTCCAAGAGCTTCCTGGAACCTTCCAAGCATAATCGATGTGGCTGCTTGATTACTGTAGTAGCTAGCATTTTTAGGACATATGCCTATGGCTTTTGTATAATAATTATAAGCTTCATTGTAGTATTTCTTGGCATAATATACATTTCCTTGTTCCTTGAAAGACTCTCCTTCCCATGGTGTACAGTTAGACTTCTAGCTTCCCTAGAAGTGAAGTTCTGATGGGCAGCCACCAAGTCTAACTTGTCTGGTTTCTATTAGCACATGGCTCTGCATCTGGCATAGACAGAGCAGATGCTCAGAAAACATTTGACGAATAAATGATATTGAGTAAAGGAAGTGTTACTTACTATGGTAGCCTTTAGAGAGAGATTTTGTTGGCCTGGCGTGATAGCTCATGCCTATAATCCTAGCACTTTGGGAGGCTGAGGTGGGCAGATCACCTGAGGTCAGGAGTTTGAGACCAACCTGGCCAACATGGTGAAACCCCATCTCTACTAAAAAGACAAAAATTAGCCAAGTGTGGTGGCACATGACTGTAATCCCAGCTACTCGGGAGGCTGAGGCAGGAGAATTGCTTGAACATGGGAGATGGAGGTTGCAGTAAGTCGAGATCGTGCCCCTGCGCTCCAGCCTAGGCAACAGAATGAGATTCTGTCTCAAAAAAAAAAAAAAAAAAAGAAAGAGAGAGAGAACATTTGGGCATCAGAGACACCAGAACAGCAGTCTGCAACTAGGGAGCCTAGAACCTTCCTGTTTTTTGTGTGTGACAATAGTTATTATCTCACTGAATGAGAGTTCTGTAGAACATGCTTTGGGGAAATGTCACTCTCAAGTTTTCTTATATGTCAGAAGGGGATAATAACACCTGTTCTACCATTGTCTCAGAGTTACTGTGAAGATCAAGTGAGCTGGATATGAAAGACTTTGGCTAATGCCTATACTGAAACATGACAATGTAAGTTTAACTCTAACATTCTGCTACTCAGGTGAACTTATGCCCTACATGGGGCAAGAGTATAATGAGACTTAGAGGTTACAGAATAATGGAAAATGAGTCATTTTGACCCATAAAAGGGTCAATTAAGGAACAGGTACTGATAAGAAAATAGATTCTATTTAAAAGAATAGTTATGATCAGGTGAATGGCTTTCAGTTAAAATCAGAGAAGATCTGAAACTTATATAGAAAAGGGCTTGTTTTCTTACTGAGTGGAAGTGATCTAGGAAAGGGACTAGAAACTATTATAAAAGTATGATTTGTGTGAGGAAGTTTGCCTAGCTGATTAAATATTGACAGTACCTTCAATAAAGTATATAATAGTTTGTTAAGGTTGCTGTAACAAAATAGCACAGGCTGCGTGGCTTAAACAACAGAAATTTATTTTCTCAGAGTTCTGGAGGCTTGAAGTCAGAGATCAAAGTGTCTGCAGGGTTGATTTCTTTTGAAGCCTCTCTCCTTGTCTTGCAGATGGCCCTATTCTCCTGTCTTCACATGGTCTTTCTTCTGTGCGCATGCATATCTGTGTTCAAATTTCCATTCTTGCAAGGATCCAGGCATGTTGGGCTAGGGCCCATCCTAATGTCCTCACTTAATATTAATTACCTCTTTAAAATCCCTATTTCCAAATATAGTCACATTCTAAGGCACTGGGGATTAGGACTTCAACATATGAATTTTGAGGGCTACAATTCAGGCCAAAACAAGTTATATGCAATTTGTACCATGAGATTATCTTTACTCTACATACATGAAATGGCCACCAGAGGTTGCTCCTTTTGCAAAAGACATGGCAGAAAGACAAGTAAGTAAGGGGATTTGAACTCTGATTTTTTGGCTGGTGAGAAATAAAATTGTTAGTTGGGCTCTTGCCCATTTCTAGTTTCATCCCAACTTTTCTGTAGTGGATTACAGATGGCCGGAAATTCTTTCCTACCTTCCCACTGAGAGGCAGAATCTATTTCCACTCTCCTTGTATCATGGCTAGGTTGCTGTGTGACTTGTAAGGCTGGGGTGTAAGAGATCTGCAACTTTTGCCTTTGCCGCTTGGAATGCTCTCTCTGGGAAGTGAGCTGCCGTGTAAAAAGTTTGCGAAACTTTCTGAAGAGAGAAGCCCTGTGGAGAGAGGGCTGAAGCTGTTCACGGATGTTTCAGCCTGAGCTGATCTCCCAGCTGAATGCAGCCTCATGAGTGACCTCAGACAATCCCAGTGGAACAGATGAACCACCTACCTGAACCCTGCCTAGATTCTTGATCCATAGAAACATGAGCAAATAAAATCATTGCTATATAAGCCGCTAAATTTTGGAGTAATTTGTTACACAGCAGTAGATAATTGAAGCCATCACCTATTAGTCAAACTGACTTTAGAGATTAATAGTATTCATTTCATATTCTTTCCCATCTGCCTTTAAAATGCACCAACTTTTTTTTTCTTTTTTTTTCCCAATGGAGTCTCGCTCTGTCGCCCAGGCTGGAGTGCAGTGGTGCGATCTCGGCTCACTGCAAGCTCCGCCTCCCGGGTTCACACCATTCTCCTGCCTCAGCCTCTCGAGTAGCTGAGACTACAGGCACCCACCACCACGCCCGGCTAATTTTTTTTGTATTTTTAGAAGCGATGGGGTTTCACCGTATCTCCTGACCTTGTGATGTGCCTGCCTCGGCCTCCCAAAGTGCTGGGATTGCAGCCGTGAGCCAGCGGGCCTGGGCAACAACAACTTTTTTTTTTTTTTTTGAGACGGAGTCTTGCTGTGTTGCCCAGGCTGGAGTGCAGTGGCGCGATCTCGGTTCACTGCAAGCTCCTCCTCCCGGGTTCACGCCATTCTCCTGCCTCAGCCTCCCGAGTAGTTGGGACTACAGGCGCCCACCACCATGCCCGGCTAATTTTTTTTTTGTATTTTTAGTACAGACGGGGTTTCACTGTGTTAACCGGGATGGTCTCGATCTCCTGACCTCGTGATCCACCCGCCTTGGCCTCCCAAAGTGCTGGGATTACAGACGTGAGCCATTGCGCCCAGCCAACAACTTTTAAGATGGATTATACATTAGTGTAATTTGATTTCAGATAATTTTTTTTTATTTTTTTGAGACAGGGTTGTGCTCTGTCACTCAGGCTAGAGTGCATTGGTGCAATCATGGTTCACTGCAGCCTCAACCTCCCTGGGCTCAAGTGATCCTCCCATCTCAACCTCCTGAGTAGCTGGGACTACATAAGCACACCACCACACCTGGCTAATTTTTATATACTTTTTGTAGAGACAGGGTTTCGCCATGTTGCTCAGTCTGGTCTTCAACTCCTGGGCTCAAAGGATCTGCCTGCCTCAGCCTCCCAAAGTGCTGGGATTACAGCTGTGAGATACTGTGTCTGGTCGTGGTTTCAGAGAAAATTTTCAGATAAGAACAGTAGGCTTCTGGTGGGGATGCAAATATATATATGTATGGGCTGCTATATGGTAGGAGGAAGAAGACACTTCAAAGAAAGGCTATGAAAAAGTGAGCACATGTTAAAGACAAATGATAATAGCTATTATTTATTGATTGCATACTATATGCCAGGCAGTATATTCAAGTTTTATATGCATGATTTCATTTTACTCTCATTAAAATTCAAAGAAGATGACATTATTATTAATTCTTTTTTTTTTGTAGGTGAAGTAATTATGCCAGAGACATTAGGAGACTTTACCAAGTTCACACAGCTAGAAAGTAGAAGAACTAAGATTTAAATCCAAACCTGTTTGTTTTCAGAGTCAGAGACTAGTTCTTAATCACCTTTCTACACTGCCTCTAAACTTGATCTGCTTTACAATTTTGCTATGGCTTATCCTTTTTGCTTATAGTAAATGCTATCATTCAAAATGCATTTTCTGAACATCTGTTATGTAAAGGCACTGGATATTCACATGTGAAAGATGATACCTATTGAAGGTAAAGAGCAGGAGAAGGTATATAGATGGCAGTGGTGAGACAATTCAGCTATGAGTTAGTGACTGTGATGTCTCTTCCGCTATTTATTCATGAACATTTTGAGCATTAACTTTTTGTTAAATACTGGGTCAGAAGCTGTTGGGTTGAGAAACAGGAAGGAGAGATTGATACCAACTTCCATCACTTTAAGATGTATACTTTTTACATATTAATATTTCTGAAATTATATGTTTTACAGTAATTACTAGCTTAAATGGTAGCATTGTTTTCTTCCTCAGTGGTACATAAAATAATGGTGCTTTTTACAAGTGGTGGAACTTTAGATTCAATAAAGTATGATTTTTGGTCTGCCAAACATGGTTCTTGTTCACCAGATGCTTAATATTTATGATCCTGCAATGTAATGGATTTCTCCCTACATTTGTAACCATGTAACATCCTTCACCAATGTGCCTTTCTCCTTTTGGCCTGAGATAATGCATTTATTCAAGTATGGTTGTTTATTTTCTCTCTATACTGTCTCCATCATTATTCAGCAAATGAAACACTTTCATCTCTCTATCTTCACCCCAATTTCTTTCCTGGGCTCTGATTCATAACTGACACCTGAGTATTACAACTTTCTTGTCTTTATGTTACCGTGAACTCAATACAATGAACCATCTTTCCCTCCAAGCCAGATTATTCTCCAGGCTTCCCAAGATCTATCAGTTCTTGGGAACTGTAATGCACACTTGAAACCTTGGGAGCCATCCTTGATTCTTCCCTCTCCTTTGTTTCACTTGTACATATCTAGTATGCTATTAAGACCTGTACACGAGGCCAGGTGCAGCAGCTCACGCCTGTAATCCCAGCACTTTGGGAGGCCGAGGCAGGCAGATCACCTGAGGTCAGGAGTTCGAGACTAGCCTGACCAACACAGAGAAACCCTATGTCTACTAAACATACAAAATTAGCCAGGTGTGGTGGTGCATGCCTGTAATCCCAGCTACTCGGGAGGCTGAGGCAGGAGAATTGCTTGAACCCGGGAGGTGGAGGTTGTGGTGAGCCGAGATCGTGCCATTGCTCCCCAGCCTGGGCAACAAGAGAACAAGAGCGAAACTGCGTCTCAGAAAAAAAAAAAAAAGACCTGTACATGTTTCTTCTTGCATTGATCTCTCCCTTTGCAGTTCCACTATTGCCATCTCAGTCCAAGCCCTTGTCTAATCATGCGTGGACTGCTATAGTCTCCCTCTGATTCATCTGATCCATTTTCACCACTTTAAGTTTTCTCTAACACTGTAACTGTACTGTATACTTGACTCCCTGCTAAAAGTCATTTAATAGCCCCTTACTGATCACTGGATACATTCCAGACACCATAGCCTGGTATTCAAGGCTCTCTACAATTACCAGTCCTTTCCAGCTTCATCACCCACCACCTAAACTAGAGGAAATGTTCTACACTTTTCAGCTGCCACAATATTTGGCTTGAACCATTTCCTTTGTCTAGATTCTTACTCTCATTCTCTGGGCTTATCCAGCCAGGCTTTCCTTCAAAGCTCAGCTGACTCCTCCAGGAAAAGCATTTCCTGATGGTTTGCAGTTTACAGTGAACCCTCTTCTCCTAACTCCTACAGTGCTTAGTGCATATGTAAGTAATGTAACATTTAGTATGTGTTTCCTTCTATAGCTTTTTATCCTTTTATGCATAAAAATGTCTTTCCAATGAGAATTAAATGCCTTGAGGGCAGGGACCTGCCATATTTCTCCATATTCCCAGTGCTGATGGTCTTTTAGATATAATCATATTTTAGACCTGGAAGTTCACCTAGCCCTACTGATTTCTTTCACAGTTGAAGAAACTGAGGCCCAGAGAGAAGTTATTCAGACTCAGTAGAAAGCCATAGTCCTAGCCAAATATTTGCTAACACTTACAAATTATAGGGGTTGGCTTACGTAGAATGGCAAGATTCAGAAGTGGGGAATGAGGGCACTCTCTGAACAAAGGAAGGCAAGTAAAAATCATCACAGCCGTCCATGCGTGATTGGACAGAAGCCTAGACTGAGATGGAAATAGTGGAACTGGAAAGGAAGGGATCAATGCAAAAGGAAAAGTGTGCAGGTCTTACTAACTTACTAGATAGGTATTTTTGGCAAGTTTGGGACCAGGTGATTCAAGCTGCCCGCTGGGGCACGTGTAGTGGCTACTCGAGGGCAGGGCTGTCCTTTTGCACAACGCACAGGCTCTCGCAAATGGTTGGATGTTCAATGTTTCTTACTTTAGGGGGCTGCCCAGTCTTCTTCTTCGCAGGCATGTGGCTAGAAGAAAGTGAAGCAGGTTGGCTTTCTGGCTCCTCGAGGGCACAGGCCCAGAGGTGGTGAGGACCGGCCAAGGCTCTCTGCTCAGTGCAGCAAGCCAGGGCCCGCCCCTGACAGGAATCCGTTGGCTAAGCAGCCGCTCCGGCCTTGGCCACGATCCCAGGAAAGAAGAGCAAGGGGCTTTCCACCTGCCCCTAGCCTAACCCGGGGCTGGGGACCTCTCGGGTTCCATCGGCTCTTGCCCCGCCTCCTAAGCCGGCCGCCTCCTGTCCAGGCCAGGTTGCCCGCCCCTCCCCTCACGCTCGACGGGCTCGCTCCCGCACCGGGCGCGCGGGTGGTGCGCGGGCACACGGAGGCGGAAGGCCGGAGGGGCAGTCCGCCGCGGGGGCGAGCGCGCATGCGCCTTCCTGGGACCCACGGCAGGCGCGAATCCCAGCGGCCGGCGGGCGGCGGGGTAAGAGCATGGGATCCCGGAGGTTCCGGACCCCAGGCCAGTGTGGGGAGGTGCCGGGGGCTCGGACGCGCCACGAGCCGGCGCAGAGCTGGCGACCCGTCTCCCAGCTCCGCTCCACTCCCAGGGACGCGACGCGAGGCCTCCCCAGCCCTTCCTGCAGGGTCGCTTGTGGGTCGGGTGAGGGGACGCGGTGATAGTGGTGGCACTTGCAGGCTGGGGCGGTCCTGGCACCCTTGTCCTTGCGGTTCTGAGGGCCTGGCCCTCAAGAGGAGGGGCGGAGAAACGCGAGAAGGGATCCCTTTCGCCCCATATACACGCCCGGGATAGCTGCACTCCCCGGTGTTGTGTCCACTGCGGTGGAAGGACCTTTCAGACTAAAAGGAGCAAAGTCGGTTCTGGGATGGGGACGGCGGGCTTGGCATTTGTCGAGATGCACCGTCAGGGCAAAGGAGGACGAAAAGCGCATCTACTGCCTGCCTAGCAACTTCGTGGCCAGTGGATGGGTTAGAAAATTACTGTTTTCTGATTTACAGGTGGAAAAAGTCGCAAATAACCCTTTTTCTGGTTTAAGCAGAAGAGAGTCGTTAAAAGCCTCGCATAATATCTTTAACCACACAGGGCTCAGTAAAATTAGGGTACCTCCCCGCTTCGTACACACAGACGCACACAGCTCCATTCAGCAAATACTTCTTGGGTACCTGCCTTCTGCTAACACTGTTCTACAAGTGGGGAACAGAGAGCAACGACTAAGACAGGAGGATCCCTGCTCACAGGGAGCCTTTAGTCAACACATCCAAGTAATTTCCTTTTACACTTTTTTTTTTTTTAATTGAGACAGAGTCTTGCTCTGTCGCCCAGGCTGGAGTGCAGTGGCACGATCTTGGCTCACTGCAACCTCTGCCTCCCGGGTTCGAGCGATTTTCCTGCCTCAGCCTCACGAGTAGCTGGGATTACAGGAACGCACCACCACGCCCAGCTAATTTTTGTATTTTTAGTAGAGATGGGGTTTCACCATGTTGACCAGGCTGGTCTCGAACTCCTGACCTCAGGTGATCCACCTGCCTCGGCCTCCCAAAGTGCTGGGATTACAGGGGTGAACCACTGCGCCCAGCCCCTTTTATGCTTTTTAAATTGGAATATACCATATAGAAAAATACTGTACGCAAATTATAAGTTGTAACTTGTTAATTTATCCTAAAGTCAACACATTTCCTAACCACTACTCAAATCAAGAAGGAAGATTCACAGCATTTCAGAACACCTCTCTGGGCACCCCTCCCAACCACCATCCCTTCTTTCCTCCCCAAAGGTAACCTCTTTCCTGATTTTTAACACCATAGATTAGTTTTGCCTATTTATGAACCTTTCATGGAACCATATGATATGTATTCTTTGGTGTCCAGCATTTATACTGAAAATTATGTGTGTGAGATTGCACCATGTCATGTGAAAATACAAATCCTGTTAGTGAAAAGAATTAGGAAGCAAATTGAAGGTAATGATACAAACAGTAAGGGGAGGAAGCTTTAGTAGGATAGTCAGGGATGATCTTTCTGAGGGGATGATTTGAGATTTGGCATCAATGACAAAAGATTAGCCATTCCAATCAGTTCTGGAGTTATCCCGTGATGTTTTTATTTTAAATAAGAAAATAATTAGGGCCGGGTGCAGTGGCTCACGCCTGTAATCCCAGCACTTTGGGAGACCAAGGAGGGTGGATCACCTGAGGTCAGGAGTTCAAGATCAGCCTGGCCAATCTGGTGAAACCCCGTCTCTACTAACAATACAAAAATTAGCCAGGCGTGGTGGTGGGTGCCTGTAATCCCAACTACCTGGGAGGCTGAGGGAAGACAATCGCTTGAACCCAGGAGGCAGAGGTTGCGGTGAGCCGATATTGTGCCATTGTACTCCAGCCTGGGCAACAAGAGCAAAGCTCCATCTCAAAAAAAAAGAAAAAAAAACAAATAAAATAAAATAATTTTAGATCATTAGGTGGAATGTACCAATTTTGCCCTAAATTTTTTAGTTGATTTATTATATTTTCTGAATATATTTAAAGTGTATCCTGTGGTTAAAATGGTCCAACATTTTTCAAAGAGAAGAGGAAAATGTCAATTTTGTCGATTTGCTTTTTATTTTTTTTTGTTTGAGATGGAGTTTCGCTCTTGTTGCCCAGGCTGGAGTGCAATGGTGCGATCTCGGCTCACTGCAACCTTCACCTCCTGGGTTGAAGCGATTCTCCTGCCTCAGCCTTCCAAATAGCTGGGATCACAGGCGAGCGCCACCATACCTGGCTAATTTTGTATTTTTAGTAGAGATGGGGTTTCACCATGTTGGTCAGGCTGGTCTTGAACTCCTGACCTCAGGTGATCTGCCCACCTCGGCTTCCCAAAGTGCTGGGATTACAGGCGTGAGCCACCGCAACCGGCATCAATTTGCTTCTTACTTTAAAACCCCAACCTAAGGAAAACTGTAAAAAAAAAAAAAAAGTAAGTGGTTAATTGAGTTTTACTGCTTTTGTATTTTTTTCTCACGATTTGGGATTATTCTTAATGATTCTTAAAAAGGCTCATTTCTCTAAGATGGAAAGTTGGTGTGGTTAATGCAAGTATATTTTGGAAGAAAAGTAAAAACCAAACTAGATAAATTGTTTATTGGAAGACTTTCCCAAACTAAATACAAAGACAAGATTCCTCTTTCTCGCTGTACCAAAGATAAATCATGCCTTTGTCTACGGTTGTGGTTTTATATTTACCTGTAGGTGAATGTGTTCTAAATAGAATTGACTGTGTCATTATCTACATATGTGTTGTTTTTCTTTTCTCAGAAATATTCCCTTGTGAGAGTAAATCTTTACTATATCTTTAGATGTATTGAGTCCCATTTAATAGGGAGATCCACCTTTTGATGTATATTCCCAACTAAAGGACTAGGGAATAAGGAACTTAAAATACCACGTTTCCTTCACATTCCTTCCCACTACCCCTCCCCTCGAATTCTCTATCCTTCTACTTGGTTTACTGGGTTCATTGTTGTAGGTACTGTACTCAGCTGAATCTTGATATCTTTTTTTTTCCCCTTAGGATACTTCTACATAGACATAATCAAGTTTTGACTATTTGGAAACCAAGCATCATTAAAATTCTCTCAAACTCCTAATTGCGAAGAATCGATAACATTTCAAGAAGTGATAACATTTCTCTGAACAAGAAAAGAAGTGATTGACCACGTTTTAAAAGTACTCTGGCACTGGTGCTGTGTTTTCTTCCCCTCCCTAAATTTGAAGAACTATGGAGAAATGGTACTTGATGACAGTAGTGGTTTTAATAGGACTAACAGTACGATGGACAGTGTCTCTTAATTCTTATTCAGGTAATACATTTTTACTGGTTAAAAAAAAAACGAAATTTTCCTTTGAATAGGTGTTTGTTTGGGGAAAAGTTTACCATTTTCTGACCAGTACAGAGAAGAATTTCAGGCCTTTTTGATATGGTTGAGAAAATACATTTAAATGTCCAGTTCTAATAGAAAGAATATGGATAACAGCTAAATAGAAGCATGCGCTTTGTGATGTGAGAAAGCAAAAATGTGTTCTAACAGGTAAGATGACAAATTGAGAAATGATTCTGTATTAAACATTGAAGAGGAAAATGAGCTAGCACTTCAAGGGAGGGGTGGAGTCTGTTTAGGGTAGAGAAGCATATTACTGGATTAAAGGGAAGCGATCAGTGAACAAGAATAAAATTGGGAATGAGAGAGGGGGAATTGATGGAGTGTGGTCCTGGTGTGTTGGATTGGCTTAAATGTAACTCTGCAGGTACCTATTTAGCACGTCTCATGTTCCCGGCACTGTGCTAGCTTCTAAAAATACAAGATGAATAGCCAATACTCAGAGGGCCCACATTTTATTTTATTTTATTTTATTTTATTTTTTTGATACGGAGCCTCGCTGTGTCGCCCAGGCTGGAGTTCAGTGGCGCAATCTTGGCTCACTGTGACCTCTGCCTCCCGGGTTCAAGCAATTCTTCTACCTCAACCTTCCGAGTAGCTGGGATTACAGATGCACGCGACCATGCCCAGCTAATTTTTGCATTTTTAGTAGAGACGGGGTTTCACCATGCTGGCCAGGCTGGTGTCGAACTCCTGACCTCGTGATCCACTTGCCTCGGCCTCCCAAAGTGCTGGGATTACAGGCGTGAGCCACCGCACCCAGCTAGAGGGCCCACATTTTAATAGTTAAATGGTCACAACAGAGGGTGATAATTATAATGTAGGAGTATGTGTGAGGTACAGAGTTAATAGAGAGGTAAATGATCAAGATGCATTAGAGAAAACTTCAGGAAAGATGTTTGCATTCAAGATTTGAAGGATGAGTCAGAATTTTCTAGGCAAATGAAGTGGAGAAGGTATTATAGAGTGCAGGAACTTGTGCAACAGACATGGTGTCACAGAGCATGGTTATTATAAGTATTGTATTTGAGTTGCATGAAACATAGGAACAAAAAGGATGAGGAGAGAGTGACCAGAGAATAGGTTATACAATTAGCTGGGCAAATTATTTCGTTGTAGAAAAATAACTTATGTTAGTGAAAAAGGGTCATAGGAAAAAGAGATAGGTAAAGAGAAAAATGAGACAATAATATTAATAGTTGTAAGAGCTATGATATATACACAGACACATATATATACACAGACACACATTTACTCTCTACTTACACATTTACTATATACGAAGATACATATATGGAAATTTATATATATGTGTGTCTATATAGTAAATGTGTATATACACAGACACACACATATATAGGTATTTTATGCATACCTATATATGTGTGTGTCTGTATATAGTAAATGTATATATACACAGACATATATATGGATATACACAGACACACATATATATAAATATCTGTATATATGTGTGTATATAGCAAATGTGTATGTAGAGAATAAATGTGTATGTGTCTGTGTATATCGTAGCTTTTTTTTGAGAAAAAAAAGCTCTGTCACCCAGGCTGGAGTGCAGTGGCGCAATCTTGGCTCACTGTAATCTCCGCCTCCCAGTTTCAAGCTATTCTCCTGCCTCAGCCTCCTAAGTAGCTGGGATTACAGGTGCATGCCATCATGCCCAGCTAATTTTTGTATTTTTAGTAGAGACGAGGTTTCACCATGTTGGTCAGGCTGGTCTTGAACTCCTGACCTCGTGATCTGCCTGCCTCGGCCTCCTGAAGTGCTGGGATTACAGGCATGAGCCACCGTGCCTGGCCTGTAGCTCTTACATATAGATGTATACACACACACATACATATATGTTTTGTAAGACTTTTTTTTTTGGAGACAGGGTTTCACTTTCATCGTCCAGGCTAAAGTGCAGTGGCACAATGTTGGCTCATGGCAGCCTCCGCCTCCTTGGTGCAGTGATTCTGCTGCCTCAGCCTACCAAGTAGCTGGAAATACAGGCGTGCACCACGACGCCTGGCTAATTTTTGTATTTTTTGTAGACACAGGGTCTCACCATGTTGCCCAGGCTGGTCTTGAACTCCTGAGCTCAAGTGATCTGCCTGCCCCAGCCTCCCAAAGTGCTGGGATTACAGGTGTGAGCCACTATGTCCAGTCAATATTTTAACCAGACTATAGTTTCTCTTTTCTCTTAAAACATTTTTTTTTGGGGGGAGGCTAAGGTGGGTGGATTGCCTGAGCTCAGGAGTTCAAGACCAGCCTGAGCAACATGGCAAAACCCCGTCTCTATTAAAAATACAAAAATTAGCCGGGCGCACACCTGTAATCCCAGCTGCTGGGGAGGCTGAGGCACGAGAATTGCTTAAGCCCAGGAGATGGAGGTTGCAGTGAGCCAAGATCATCCCATTACACTTTAGCCTGGGCGACAGAGCAAGACTCTGCCTCAAAAAAAAACAAAACAACACACTTTTTTGGGCTATTTTTATTTTTCAATTTAATTTAATTTACATTTTTTTTTTTTTTTTTTTTGAGACAGGGTCTCCCCCTGTTGCCCAGGCTGGAGTGCAGTGGCATGATCTTGGCTCACTGCAGCCTTGACCTCTTGGGACCACAGGCATGTGGCTAATTGTCTGGCTAATTGTTTTGATTTTTAGTAAAGATGAGGTCTCACTGTGTTGCCTAGGCTGGTCTTGAACTCCTGGGCTCGAGCAATACTCCTGCCTCAGCCTCCCAAAGTACTGGGATTATAGGTGTGAGCCACTGCGCCCAATTTTTTCAAATACTCTGGCTTAATATAGTTTCTCTTTATTCAGCATGAATTTAAAGGATTTATAGAAAGAACTTGTAAGAACTACTATATTTTGAGTATGAGTATTTTCTTTAGTATTTACCACAACCACTGAAGACAGGTAATATCTTCGATTTACAAATGGAAAATGAGACAACCAATAAATGACAACTGGGATTCAAATATAGTTGTATTTAATTCCACAATCAGTGCTCTTATGACTGTGCTCTGTGGCTTCTGAATGAGTTCGAGGAATATGGAGGAAGTAAAATCACTTAAATGTAGCAGTTGACTTGGGCTCAAATCTTAGCTCTTTCACCTGTTAGTTGCCTGATCTTGGGGAATTTATTTAATCTCCTTGAGCCTCTTCTATCAAGTGGGGTATTAATACATACTTTAAGAGGGTTCTTGGCCGGGCCGTGGCTCACGCCTGTAATCCCAGCACTTTGGGAGGCCGAAGTGGGCCGATCACATGAGGTCAGGAGTTCGAGACCAGCGTGGCCAACACAGTGAAACCCCGTCTCTACTAAAAATACAAAAATTAGCCGGGTGTGGTGGCGGGTGCCTGTAGTCCCAGCTATTCCGGAGGATGAGGCACGAGAATTGCTTGAACCTGGAAGGCAGAGGTTGCAGTGAGCCGAGATCACGCCACTGCACCCCACCCTGGGTGACAGAGCAAGACTCTGTCTCCAAAAAAAAAAAAGGATTCTTGTGAGGATTGAGATAATATGTATAAATTATGTTTTCTTTTTTAATAGTGCAGGGCTATAACTAGCACATTTATAGTTCATAACTCATCTCATTTGATCCTCACATCAGATCATTTAGCCCTAAAATGTCTGCTATGCAGGAAAAATAGGTCTTGCTGGTGATTAAGTCTTTAGGCCTGGTCTTTAGGGTGACCAAGAATAATAAATGGTATCTTCCTTAGAGAAGTTTACAGTCTAGTGGATAAGGTGGACATGTAAATACATACTACATAAAAATGTAGGCTGAGCACAGTGGCTCATGCTTGTAATTCTAGCGCTTTGGGAGGCTGAGGCAGGGGGATCACTTGAGGTCAGGAGTTCCAGACCAGCCTAGCCAACATGGTGAAACCCCCTTTACAAAAAGAAAAATTAGGCATGATGGCACATGCCTGTAGTCCTAGCTACTCGGGCCTCTGAGGTGGGTGGATTGCTTGAACCCGGGAGGCGGAGGTTGCAGTGAGCCAGAGATGGTGCCACTGCACTTCAGCCTGGGTGACAGAGGGAGACTCCATTAAAAAAAAAATGTAGTGTGATATAGGCAAATACTTTGTTTCTTTTCTTTTTCTTTTTTCTCCCTAGACTGAGTCTTGCTCTGTTGCCCAGGCTGGAGGGCAATGGTGCAATCTCGGCTCACTACAATATCCGTTTCCTGGGTTCAAGCAATTCTCCTGCCTCAGCTTCCCGAGTAGCTGGGATTTACAGGCATGTGCCACCACCCCCGGCATTTTTTTTTTTTTTTTTTTTTTTTTTTCCAGTAGAGACAGGATTTCCCCATGTTTGCCAGCCTGGTCTCAAACTCCTGACCTTAGGTGATCCGCCCTCCTTGGCCTCCCAAAGTGCTGGGATTACAGGCGTGAGCCACCACGCCTGGCCCATTTCTTTTACTTCCTTAAAATGCCTTTGTCAGGTTTGATATCAAGGTTAAGCTAGCCTCATAAAATGAATTAGGGAGTATTCTCTCTTTTTGTAAAATCTGGAATAGTATGTAAGCTTGGAATTGTTTGTTCCTTAGATACTTGGTAGAACTTGATAGTAAAGGTATTTGGGCCTGGAATTTTCTTTGTAAGGAAAATGTTTAGTGATTTAATTTGTTTATTGGTTATAGGACCATTTAGGCTCTCTCTTTTTTCTCGAATTATTTTTGTAATTTATATTTTTCTAGAAATGTTTCCATTTCACCTAAGTTTTAAAATGTATTGACATAAAATTATTCATAATGTTTTCTTACCTTTTACATTTTCTGCTGTATCAATGATTATAGTTCCTTTTTTATTTCTTATATAGTTAGTGGTGTTTCATTTTTTAAAACAATCAGTCTTATTAGGGGTTTATTAATTTTATTAGTACAGTCATGCATTGTTTAATGATGGGGATTCATTCTGAGAAATGCGTCAATTGGCAGTTTAGTCATTGTTCAACCATTGTAGAGTGACTTACACCAACTCAGATTGTACAGCCTACTACACCTAGGCTGTACATTATAGCCTATTGCTCCTAGGCTACAAACCTATACAACATGTTACTGTACTGAATACTGTAGGCAGTTGTAGCACATGGTAAGTATTTGTGTATTTAAACATATCTAAACATAGATAAGGTGCAGTTAAAATACAGTATGATTATCTTATGGGACCATCATTGTTTATACAGTTCGTTGTTGACTGAGATGTCATTATTGTGGTACATAGCCGTATTTTTCAAATAACTAATCTGAGCTTTGCCCATTCTCTCAGTGATATCCTTGGGGTTGTTCTTTTTTAAATTTACTAAATTGGATGCTTTAGCTCTTAAGTTTCAGTCTCTGTAACACTATCATTTAAGCTATACATTTTCTTTAGAGTACCATCCCACAAGTAATATTTTCTAATTTCTAATGTGACATCTACTTTGACCCATGAGTTATTTAGAATTATGTTTAAAATTTTTTAAATATTTAGGCTTTAAAAATTACCTTTTTGATATTTTAAATTTAAGTAGATGGTAGAAAGAGAATCTTTCTGTGTACTACTAATTCTTTGAAAAGCATTGAAACTTGACCTAGTATGTAATCAGCTTTTGTAAATGTTCTGTGTGTGCTTGAAAAGAATGTGTAATCTCTAGTTTAATATTCTGCATATATTCAATAACCCAATATTATTGTTTTGATACAATCGTTTTTTATATTCTTACTGATATTTTACCAATTGATCTACCAGTTATTAAGAGAGCTGTAGTTTCTCTTTGTAGTTTTGTCAACTTGTATGTATATATTTTGTATCTATATTACTAGGTGATTTAGAATTGTTTTTCTTTTTTTTTTGAGATGGAATCTCACTCTGTTGCCCAGGCTGGACGGCACAATCTCAGCTTACTGCAACCTCTGCCTCCCGGGTTCAAGGGATTCTCCTGCCTCAGCCTCCCTAGTGGCTGGGATTACAGGCGTGCGCTGCCACACCCAGCTAATTTTTGCATTTTTAGTAGAGACGGGGTTTCACCATGTTGGCCAGGCTGGTCTTGAACTCCTGATCTCAGGTGATCCACCACCTCGGCCTCCCAAAGTGGTGGTATTAACAGGTAGAATTTTTTTGTGTGTGACCTGAATTTCATATCACTGTTGCTTCCCTGTTTGTTTACAGTAATGCTTTTTTGTTAAAGTTTGTTTCCTCTAAAATTAATATAGCCATAATAGTTTTCTTTAGTTTGATTTTTGCTTGTTATATCTTTTTCTGTCCTTTTATTCTTTACTGTATGTTTAGATATGTCTAAGCAATTTCCTTCCGCAATTGCTGTTTCCCTTCTCTATTGGTTTGAAAGCTATATTTTTATTTTCTTCTTTCAGGACTTATCTGGAAATTTTCAGTTGCATATTTAACTTAACAAAGCCTAAAGTTAATATTTATATCCTCTTGAACAATGCAAAGACTTTAGAATGTTTTAATTCTGGTTACAGATCCTCACTTCCCAAGTTAAAATGTTACTGTCTAGGATTTTGTTTCTTCCATGATTTTTAATCCTATAAATTAGGCATTAATGACTTGTTTTGTACAGTTAATATTGGTTTATTATTTATTATTTATTTATTTTTAGAGATGGGATCTCACTCTATTGCCCAAGCTCAAGTACAGTGGCATGACCATAGTTCATTGCAGCCTTGACTTCCTGGGCTCAGAGGATCCTCCTGCTCCAGCCTCCCCAGTAGCTGGAACTACAGGTGCTTGCCACCACACCCAGCTAAATATATGTTTTTTTATTTTTAGTAGACATAAGGTCCTGCTGTGTTGCCCAAGCTGGGCTCAAACTCCTGGGCTCAAGGGGGATCCTCCCACCTTGGCCTCCCGAAGTGCTGGGATGACAGGTTGTGAGCCACTGTGCCCTGCATATTTATTTAGTTTTACCCTTGTGTTTAGCATTTTCTGTTCACCCTTCTTACATATTGTATCTTTCTTTGAGATCATTTTTTTCTTCCTGAAGTACACCTTTGGGAGTTTTTTTTGGTGAGAGTCTGTTGGTGGCAAACCCAGTTTTTGTCTGAAAATGCCTTTATTTGGCTTTCAGTCTTAAAGTTTTGCTGGGTATGGAATTGTTTTGATGGTTGTTTTCTCTTAGTATTTTGAAAATACCATTGTCTTTTAATTTGTGTTGATGTTTGGACATCAGCTGTCATTTTAACTGTTATTCTTTTGTAGGTAATTTGCCTTTCCTTTCTTGCTGCAGTTTCACTATGATATATCTTAGTGAATATTAAAACATTTGTCATCCTAGGATTTTCTGTGATTTCTGTCTCTAAGGAATGGTATTTTCTGTCTGTTCTAGAAACTTTTCAGCTACTGTGTCTTCTTATTTTTCTTCCTTTTAGAACTCTGATTAGATATATGTTGGATCTTTGGTTAGGAATTCCACAGATAGTATAGGCCATTCACTATGTGCCAAGGGCTGGTGATGCTGCAGAGAATAAAATAGACAATAATCTCTTCCCCTCATTGACTTTATAGTTCTCAGTTATCTCTTCAAATATTGTATCTTCCTCATTTTTATTCTTGTACAACTCTTGTTAGATGTATGTTGGGTCTTTTCATTCTGTCTTCTGTGTTTCATAATCTCTTGTATTTTCCATCTCGGGGTTTCTTCACAGTGCTTCCTTTATAATCATCAAATTTGGTTTCCTGTTCATTAGTTTTTAGCTGTGCTTAATTTGTTTGTTTTTTTTTTTTAACTCCCCATTGAATGTTAAGGTTTCAGTTATTATATTTTTTATTTCCAGAAGTTCTCTTTGGTTCCTTTTTAGATCTTGATCATTTCTGATAGTCTCTTGTTCCTTCAGCATACTTTCAAGGTCTTCTTTTGTATTGTTAAGCAGTTGAACCATGCTTATTTTATGTTTCTTATCTAAAAATTCTCGTATCTGCATTCTGATTTCATAGTTTTTTGTTTCTCCTGACCCTTGCTCATGGTATTTTGTTTCTTCATGAGCTTAGTGATTTTTAATAAAATAGTGAGTTTATGTAATTTGGAACTTTTATCTGTGGGAATTCTTTGAGGCTTGAGTTTCCTGTGCATTTTTCCACATAGGGTTTATGTTGCTTCCTGGTAGGCACCTGGGGCACTATTAACAAAAATCAAACTAAATTAGCAACTTAAAGTTTCTTTGGGTCATGTACTTGGTGTGAATTCAGGCCCCAACCTGGGCAAATGCAGGCATATGGTTAGGAGTTTTCATAGGACTCTTTTTCGTTTTTCCTGTACTACCAGGAGCCAAGGCCGAGATGAGTACTATCTTCACTATCTCCCTAAAGGCATTGTATTTTAAATTGTAGTAGAGGGTTCTCTGACCTTGAATTCCTACCTGTTCAGGTCCCAGGCTTTGCCTCCTTACTGACTGCACAGGGCTCCTGGTAGCCAGGCTATTGACCACCAGAGATCATTGGATACCCTCAAGGCAAATGCTTACTTCTCTGAATCTACACTTTGCTGTTGTTTCTGGGGCCTCTAAGGAATTCTTTCATGTTACTGCTAGTTCAGCCATATATTAAAATTATATATTTATAAAAGTAGGATACGTAATACTATATTATTAATTATATAAAAACAAATATAAATCATACATTATATATAAAACATATATAAAACATTATATTATATACATTATTTATTCAATGTTAACTAGGATTTTTACTGGAGATGTTTTTGGACCCTTTGTCTGGCATATTGCTGGAAACCGAAGTGCCATCTATATTTTTAAAAGCTCCATAAGTTATTCTAGTGTTTACAGAGGGTTAATAGACATGATGGTTGAAGCCAGGGGTTGAGGGGCAAAAGCAACAGGTTTAAGAGTTGCTTTTGCCCCTCAACAAAAGCAACTTTTGTGCAAGAAGAAAACAGATTTAACCACTAATCATCTCCAGAGAGAAGGGAGAATGATTAAAGGAGACTGAGAAGAAACTGTGTAGTAGGCTTAGCATCTGGAGAGTTTGTTTTTCTAGAAGCCAAGAAACCAGACAACTTTACAAAATGAGGACCGGCCAACAGTGTCAAGCTATAGACATGTCAAAAAGGATGAAAATTTAAAATAGACAAGGGATCTATAGGAGACCATGTGAACCTCCTGGTTGCCAGACTGTAATGAACTGAGGACTGAATGGTAGTTATCAAATGGACATAGCAACTTTCAGGACGTTTGTTCGTGAACGGAAGAAAGGAAGTAGTTTGGTGGCTGAAGTGGGGGAAGAAGGGCTGAGGAAAGGTCCAATTAGAAGTTGTTACATAAAATATGTAACTTATAATATTACTTTTAGTCCATAATTGGTCCATTGGAAAGTCATCCCCTTTTCTGAATTTGGTACTAATTCATGGTGATTATTTAGTTTGCAATCTTTTTTCCAGTTTTCCTTTTGTCTCCTAATTGTGACACATATATTATTTTCTCGTTTATTTTAAGGTGAAGTTGAAAAGAACTAAAATCAGAGTATAGGATAAAATACTACAAATTTTTAAATGATACTATTTCAGTATTGCTGGTATATATAATCAAATGCTTAATGGGAATTCAGGAGGGGACAATTCATCCAATACTTCTCTATTCCTGTGACTTACATATATTACTTAACCTGACATTTCTTTCATGAACTGAATTTACTCAATTACTTTTCTCATCTGGAAAAGAAAACAGGACTCCAGCTACTTATTTTAAACCCTGCTCTTAAATTGTCCCTAGGAAAATCAACAGAATCAGATTCCTTTTGGGTTACTATATAAGAAAAATATTGTTATTGCACATTAGTAGATTATTTGAAGGCATCTTGTAGATGGCTATGATATATTTTTGTCATTTTTCAGATAAGGAAAGTAAATATGCTAAACATTAAGAAAAATGGTGGCTGGGCCCAGTGGCTCACACCTGTAATCCCAGCACTTTGAGAGGCCGAGGCAGGTGGATTGCTTGAGCCCAAAAGTTTGAGTCCAGCCTGGGCAATACGGGGAAACCTTGTCTTTATAAAAAATACAAAAATTGGCCAGGCGCGGTGGCTCACGCCTGTAATCCCAGCACTTTGGGAGGCCGAGGCAGGCGGATCATGAGGTCAGGAGATCAAGACCATCCTGGCTAACACGGTGAAACCCCGTCTCTACTAAAAATACAAAAAATTAGCTGTGCGTGGTGGCGGGCGCCTGTAGTCCCAGCTACTAGGGAGGCTGAGGCAGGAGAATGGCATGAACCCAGGAGGCGGAGCTTGCAGTGAGCTGAGATCTCACCACTGCACTCCAGCCTGGGCGACAGAGCGAGACCGTCTCAAAAGACAAAAACAAATACAAAAACAAAAACAAAACCCCAAAATTAGGTGGGCATGGTGGCGCATGCCTGTAGTCCCAGCTACTGATAGTGGGGGCTGAGGGGGGATCCCTTGAGCCCAGAAGGTCAAGGCCGCAGTGAGCCGTGATCACACCACTGGACTCCAGCCTGGGTGACAGAACAAGACCCTGTTTAAAAGAAAAGAAAAGAAGGAAGGGAGGGGAGGGGAGGGGAGGGGAGAGGATTCCATTATAGAACTCAACTCCATCATAAAGAATATAACATTTTTAGCATTCACGTGTGAGGGACTTAATGTGTCATTGGAGGTTGGGAGAATTAATGAATAACATCTGTGATTCTGCTGAGATATTGTTCCTTCTGTTGATTAAAATACTATTTTTGGTATCCTAATTTGTATTGTTTTGTTTTTAAGAAGTGAGTTTTCACTATGTTGCCCAAGCTGCAGTAGAGTGACTATTTACAGGATGTGATCATCAGGCACTGTAACCTTGGGCTCCTGGCCTCAAGTGGTCCTCCCACCTAGCCTCCCAATAGAAATGCATCATTTTTATGTATTGTAAAATATCTCAGCTTGTACCACTGCTCCCAGCTCATAATTTCTTTTTTTGTTGTTTTTTAAAAGTTTTTTTGCTTTTAATTTGTATGGGTACATAGTAGATGTACATATTCATGGGTCACATGAGATTTTTTTTTTAAAAATTTTATTTATATTTTTATTATTTTAAATTTTTATTTTATTATTATTTTTTGAAATGGAGTCTTGCTGTGTCGCCCAGAGTGGAGTGCAGTGGTGCCATCTCGACTTACTGCAACCTCTGCCTCCCCGGTTCAAGCAATTCTTCTGTCTCAGCCTCCCAGGTAGCTGGGACTACAAGCATGAGCCACCACGCCCAGCTAATTTTTTGTATTTTTAGTATAGATGGGGTTTTACCATGTTGACCAGACTGGTCTCGAACTCCTGACTTCAAGTGATCTGCCCGCCTCAGCGCCCAGCTGATTATTTATTATTTATTATTTTTTTGAGACAAGAGCCTCGCTCTGTCACCCAGGCTGGAGTGCAGTGGTACGGCCTTGGCTCATTGCAACTCTGCCTCCCGAGTTCAAGCAGTTCTCCTGCCTCAGCCTCCTGAGTAGCTAGGATTATAGGCACGTGCCACCATGCCTGGCTAAGTTTTTTTTTGTTTGTTTTTTTTTGTTTTTTTTTTTTTGTTTTTTTTTTTTTTGAGACGGAGTCTGGCTCTGTCGCCCAGGCTGGAGTGCAGTAGCGCGATCTCGGCTCACTGCAAGCTCTGCCTCCCGGGTTCATGCCATTCTCCTGCCTCAGCCTCCCGAGTAGCTGGGACTACAGGTGCCTGCCACCACACCCAGCTCATTTTTTTGTATTTTTATTAGAGACAGGGTTTCACCATGTTAGCCAGGATGGTCTCGAGCTCCTGACCTCATGATCCGCCCGTCTCGGCCTCCCAAAGTGCTGGGATTACAGGCGTGAGCCACCGCACCTGGCCTAAGTTTTTGTATTTTTAGCAGAGTCGGGGTTTTACCATGTTGGCCAGGCTGGTCTCAAACTCCTGACCTCAGGAGATCCACCTGCCTTGGCCTCCCAAAGTGCAGGGATTACAGGCGTGAGCCACCATGCCCAGCCTATTTTTATTTTTTTGAGATAGAGTCTCGCTCCATTGCCCTGTGCTCCAGCACAGGCTGGAGTGCAGTTGTGAAATCTTAGCTCACTGTAGCCTCTGTCTCTGGGTTCAAGTGATTCTCCTGCCTCAGCCTCCCAAGTAGCTGGGATTACAGGTGCTCACCACCATGCCTAGCTAATTTTTTTTGTATTTTTAGTAGAGATGGGGTTTCATCATGTTGTCCAGGCTGGTCTTGAACTCCTGGCGATCTGCCCACCTTGGCCTCCCAAAGTGCTAGGATTACAGGCATGAGGTACCGTGCCTGGCCATTATTTTATTTTTTAGATACAGTATCTCACTATGTCACCCAGGCTGGAGTACAGTGGTGCCATCATGGTTCACTGCAGCCTTGATCCCCTGGGCTCAAGTGATCCTCCTACCTCAGCCTTACAGGTAGCCAGGACTATAGGCACATACCACTGCACCTGGCTAACATGAAATGTTTTGATACAAGCATACAATGTGTAATAATCACATTAGGGTAAATGAGGTATTCATTACCTCAAGCATTTATTCTTTGTATTATAAACATTCCATTTATACTTTCAGTTATTTAAAAATGGTAAAATAAATTATTGTTGACTGCAGTCACCCTGTTGAGCTATCAAATACTAGATCTTATTCATTCCGTGTAATTATATTTTTGAATCCATTAATCTTCCCTACCCCACCCACTCTTCTCAGCCTCTGGTAACCATAATTCTGTTCTTCATCTCCAAGAGTTCAATTGTTTCAATTTTTAGCTCCCACTAATGAGTGAGAATATTGAAAGTTTGTCTTTCTGTGCCTGGCTTGTTTCACTTAACATCATGACCTCCAGTTCCAGCTATGTTGTTGCAAGTGACAGGATCTCATTCTTTTTTATGGCTGAATCCATTGCATATACATTTTATTTATTCATTCGTCTGCTGATGGACACTTAGGTTGCTTGCGAATCTTGGCTATTGTGAACGGTGCTGCAATAAACATAAGAGTGGAGCTATCTTTTCAATATATGGATTTCCTTTATTGCCTGTCGTTTGGATAAAAGCCATTTTACCTGGGTGAGATGATGTCTCATTGTAGTTTTGATTTGCATTTCTCTGATCATCAGTGATGTTGAGCACTTTTTCATATTCCTGTTTGCCATTTGTATGTCTTCTTTTGAAAAATGTGTATTCAGATCTTTTGCCCATTTTTTAATTGGGTTATTTAATTTTTTTTCCTATTGAGTTGCTTGAATTCCTTATATATTCTGGTTGTTAATCCCTTGTCAGATGGGTAGTTTGCGCATATTTTCTCCCATTCTGTGGGTTCTGTCTTTGTTGATTGCTTCCTTTGCTGTGCAGAAGCTTTTAAACTTCATGGATCCCATTTGCCCGTTTTTGCTTTGGTTGCTTGTGCTTGTAGAGTATTACTCAAGAAATTTTTGCCCAGACCAATGTCCTAGAGAGTTTCCCCAGTGTTTTCTTGGAGCAGTTTCATAGTGTGAGGTCGTATATTTAAGTCTTTAATCCATTTTGATTTGATTTTTGTATCTGATGAGAGATAGGGGTTTAGTTTCATTTTCTGCATATAGATATCCAATTTTCCCCCAAAGAGACTCTCTTTTCCCCAGTGTATGTTCTTGGCACCTTTGTCAAAAATGAGTTCACTGTAGATGTGTGTATTTGTTTCTGGGTTCTCTATTCTGTTCCATGGTCTAGGTATCTGTTTTTATGCCAGTACCATGCTGTTTTGGTTACTGTAGCTCTGTAGTAAAATTGAAGTCAGTGTAATGTAATTCCTCCAGTTTTGTTCTTTTTGCTTAGGATAGTTTTGACTATTTGGGGTCTTTTGTGGTTCCATATAAATTTTAGGATTATTTTTTCTATTTCTGTGAGGAATATCATTGGTAGTTTGATGGAGATTGCATTGAATCTGTAGATTGCTTTGGGTAGAATGGACATTTAATGATATTGATTCTTCCAATCCATGAACATGGAATATTTTCCCATTTTTTTGAATTTCTTTCATCAGTGTTCTATAGTTTTTTATTAAGATCTTTTACTTCTTCTTTTTTTTTTTTTTTTTTTTTTTTTTTTTTTTTGAGACAGAGTCTCGCTCTGTCACCCAGGCTGGAGTGCAATGGCATGATCTTGGCTCACGGCAACCTCTACCTCCCAGGTTAAAGCAATTCTCCTGCCTCAGTCTCCTGAGTAGCTGGGATTATAGGCGCATGCCACCATGCCCGACAAATTTTTGTATTATTTTTATTTTTTTTTAGTAGAAACGGGGTTTCACCATGTTGGCCAGGCTGGTCTTGAACTCCTGACCTTGTGATCTGCCCATCTCAGCCTCCCAAAGTGCTGGCATTACAGGCGTGAGCCACCACGCCCGGCCTTGAGCCACTGTGCTTGGCCTGATCTTTTATTCTTTAGTTAATTCCTAGGTATTTAATTTTATTTGTGGCTATTGTAAATGAGATTTTTCAAATTTCTTTTTCAAATTGTTCACCATTGGCATACAGAAGTACTAGTGATTTTTGTATGTTGATTTTTTATGCTGTGACTTTACTGAGTTTGTTTTACAGTTCTAATAGTTTTTTTATGGTGTTTTAAGGTTTTTCCAAATATAAAATTATATCATCTGCAAACAAGGATAATTTGACTTCTTCCTTTCCAGTTTGGGTGACCTTTATTTCTTTCTCTTGTCTGATTGCGCTAGCTAAGACTAACAGCACTATGTTGAATAACAGTTGTGAAAGTGGGCATTCTTTTGTTCCAAATCTTAGAGGAAAGGCTTTCAGTTTTTCCCCATTCAGTATGATACTAGCTGTGGGTCTGTCATGTATGGCTTTTATTGTGTTGAGGTATGTTTTTTCTAAACTCAATTTTTTGAGGGTTTGTGTCAGGAAGGGGTGTGGAATTGTATCAGATACTTTTTCAGCATCAACCAAAATGGTCATATGGTTTCTGTCCTTCATTGTGTTGATTTGATGTACCACATTGATTGATTTGCATATGTTGAGCCATTCTTGCATCCGTGGGATTTATCTGTAGGGTTATGGTGAATGATCTTTTTAATGCACTGTTGATTACAGTTTGCTAGTATTTTGTTGTGGATTTTTGCATCAATGTTCATCAGGGATATTGGCTTGTAGTTTTTTTTTCTTTTTTTAATATGTCTTTCTCTGGTGTTGTTATTAGGAGTACTGGGCTCGTAGAATGAGTTTGGAAGTATTCTCTCTATTTTTTGGAATAGTTTGAATAGGACTGATATTAGGATTTTTCTTTAAATGTTTAGTGAAATTCAACAGTGATGCCATCAGGTTCTAGGCTTTTCTTTGCTGGGAGACTTTTAATTACTGCTTTGATGTCATTGCTTGTTATTGATCTGTTCAGGTTTTGGATTTCTTCCTGGTTCAGTCTTGGTAGGTTGTACGTGTCTAGGAATTTATCAGTTTCTTCTAGGCTGTCCAGTTTTTTGGCATATAATTGCTCATAGTAGTCTCTGGTGATCCTTTGAATTTCTGCAGTATTGGTTGTAATGTCTCCTCTTTAATCTCTGATTTTATTTATTTAAGTCTTCTTTCTTTTTTTCCTAGTCTGGCTAAAAGTGTCTCAATTTTGTTTATCTTTTCGAAAACCAACTTTTTGTTTTGTTGATCTTTCAACTTCGTTTATTTCTGCTCTGATCTTTACTATTTCTTCTACTAATTTTCTGTTTATTTTGCTGTAGCTTTTCTAGTTCTTTAAGATGTATCATTAGGTTGTTTATTTGAAGTTTTTCTACTTTTTTGACATAGGCACTTATTGCTATAAACTTTCCTCTTAGTACTACTTTCATGTATCCCATAGGTTTTGGTATGTTGTGTTTCCATTTTCATTTGTTTGAAGAAATTTTTAAATTTTCTTCTTAATTTCTTCGTTGGCACACTGGGCATTCAGGATCATATTGATTAATTTCCATGTGTTTGCACTGTTTCCAAAATTCCTCTTGTTATTGATTTCTAGTTTTATTCCATTGTGGTTAGAAAGGATACCTGATATGATATCAGTGTTTTGAATTTTTTAAGACTTGTTTGTGGTCTATCGTATGGTCTATCTGTGTGCCAAGGAGAAGAATGTGTATATTCTCTAGCCATTGGATGAAATGTTGTATAAATATCTGATAGGTCCACTTAGTTTACACTGCAGATTAAGTCTGATGTTTCTTTGTTGATTTTCTGTCTGGATGATTTGTCCAGTGCTGAAATTGACATCTCTAGCTATTACCCTATTGGAGACACTCTCTTTAGCTCTAATAATATTTGTTTTATATATCTAGGTGCTCCAGTGCTGGATGCATATATATTTACCATTGTTATATCTCTTGCTGAATTGACCCGTTTGTCATTATATAATGACCTTCTTTGTCTTTCTCTTTTTTTTTTTTTTTTTTTTTTTTTTTGAGACAGAGTCTTGCTCTGTTGCCCAGGCTGGAGTGCAGTGGTGTGATCTCGGCTCACTGCAACCTCCTGCCTCCAGAGTTCAAGTGATTCTCCTGCCTCAGCCTCCCAAGTAGTGGGACTACAGGTGTGCACCACCACGCCCAGCTAATTTTTGTATTTTTAGAAAAGACGAGGTTTTGCCGTGTTGGCCAGGCTGGTCTTGAACTCCTGACCTCAGGCAATCCGCCTGCCTCAGCCTGCCAAAGTACTGGGATTAGAGGTGTGAGCCACCGTGCCCAGCTTCTTTGTCTCTTTTTATAGCTTTTGTCTTGAAATCTGTTTTGTCTGATGTAAGTATGGCTACTCCTGCTCTTTTTGGTTTCCATTTGCATGGAATATCTTTTTCCATCCTTTTATTTTCAGTCTATGTGTGTCTTTATAAATGAAGTATGTTTCTTGTAGGCAACAGACTGTTCAAGCGATTCTCTTGCCTCAGCCTGTGGAGTAGCTGTGATTACAGGTGCACGCCACCATGCCCGGCTATTTTTTTTGTATTTTTAGTAGAGACGAGTTTTCACCATGTTGGCCACGCTGGTCTCAAACTTCTGACCTCAAGTGATCTGCCCACCTTGGCCTCCCAAAGTGCTGGGATTACAGGCATGAGCCACCGCGCCTGGCCTAAGTGAGGTGATCTTGGCTCACTGGAACCTCCGCCTTCCAGACTCAGGTTGTCCTTTCACCTCAGCCTCCCAAGTAGCTGAGACTACAGGCACATGCCACCATGCCCAGCTAATTTTTTGTATTTTTGTAGAGATGGGGGTTTGGCCATGTTCCCCAGGCTGGCAAATAACATCTTATAACTCATTATTTTAAGCTAATGATTACTTAATACTGATTGTAAAAACTAACAAATAAGCAAAGAGAAAATTAACAAAAACTCTACACTTTATTCCCCTGCTTTTTAACTTTTTATTGTTTCTATTTATATTTTATTCTGTGTCTTGAAAAGTTATGGTTATTATTTTTGATAGGTTCATCTTTTAGTCTTTCTACTCAAGATATGGGTAGTTTACAAACCTTAATGACAGTGTTAAAATACTTTGTGTACTTACTATTACCAGTGAGTTTTGTACCTTCAGATGATTTCTTATTGCTTATTAATGCCCTTTTCTTTCTGGTTGAAGAACTCCCTTTAGCATTTCTTGCAGGATAGGTCTAGTGTTGATGAAATCCCTCAGCGTTTTTGTCTGGGAAAATCTTTATATCTCCTTCATGTTTGACAGGTATTTTTGCTGGATATACTATTCTAGGATAAAAGCTTTTTTTTTCCTTCAGTACTTTAAATATGTTGTGCCATTCTCTTCTGGCCTGTGTGGCTTTCTACTGAGAAGTCTGCTGCCAGATGTATTGGAACTCCTTTGTATGCTGTTTCTTTCTTCTTGCTGCTTTTAGGATTCTTTCTTTATCCTTAACCTTTGGGAGTTTGACTGTTAAAAAGTCTTGAGGTAGTCTTATTTGCATTAAATCTGCTTGGTGTTCTATAACCTTCTTGTACTTGAATATTGGTATCTTTCTCTAGGTTTGGAATGTTCTCAGTTATTATCCCTTTGAATAAACTTTCTACCCTGATCTCTCTCTCTCTCTCTATTACCTCTTTAAGGCCAGAAGCTCTTAGATTTGTCCATTTGAGGCTATCTTATAGATCTTCTAGGCATGCTTCTTTTGTCATTCTTATTTTTCTTTAGTTTCCACTGACTGTGTATTTTCAAATAGCCTGCCTTTGAGCTTACTAATTCTTTCTTTTGCTTGATCAATTCTGCTGTTGAGAGACTCTGATGCATTCCACAGTATGTCAATTGAATTTTTTAGCACCAGAATTTCTGCTTGATTTTAACAAATTATTTCCATCTCTGTTAAGGATAGAATTCTAAATTCCTTCTCTGTTATATCTTGAATTTTTTGAGTTTCTTCAAAACAGTTATTTTGAATGCTCTGTTTGAAAGGTCACATACCTCTATCACTCTGAGATTGGTTGCTGGTGCCTTATTAAGTTCCTTTGGTGAGGTCCTGTTTTTCTGGATGGTCTTAATGCTTGTGGATATTCATCTGGATATTGATAAGTTAGGTATTTATTGTAGTCTTCACAGTCTGGGCTTATTTATACCCATCCTTCTTGGGAAGGCTTTCCAAGTATTCAAAGGGAGTTGAGTGTTGTCATCCATGGTCGCTGCAGCCATATTTGCATTAGGGGGCAACCCAAGCCCAGTTACACTGTGACTCTTGCAGGCTCATAGAGGTACCACTTTGATGGTCTTGGGTAACAAATCTGAGAGAATTCTTTGGATTACCAGACAAAGACTCTTGTTCTTTTCCCTTACTTTCCCCCAAAGAAATGGAGTCTGTCTCTCCATGTTGAGCTGATGGGAGCTGGAGGAGGGGTGACAAAAGTACCCGTGTGGCCATCACATTGGGACTGTGCTACATCAGACCTGAAGCTAGCACAGCACTGGGTCTTACCCAAGGCCTGCGGCAGTCACTGCCTGATTCCTGCCGATGTTCACTCAAGGCCCAAGGGTTCTTCATCAGCAGGTATTGAATCCAGCCAGGCTTATGCCCTTTCCTTAGGGTGGCAGCTTCCCCAGTCCACAGCCTATGTTGGGTCAGAAATGCTGTCTGGGAGCCAAGGCCTGGAGTTAGGAACCTTAATCAGGAGCCAGGCCTGGAATCCGGGACTCCAGGAGTCTGCCTGGTGCTGTGCTCCACTGTGGCCTGAAGCTAGGGCCTGGAATGTGGGCCTCAGGACTCTGCCTGGTACCTTATTTTGCTGTGGCAGAGCTGGTATTTAAGTTGCAAGACAAAGTCCTCTTTTACTCTCCAGTCTCCTTTCCTTAAGCAGAAGGCATCCTTAAGCCATACTGCCTGGGGTTGAGGGAGGGGTGATGCAAGCACTCCCTTGGCTGCCTTAGCTGGTGTCTTACTAGGTCATGTGCACCCCCAGTCCACTGCGTCTGAGTCCAACACAGCACCAGGACTTGCCTAGGAAGTCCTTGTGGTCTAAACTGCCTTTCAAATTTATTTAAGACCCCAGAGTGCTTTAGCCTACAGTGGTGTGCCTATCTGGAACTCAGGTTCCTACTGCTGGGATGGACCATTCCCTTCTGGCTAGGACTAGCCTAAATGCTCCCTCCATAGGTACCAGCTGAATTCTGCCCTGTGTTGCTTTCTGCTGTGACAAGCAAGACTGAGTTCCAGTGCAGAGTCCCATAGTCACTGCACTCTCCCTCCCCAAACACACAGATTCTCTCTTCATGCCATGCAGCTGCTGCTGGGGAATGGAGAAGTGATGTTGACAATTCAATACTGTCTTTCTTACCCTCTTCAGTGCCTCTTTCCTTGATATGATATTAAAACCAGGTACTGTGATTGCTCAACTGATTTTGATTCTTATGAAGGTACTTTCTTGTGGGGATAGCTGTTGAATTTGGTGTTCCTGCCAGGGGGACAGTTGCTGGAGGGTTCTATTTGGCCATCCTGCTCTGCCTCCTCTGTCATAGTTTGTTTTTTAATATGCTTATTTTAGTTTGCTTTTGGTTTATCTTGTTTTAAGATTGTAATTAAGAAGCACTTACAGGAGAGGAAAAATACATTTTCCTTCTGTCCTTCTAGGTTCTCTAATGTGCCCGTGTAACAAAAGACAGATTAACAAGACAAAAACATAACGCATTTATTGAATATAAGTTTGAAACCTTCAGAAGGAAATGAAGACCCGAAGAAACAGTTAAACCTGAGTGTTTTTATACTAACTTTGATGAAGAGGGGAGAGTTGTAGAAAATGTGATAGGACAATAGAGTATGAGTCAAGAGTAGTAAACGGGAAACTTGGCAAAACCTGTTCATTTTGGTTCCTCTGGGTATCCTTTTACCTTTGGAGATAAAGATGCTTCTTTTCTCTGGGTATAGGGAGGGCACCTCTCACATGAGGATTTTATGATCTGCTTCAGGGGATGGTCAGTTCTTCCTGCACCTGCCCTTCCTCAGATTCCTTTAGCTTAAAATATTCAATATGCCAAGGTGCCAGATTTTGAAGTTGAATGTTCAGAACTCCATCACACTCAAGTGTGGAAACTCAGGTTAGCTTGCTTAGTATTAATGCATTATTCCTCCTTTGGAAATGTATGTATTATTTAGGAAAATGGCTTATGTATATTATTGTAATTTGATTTTTTCTGAAATGTCTATCCCTTACGCTTTTAGAGATGCTTATATACATTAATTTTCAGAGACCTAAAAATATTGAATAAATACTGTTTGTTGCTTTTAAACAATCCATGGGGAGTAGAAAAATTTTGATTTTAGTATTGATTGTTTACCGTTTCTTGTAGAGATTCACAGTTCCTCTATACTTGATCCAAAGTGTTACCAGTGTCTTTAAGGCAAATGGCAACACTTGAGCTGGGGAAAGTTATTTTATTTTAATAACTTTTTTTTTCCCCAAAGCTGCATTGGCTGTTTGATGAGAAAGTTGTAGAGAATCAGTTTTTGTAGCACATCATTACTAAAGTATGACTGTGTTCCATTTAACTGCTTAGTTTCTTTCTACTTACCCATTGCTATGGAAAATATAAAAGGATGATTTTTTTTTTTTTTCTTCAGACAAGTCTTGCTCTGTCACCCAGGCTGGAGTGCAATGGCATGATCTCGGCTCACTGCAACCTCTGCCTCCCAGGTTCAGTTGATTCTTCTGCCTCAGCCTCCCAAGTAGCTGGGATTACAGGCATGTGCCACCACACCCAATTAATTTTTGTATTTTTAGTAGAGACGGGGTTTCACCATGTTGGTCAGGCTGGTCTTGAACTCCTGAACTCAGGTGATCTGCCCACCTTGGCCTCCCAAAGTGCTGTGATTACAGACATAAGCCACCACACCCTGCCAAAAGGAAGATTTTATTATGGAAAATTTTAGCCAAATTCTCTTCTCTAAAATGTTTAAAATTTTAATTTAAAGGCAGTTAGTAGGTATTGTTAACAACAAAACTACTTGTTTTTAAAATTCAAACATAATTATGAATAGTTCAACAATTAATAAAATGAACATTTAAGTAGTGCTTAAGCCCATTTTTCTGAGAATGAGACAGAATTGAAGCTGAGTAAATATACATTAGTGTGTTTTCTTTATGTAATTCTGAATCTTATGTAAATGAATTTGTAGAATTAAGCACTGTGGAAGGAATCGTTTTTTGCCCTTCCCAAGTGAAGCTCCCATAGGTACAGTTGGGTTGTCCTTCTGGGTTGCTTTAAGGGCACTTTAGCTGTTTTAAAAACTTAAGTACTAATTTCATACTCAGTGTCAGCTGAATTTATTGAAGTAGGTCAGACTCTGGATAGGAACTTGTTTCCCAACCCTAAAGAGAGTCATTATCCATTCTTCTATTTGTTAGAGAATGGTAATAAATTCTTCCACATTGACCACAAGTCTAGAGCAATTTCAGAAAATCTAGATAGTTGGATTTCTTCAGGTATAGGAAATTACTTAAGATTCTCTCTGACTTTTATTATCCCAGTGGACCAAAAACAAAAACAAAACAAATAAAAAGGAAAGTCAACTCCTTTCCACCCCCAAAGAAGCCATATTCAATGGTTGTATTCTTTAAAATAGAAACTTATATCCCTCCCTGCCCCCAATCCCGCCACCCAGCCAAAGAATACACATGCAAAAATGCAATTAATTCTTTGGGGAATTCTTTTCTTAAAAAAATTTTTATTATTGTAGGTTATTCTTCCTCTCCAGTTTAATTAAGCAAACTTTTAATGTACTATATGCCTAGCAATGTTTTCTCTGGACACTGGAAAATCAGTTTCTCTGCCTATGGGATATAAAATTCTTATCTGGTTAGCAGTTAAGAAATAGTATAGTCATATGATAAAACATGGGAACTGAAAGTATAAGTATTGTGAGAAGTCAGTAGTTAGTGATCAATATGTTTTTAATTTATGAAGGAAGGCTTCATGGAAGATTTAGGATTTCAGATGATGCTTGAAGGTTGGATATGAGTTGATAGAAATAGATGTATAGAATATGGAATAAGAAGCATGAACAGAAACTTTGAATTTCAAAGTGCCAGATAGTAACTTAAAAATGTTTTTGGGTGAGAACTCATATATGGCACTGTGTTAAAGCAACCTCGGCAAAATTAATTGGTCTGCCATCACAAATTAATGTTGCAGATCAGTAAGTGAAAAATCAGGGACTCACAAACTCAAGTCTTTTGAACTTAAACGTCCTTGCTGTATTAACATTCACTGATAACCTATGAGGGTGGCATTAAGAATCTACTAGGTGCTATTACATTCTGAGAATAGAAAACTTATTAAGTTTCTTTCTGAGAGATAGAGAGACAGAGACCCACACACATGCGTGTATACTATGGTTAATTTCTTGTGCAAATCACTCAATGTATATATGCTATAGAAAAGTTAATCTGGGTTTCCCATGATTGTCTCATAGTGGGAATATCTTCTTAGAGATTATAGCGTTTAAAGAATATTGGTATAATTCAACAATTAAATACAAACACTTCATGTAATGTTGTAAAACTGGAGAAAATCTGGATTAGATTTCAGTGAGCAATAATATGTCATTCTTCAATATGGCACACCTTCCTAATGGGTTAATTAGTATATTTGACTCTATGTGATTTTTACCTTACATGCCAGTTTAAAAAGCTGTGATTATACTGTACCTCTTTGGGCCTTCTCACAATTTTGTAGTCAACTGTTAGTTAAATAGTGAGTGGGTGTTTACTCTTTACTAAATGGAGATAGCTTTACATCTTTTTTTTTTCTTTCTTTCTTTTCTTTTGAGACGGAGTCTCACTCTGTCGCCCAGGCTGGAGTGCAGTGGCGCAATCTCAGCTCACTGTAACCTCTGCCTCTCGGGTTCAAGTGCCTCAGCCTCCCAAGTAGCTGGGACTGCAGATGCCCACCACCACCCTGGCTAATTTTTTGTATTTTTAGTAGAGATGGGGTTTCACCATGTTGGCCAGATGGTCTCGATCTCTTGACCTCGTGATCCACCCACCTCGGCCTCCCAAAGTGCTGGGATTACAGGCGTGAGCCACCACGCCCGGCCACCTTTATGTCATTTTAAATGATTTAAGAATAAAAGCTACTTAACCAACTTATGAGGCATTACAGAATAGGAGCTAAGAGCATGGATTATGGAGCCAGTCTGCCTGGATTCAAATCCAGACTTTGCTGCTTATTACGTGAATGGCCATTGCCTTTGTTTTCCCAGCTATAAAGTGGGTATAATGATAATACCTATTTCTTTTCTTTTTTTTTTTTTTGGATGGAGTCTCACTCTGTCGCCCAGGCTGGAGGGCAGTGGTGTGATCTTGGCTCACTGCAACCTCCGCCTCCTGGGTTCAAGCGATTCTCCTGCCTCAGCCTCCTGAGTAGCTGGGATTACAGGCACGCACCACCATGCCCGGCTAATTTTTGTATTTTTAGTAGAGACAGGGTTTCACCATGTTGGTCAGGCTGGTCTTGAACTCCTGACCTCGTGATCTGCTCACCTCGGCCTCCCAAAGTGCTGGGATTACAGGTGTGAGCCTCCGCGCCTGGCCAGATAATACCTATTTCATAGGTTCATTGTATTTGGTATATAGTAAGCACTATCAAGTGTTAGTTATTACAAATCCATTATCCCTTATTTGCAATTTTGAAATTAAAGTAATCAAACCGTAAAGCAATAGTTTTTATACAACTTATTTGACAGCAAAGCCTGATCTAATTAATGTCTTTTTAACATATAGTCTGTTTTTGACCCTATACTTGACCTTAAGTTATTTATAGTTTGTAAAAGTCCTTTGTAATGGCTGGGCATGGTGGCTGACGCCTATAATCCCAGCACTTTGGGAGGTCGAGGCAGGCAGATCACTTGATGCCAGGAGTGTGAGACCAGCCTGGCCAACATGGTGAAACCGGTCTCTAATAAAAATACAAAAATTAGGCAGTTATGGTGGCACACGCCTATAATCCCAGCTACTCGGGAGGCTGAATCATGAGAACCGCTTGAACCCCAGAGGTGGAGGTTGCAGTAAGCTGAGATTGTGCCACTGCACTCCAGCCTGGGTGACAGAGCATGACTCTGTCTCAAAAAAAAGTCCTTTATAAAATGCAGATACTCGTGTTACTATTTTATGGTACATATTGGGCAGTATAGTTGACAGCCTTATGAAGTAAAAATAAACCTGGATATAATTATTATTGAGTACAGTCAGCCCTCTGTATCCATGGATTCTATATCTGTGGATTCAGCCAACCATGGATTGAAAATATTCGGGAAATAAAAAAGGATGATTGTGCCTGTACTGAACATGTAGATTTTTTTCCCTTGCATTATCCCCTAAACAATACAGTATAACAACTATTTATGTAGCATTTTACATTGTTAGGTATTATAAGTAATCTAAAGATGATTTAAAGTATACAAGAGAATGAGCAGAGGTTATATGCAAATACTATGGCATTTTATATAAGGGATGAGCATCCATGAAGTTTGATTTCTGTGGTAGTGGGGGGTCCTAGAATGAATCCCCCACAGATACTGAGGGATGATTGTAATGTTAATAATAGTGTCTATTTATTGAATGTTTACCATGTGCCAGGCACTATGCTGGGTATTTTATATCCATTATCTTATTTATTCCAGTAGTCTGCAGTAGGGAAGTTGTATTGATCCTGTTTTTAATGTGCTCAAGTTTAGGGAGATTAAGTAATTTGCCCAGCGTCACTCCAGCAGTGTGCCAGCAGTGCTAGATTCAGATTTTATCTCTCTGACTTTCTCGGTAACTCCTGTGTTCTTTCTGTAACCTACACTGCCTCTCTAATTTAGACAATTTTCATAAGGAAATAAAAATCACTGATATGCTAAAGTACATTGTTGTTTTGCTCTTTTTACCTTTGATCTTAGGTGCTGGTAAACCGCCTATGTTTGGTGATTATGAAGCTCAGAGACACTGGCAAGAAATAACTTTTAATTTACCGGTCAAACAATGGTATGATAATTTTAACTTGTTTTTCTTGTTTATCATAGTTAATACAGATTGTTTGAAAATATTAAAGGGACAACACGCTATTTTCTTCATCTTGAACATCCTCATCTCTTGCATGCTGGTGCCACATATGTATTGCCTTGCATTTTGTAGGCCTGTCTTTGAAATTTGATAGTCCTGAAAGTTAATTCATATACTTAGTTAGGTGGGCTATGATGCTGAACTAGAACGTTGATGATAAAACTCTGAATGTCTATATGTCCTCTGTACATAAACTATGGAAGCACCATCATAGGCTAAAAACATTTCTTCCCTGTTCCCTCATCCACTGTTTCTCTCACTAAAGATCACTATGATTGTAACTATAGATAAAAATAAAAGAGAGCTTTGGCAGTAGCTGATGGCTGAATTTGCAGATCTGAAAAGGGGACCAAAGGGAGAAGCCTACAATGATAGGACTTGTTTTCAACTCTGGAAATTTCGCATGTGTCCTTTTGATTCACCTTTGAATACCGTGCATCTAGTATAGGGCATGGCACATTGTAGACCCTCAATAAAAATCTGTGGAAGGAATGAGTATTTAGGTGTTCACTTTTTCTTTTTTTTTTTGAGATGGAGTCTCACTCTGTCGCCCAGGCTGGAGTGCAGTGGCGTGATCTCAGCTCACTGCAACCTCTGCTGCCTGGGTTCAAGCGATTCTCCTGCCTCAGCCTCCCAAGTATCTGGGATTGCAGGTGCCTGTCACCATGCCCGGCTAATTTTTGTAGTTTTTAGTAGAGACAGGGTTTCACCATCTTGGCCAGGCTGGTTTTGAACTCCTAACCTCGTGATCCACCCACCTTGACCTCCCAAAGTGCTGGGATTACAGGCTTGAGCCACCATGTGCGGCCTAGGTGTTCGTTTTCGTATGGTCTCATTTCCATAGCTTTCTCTTTGTATTATGAAGGAGGAGGTCAGCTCTACCCTTCATTGTTATATGATACAGTATATATTGAACCGTCTGTTTCTGAAAACTCAGAGAACTTCATAGACATTTTTGTTAATTATTATTGCTCTCTATCATAATTGAGCAGTGGTGATTAACCTTAATTTTGTATACAAATCTACCTGAAGTATAAAATAGCAGTAGCTTAGTGGTAAAGAGTGTAGGTGCTAGAGTCAGACTGTCTGAGTTCAGATCCCAGCTCTACTATTTATTAGCTGTGTGACCTTTGGCAAATCATTTAACTTTCTCAACCACAGTTTTATTACTTATAGAATGAAAATAGTAGACTACATATTTCACTGGGTTATTGTGAGGACTGAATAAAATGATACATGTAAAGCACTTAGGCCAGTCCCTAGCATGTAACGAACTCTCAATAAATGTTAGCTCTGGTTATAGCATCATAGAAATTCATGCCTGTGTCATTTTTATTGAACATATCCTGATAACTGTTGATGACATTATTTATTGACTTACTAGATGGTTGGTAGGTTATTCTCTTAGAGACTGGCTATATAAACTGTTCATATTATATTGTTGACTGCTTTGGCTACTGCTTTTATATAGCTCTTTATCAGAGAGTTTTATGCAAGAACTTCATATTGAGTTTTCTATTGATAGGTTGCCTGTTCCCTAGTCAGAGTTTGGAGTGTTTCAAATGGAAGAGGAACTCGAAACACTTTAAATGTCTCTTAGTAGGGGAATGATTAAATAAAGTCTATTTCTTATGTGCTCATTTTTTCTAGGTAGATTCCTAGAAGTGGAAGCTCTAAAGTAACACCAGGATATCTCATTCTACGTACCCTGACCAACATTTAGTAATACCGGACTTTTAAAATTGGCACTTCCTTGAGTAATTGTGACCTGAGCATCTTCTAATGTATTTATTGATAATTATATTTCTTTTTTTTGAGACGGAGTCTCGCTCTGTTGTCCAGGCTGGAGTGCAGTGGCTCGATCTCGGCTCACTGCAAGCTCCGCCTCCCAGGTTCACGCCATTCTCCTGCCTTAGCTTCCCGAGTAGCTGGGACTACAGGCGCCCACCACCACGCCTGGCTAATTTTTTTTTGTATTTTTAGTAGAGACAGGGTTTCACCATGTTAGCCAGGATGGTCTTGATCTCCTGACCTCGTGATCCGCCCATCTCGGCCTCCCAAAGTGCTGGGATTACAGGCTTGAGCCACCGTGCCTGGCCGATAATTAGATTTCTTTTCAAAATTGCTTGTTCATTTCTTTCCCCCGTGTTTGTAGTGGATAATCATTTTTGTAATGATTTGTATGATTTTTAAATAGTTATACTAATTTTCTATGCTGTGTAATGAATGACCTCAAATGCTAATTGCTAAAACACACATTTATTATCACAGTTTCTTTAGATCAGGAGTTTGGGCACAGCTTAGCTAGGTATTCTGCTCAGAGTTTCGGGAAGGCTATATTTCAGGTGTCAGCTGGGCTGCAGACTTATCAGAGGCTCAAATGGAGAAGGATCCATTTCCAAGTTCCCTCAGGCTGTTGGCAGAATTAGTTTCCTTGCATCTGCAAGAGTGAGGGCTTCAGTTTCTTGTTGGGAGCCACTCTTGGCTCCTAGAGCTCACATGCCATTTGTTGCTATGTGGCTTCTCCAACATGGCCATGCACTAAAATATGCCAGCTTGCTTCTTTAAAGTCAGTGAGAGGCAGTCTGTCTAGTATATCTGCTAGCAAGACAGAATATTACATGTACGTGAAACAGAAGCACAAGAGTGATATCCTATCACATTTACCATATTGTATTAGTTAGATGCAAATCACAGGACTTGCCTACGCTCAAGGGGAGGGGATTGTATGCACGCAGGAGTCTGAACAGCAGGAGATGGTGTTCTCAGTGGTGACCTTAAAGTCTGTCTACCACGACAGTATAGCAGTACTGTACACTTTAATCATTTTCCTCATGTGTGTGTATGCGTGTATAAAATAAACGTCTTCTTTCTGTTTGTTCTTGTCTTGTTCTGTAATTGGTGTCTGTTGTCTTATAAAACTTTCTACATTTTGATGTATGTAAGTTATTTCAACTATTCTTGCAACTTTTCTGTAACTTTGAAACTGTTTCAGGCTAAAAATTTTTTTCTTTAAACAAAAATACCAAATATGACTCTGTGGGTTGTCTGTTAGAGAAAACTACATCTTAAAGTTAATGGTAACACTCTTGAATGTAATTTTATAATTCGTGTGGCAGCCATTTTTTTTTTACTTACTAAACATCTACTGAGATTACATGGGAATTCAGTGGAAAAATACATTTCAATGTATAAATAGTATTTAGACAACTTTTTGGGTATTGATATATCTAAAGTAAGGCCGGGCGCAGTGGCTTACGCCTGTAATCCCAGCACTTTGGGAGACCAAGGCGGGCAGATCACGAGGTCAGGAGTTCGAGACCAGCCTGACCAACATGGAGAAACCCCATCTCTACTAAAAATATGAAATTAGCTGGGCGTGGTGGTGCATGCCTGTAATCCCAGCTACTCAGGAGGCTGAGGCAGGAGAATCGCTTGAACCTGGGAGGCGGAGGTTGCAGTGAACCAAGATCGCAACATTGCACTCCAGCCTGGGCAACAAGAGCAAAACTCTGTCTCAAAAAAAAAAAAATATATATATATATACGTATATATATATATATATATACGTATATATATGTATATATATATACGTATATATATATACGTATATATATATACGTATATATATGTATATATATATACGTATATATATATATACGTATATATATATGTATATATATATGTATATATATGTATATATATATAAAATATAAAGCAGGAGTATCAACTAATTGCTTTATTCCTACTGATATATTTTGATGCTTTACTTGAAACACTTCTAAGCTATCTTCTCTTATGCCTCTTTGTTCTGCTTTATGAATTTCCATAAGAATGGGGAGCACTGTTATAAATCCTATATTTTTTTCCTCCTAATCCAACCAATGACTTTATTTTTAGTATATATCATTGCATGCTTGCAGCTTACTGTCAATGCCTCTTTTACTCATCTCCAGTGGATCTCAAGGTTAAACTAAATGAAAAAATAGGTTTTGTCTATTTTCAGAAGCTGAAAACCAAATCAAGTTGTATTGGACAAAATGTGATTCTTGAATTACTTGATGGTTTTCCATTGCTGTATCCATCTTAGTTGTTTTGTGGCTAGTAGCCAATTGGAACTACTATTGAGCACTTTGTGTCAGTCACTGACCTCACAGCTTTACTTGTTTAACTCAATGCTTCAACAGCTCTGAGGCTGATAAAATAAAACTTTATGCTATATAGTAACATGAATTTGGAAATGATATAATTGGTGCCTGTCTTCAGGTATCTCTGTCTAGAAAAGTGGGTCCTTTGGTCTCCATTATTTGCCTGGCCCGGTTTCCCAGATTCAAGCTGCCAAAAGGGGCTCCAACTAACCCAGAGATTCTTAGACTCGCTGCTTCTTGGCTTCAAGTCCCAGCCAGACATGGAACCCAAGATTGTTCACATGGATGTTTCTGGAGGGACAATGGCCACCAGCTGGTACCATACTGTAGTACTCTATGCCCAGATGTCTTGGCTGTCTACCATGCCTTGATAATTTTAATCCCCATCTCTTCCATACAAACCTATGTTTTATGTAACTGACACTAAGAATAGACCTTCCGAAGATGATTAATAGGTTATTTGATGGGATCATGTTGAATGCTAATTTAAAGAAATATTTTTAATTCAAAAAGTAAGAGATTGTGATAGTGAGGAATTGTGACCCATTTGAAATAAGTTAGGCCGGGCATGGTGGCTCACCCCTGTAATCGCAGCACTTTGGGAGGCCGAGGAGGGTGGATCACTTGAGGTCAGGAGTTCAAGACCAGCCTGGCCAACATGGTGAAACCCCGTCTCTACTAAAAATACAAAAATTAGCTGGGCCTGGTGGTGGGTGCCTGTAATCCAAGCTACTCAGGAGGCTGAGGCAGGAGAATCGCTTAAAAAAAAAAAAAACCCAGGAGGCGGAAGTTGCAGTGAGCCGAGATTGCGCCACTGCACTCCAGTCTAGGTGACGGAGCAAGATTCCGTCTCAAAAAGAAATAAGCTTATGAACAATGGTTATTTATGGGTTATATAGTTTGGCTTGCACTGTTGTATTCTTATGATTGAGAAAATAAATGGAATAGAAGAAGAAGCTGCCTAGTTGTAAAGGACATGATTAAGAAATTATTTTAACTTAACTTTTAGTTCTCGAGTCATGATAGTTGTATATATTTCCTTCACATTCTGGCTAACCAGAGGAGCCTATCAATTTGTGGACATTAGACCTACTTTTCTTCCTAAAATTCAGAGAGCCTTGCACGTAACGAGGCTCTCGTTACATGTTGGTTGAATTGGTTACAAACAATCCTATTCTTTTTGTTGCATATTTTTTGTTGTATGAGTGTTAGTCATTGATGAAGTCTACTAATAGTAGGATGACAGTAAATCCCAGTTTGCCTAGGAGAGTCCTGGTTTGTGTCTATTGACATGGCTTAATTATTAATAGCTTAATAATTAGTAAATTACATTATTAAGCTTAGATAAGTGAGGTGCAATGTTAAATTATAAGTCTACTTCTTGAATATTGATTAACGGAATGGTGCTTTCTTCTTTTTTTCTTTTTCAGGTATTTTAACAGCAGTGATAACAATTTACAGTATTGGGGATTGGATTACCCACCTCTTACAGCTTATCATAGTCTCCTATGTGCATATGTGTAAGTTTTTCTTTCTTAATGTAACTCTAAATTTTTATGCCCTTGGCAGATTTAGTAAGAAGCAGTGTGATGGGGCTTTCTTGACTAGAGGAGAGATTGCTTGTAGCTGCTATTGTATTTTTTTTTTTTTTTTTTTTTTTTGAGATGAAGTCTCACTCCATCGCCCAGGCTGGAGTGCAGTGGTACAATCTCGGCTTACTGCAACCTCCACCTTCCAGGCTCAAGTGATTCTCTTGCCTCAGCCTCCTGAGTAGCTGGGAGTACAGGTGCCCGCCACCATGCCTGGCTAATGTTTGTATTTTTAGTAGAGACGGGGTTTCACCATGTTGGCCAAGCTGGTCTCAAACTCCTGACCTTAAGTGATCTGCCCACCTCAGCCTCCCAAAGTGCTGGGATTACAGGCATGAGCCACCTCACCCAGCCACTGCTATTGTATTGTGTATTACAAATGGGTTTTAAGAAATAACTATTGGCTGGGAGTGGTGGCTCACGCCTGTAATCCCAGCACTGTGGGAGGCCGAGGCGGGCGGATCACGAGGTCAGGAGATTTAGACCATCCTGGCTAACATGGTGAAACCCCATCTCTACTAAAAATACAAAAATTAGTCAGGCGTGGTGGCACATGCCTGTAGTCCCAGCTACTTGGGAGGCTGAGGCAGGAGAATCGCTTGAACCCAGGAGGTGGAGGTTGCAGTGAGCCGAGATCACGCCACTGCATTCCATCCTGGGCAACAGAGTGAGACTCCATCTCAAAAAAAAAAAAAAAAAAAAAAAAAAGAACTATCAAAGTTTGAACATTTCTATAATTTTTTTGGAGGACATCTAGCAAGAAATGTGAAAAACCTAGTTTTGTTTTGAAGTAGAGATGTTATCCATATGTGTAGACTACTAAGAAATATATCTAATATGTGTTGTGTATAAGAAAGTTTTTTTTCTGGAACAGCTCAAAGTAAATGAAAAATATAGATCCAGATGGTTACCAACTAATCTGTCAAGTTAGAAACTAGAATAATTGTAGTGTTTCATTTGTGATTGAAGATCAAAATGGGAATTCCTCCTCCTTTTAAAGAAATTGAATAGTTATAGAAGATAAGGAACTTCTGTTTTGGTAAAGACCCAGTTCTACTCTGTAGTGGTATTCCATCTTAGATTTGAAGTATGTCAGCAAAAATTTGAGGAACCTCTTCACAATATCTCGTGAACTCATCTTGTTTAATTTCTACTTACAGCCCTGTGTCACTTCACGATGGGGATACATTCTGAGAAATGTGTGGTTAGGTGATTTCATCATTATGCAAACATCATAGAGGGTACTTTAGTAGGCAAAATGGTATAGCCTACTATATCTAGGCGTATAGCATAGCCTATTGTTCCTAGGCTACAAACCTGTACAGCATGTCACTGTACTGAATACTGTAGGCAGTTGTAACACAATGGTATTTGTATATTTAAACATATCAACACATAGCTAGCGTAAAAATATGGTAGTACAATCTTATGGGATCATTGTCCTACATATGGTCCATTGTTGACTGAAATGTCGTTATGCGGTGTCGTTATGAGTGTATTTAATATTTGCAAAAATAAGCTTCATGGATTGAAAATAAACTCCCAAACATCATCATTATAGTATTCAGGGTAATTGTAATATGGTTGAAAATTTCATTTAACAATTGTGTTTAGTTTTATGCAGTGATTTATGATTATTATAGCTGTTTATTGTAGCCAATTGTTATGATAACTAAAATATTATAAATTGTAAAGATGATCCTCTGGTCAACACTAGCATATTGCTTTTTATAAAGTATGTGTTTGGTAAATGAAATGTGACATGCCAGATTGTTTTTACACTGGAAGAACTGTGAAGATAGGGCTTGTAGTTATACCTTACATAGTTTTGTTGGAAGGTAAGCAATGTAGATGCTGTTTTATAGCTTAAGTCAGTTTCACATGATTAAATAAAAAGAGTAAAACTTAAGCATTGACTCTGTTGCTTTATAAGAGAAATGGCCAATTCTCAAAATATTAATACATTCATATATCCTTCAATATCTTTATTGCTAAAAGGGATGAGGAATGAAGTATCTGTATATATGCTTTGATTTGCAGGGCAAAGTTTATAAATCCAGACTGGATTGCTCTCCATACATCACGTGGATATGAGAGTCAGGCACATAAGCTCTTCATGCGTACAACAGGTAAAAGAGCAATGGGTAGTGAATATAAAATTTGATTTTTTAAAAATTTTGGACAAACTGGTAAAGGTACTATTATTGTTCTTACTGACTTTAAAATTGTGCAATTACACAAACACATATATTTACAAATATACATATTTGTATACATGATCCAAGACCAAATGTATATGTAAGCTAAAACTTGAAAGAGTAGAAAGGAATAATTCTGGGTGCTTTACATTTTTTATCTGACTTAATTCTTTGAACACCTAAATGAGATAAATACTATTATTCTTATTTTAAGCTGAGGAAACTGAGGCATAGTTAAATGAAGCAAGATAGCTATAAATTGAATCTTTAGTTTTTTAGGGTGCTGCTTTAATATCCTAATTCTAAATTTCTTTCATTTTTTCTTAAAGCAAACCTTGCAGTTATCATCTTATACATTGTATTGTTGTGCAGTTTCTAAATTAAATAATCCACACAACAAATGTTTATTGAGCATGTGTGTGTGCTGTTGTAGGAGCTTGAAAGTAATAAGCTTAGATTTCTTTAAGAGCTTTACATGACTTATGCTTTAATGCTTTAAAAGCCCAGTCCTTTTCCTTAATTAGTCTAAATGTAGTCAGAGTTTGTTCTCCTTACAATTCATCCAGTCATGGAATCTTAGGCCCAAGAGATAACCTGTTTTTCCTGTCTTTCCCTCTCCCACACCACTGCCCTTCCCTCTCCAATGCTTTAATCCTTTCTGAACCACATACACACCATGTGATTATTTGGCTTCTGAACCAATATCCATACTTGCAGGGAACTCACAACCTTTAGAGACAGTCTATTCTGTTTTCAGAGAGCTCCAGTCATTAAAAATTACTTTCTAAATTGAACTTCCACCAGTCATTACAGATTATGTTTTCTAGGGTTACAGAGAACAAGTCTGATCCCTTGTATCCCTAACATCCTACAGGAATTTGAAGTCACCTCTTCTCTAAGTTAAAGATTCCTATATACTTCAGCTATTCCTTAGATGAGCAATTTGTTGAATGTGATTATGGTTTTGAGGACTCTCGCCACTCTTTTGGGTGTGTTCCAGTTTGTCAGTGTCATCTTTAATGTGGCATCTGGAGCTGAACATATTGATAGATTTCAGTTGATAGATTGATAGTTTACTGTCACCTTTTTCTTGACACTAAGTGAGATATAAGAAAAAAATAAGCTCTTTAGACAGCTATGTTATACATTTGAAGAACTTATGTATTTATTTTTCTTTGTTCTAAAGGACTGCATGTTCAAAATTATGAATTGCTTTTCTTTTTTTAGGATTTTTTTTTCAGTTTTCTCCTCACCTGGGTTTCTCAAGCTCTTTATATGCATTAATTAGCAAAAGTTTATATTTTTTCAATAAAGACCAACATTTAAAAAAGATTTTCTTACACATCACTACATTTCAGTTATTCTTTATACTAGAAAATTCAGAGTATATAGATTGAGGAAAAAAATATTTCCTTGCTTTGAATATTTTTAAGTCCAAGTTAGAGCAAAGAGAGAATGTTAGATACATCTGATTGATTAAATGTGTGAATTTGTTAGAGAAAATTAAGAGACTCCTTTGCAATACAGCAATTGAAATTAGTCACAGGTGAAGGGATTGAAAAGTGCTGACTGTGTAAAGGACTTGTCCATAGTAGGGCAAGAACCTTGTGTTAATGAATTCTCAATGTTGGAGGAAGGGAGGCAGTTAATGGGTAGCTGTAAATCCTGATGGACTCATGTTTAAAGTTATTTACTTGTGTTTTCAGTTTTAATTGCTGATCTGCTGATTTACATACCTGCAGTGGTTTTGTACTGTTGTTGCTTAAAAGAAATCTCAACTAAGAAAAAGGTAGGTTTTCAAGCAGCCTGACAGTTCGTCTCTGAAATGTATTCTTTATTAGTCTAACTATTAAGTATAGACCTTAGAGAAGCCATGCTTTTGGAAAGAGAGTAATTAGGAATATTGTATCTTCTATCAATTTTCACTTCAAAAGCATCAACTTATCTTACAGTAATTAATTATTTTAGTGTACTACTAAGATACACTGAATCTTGGAAGTTATGTACTGTTGAACTACATGCCTTGCTGAATTTGTTACTTTACTGGTAAAGCTGAATTTTGAGCTGGCTTGTGAGATTGACCAAACTGAAAGGCATTTTGAAAAGTTGTTGTATATTCTTAATTCATAGTTATCAAATATTATTTTTGGTCATTTTAGATAGGTTAACATTAGATTGACTTCTCCAGTTTGTGTATCTGAAAGTACTTCCTCTGACAAAACCTTTTAGTGGTTTTGTTTTTCCTTTTTATGGAAGTGTCCAATGTCACCTTCATGAAAACTTCATTGTCTAAAGAGTTGTATTATAAAAATTGAATATTTTATGAAAAGAAAGTGTGACACCTCTGGAAAAGGGGAACATTTGCTAATGTGTTAGATAAAAACCACACTTTTACCCTGCTTGATTTGTGTAACAGATTACTTTCTTATCTCACAATATTTGTCTTTACAGATTGCTAATGCATTATGCATCTTGCTGTATCCAGGCCTTATTCTTATAGACTATGGACATTTTCAGTATCCTTTACTAATGCAGAAATGAAGTCAGTTGCATATTGTGAAATCTAGACTCAATGTGTACATTGCTGTCATCTAGTAATGTCTTATTTGATAGAGTGCTTGCTTATATAAACTATTTCACAATAATATAAAAGAATCTCTTCACTAAGCTTTTATTTGAAAGGTAAAGTACAGATTTATTAAAAGTAGAATTGCTTTTTCATGTTGTTTGATTGGGAACAAAATGTTGGTAAATGATTAGCTCTTTCTGGGGTGTTGGAAAAAGAGTGCCAAGTATGGTTATACTCTAGTAATTCTAAAGTGTAACATGTCTTCTATCCTTTGTAAATGTTATCTGACGTGAAAAAAGGAGAATGATCTTACAGTTTTATGAGTTTAAAAATTTTTTTTCTATCAGATAGTAGTAGCTAGAAGCTTCAGGAAACTAAAACTGATAATCAAAATATGGCTTTTATATGTGTATTTTTTTGATGCCTAAAATAAGGAACATTCAAACAAAGCTTAGATGAGAATAAATTGATAAAAATCTGTATATATCTATCTAATTTGTCTTATAATATATTGAATGTTATTACCTGTCTCCATCTCTCTTAAAGGAAAAAAAGACGACATTACACAGCAACATGATTATTTAATTAATAGCTTTTCCTTTTGATGCCAGTCTTGTTTTAGTTATAATAACACTAATAGGTATATCTGTCAAAGGACTTACAAATAAAAGATATTCAAGTCTGTAGTTGTTTTTATCATATATTTTATATTCTGTCCACTTTACTAATTTAGTTTTTTAAAAATTTTGACATTGTTTATGGGATCATGGCTATCAGATACTCTGATAATATCAAGAACAGTGATAGAAAAGGAAAAAATGTTATCTACCAGAGTTTTAAAACTATATTTACTTTGAAATGTGACACTCATGCAGAAAACTATGCAAAATATAAATGTACAGCTCAGTGAGTTGGCAAACTACCACTCATGTCAAGAAATAGAACATTACTAGTATCCAAAAACTACCCTTGTACACCTCCCCATCCTTCTCCCTCCTCCTTTCCCAATGGTACCCCTGAACTAACTACTAATCCTATAGTTTTCCCCTTTTTTGAATTTTATATGAAAGGGACAGCATAGTAAGTATTCTTTTGTGTTTGATGTTTTGGGCTGAACATTTTGTTTATGAGATGTATTCATGTAGTTGTGTGTAGCTGCAGTTTGTTAAAAAACTATGAAAGTGAATTCAGTGTTCACTTTCATTGCTTTACGATATTCCATTGCATGAATACATGTAATTCTATCACTGAGAGAGTAATTTGGGTTGTTTCCCAGTTTGGGCCATGACGAATAATGCTGCCATGAACATCTTATAAATATCTCCTTGTACATATATAAACATTCTTCTTATAAGTGGAATTGTTGAGTTATAGAGTGTGCACATGTCGATTTTTAGATAATCCCAAGTTGTTTTTAGCAGCATGTACCAATTAAGACTCTCATAACAATGGTGTAAGAGTTCCAGATGCTCTACATCTTGACCAACTGTCAATGGTTTTCGATTTAGCCATTCTGGAAAATTTGTAGTAGTATGTCCCCTGTGATTTGAGTTAAACTCTGAAGGCTTTCAGGCATATGTTATCTTGTAAGGATACATTTTTTTCTTTTGAGACGGAGTTTCGGAGTTTCGCTCTTGTCCGCCATGCTGGAATGCAATGGCGTGATTTTGGCTCGCTGCAACCTCTGCCTCCTGGGTTCAAACGATACTCCTGCCTCAGCCTCCTAAGTAGCTGGGATTATAGGCATGTGCCACCACACCCTGTTAATTTTTGTATTTTTAGTAGAGACAGGGTTTCACTGTGTTGGCCAGACTGGTCTCAAACTCCTGACCTCAAGTGATCCACCCACCTTGGCCTCCCAGAGTGCTGGGATTATAGGTGTGAGCCACTGTGCCTAGCTCTAAGGACACATTTTTTAACCATTATGTACTTTTCTCATTTGCAAAATGTGGATAATAGAAACCCTGACTTTGTAAGCTTAGTTTGATAATTAAATGAATTAATATTTGTAAAGCACTTAAGACAGTTCCTGGGAGACACTAAGCATTATATAGGCATTTGTTGCTATTATTACCATTTTTATAATTTATTTTTGTGGTTCTGAAATTTTACAGTGATTTGTTTAGACATAGGTGTTTTTCACAATTGTTTTGGATATCCAAACCGTATATGGGTCCATACGTTTTGAAGACTCATGTTCTTCTGTTCTGCTAAATTCTGTTATATTATTTCTTTGATGATTTTCTCACTTTTTTCTTTCTTGAGCCTATTAGTCAGATGTTTGATCTTTTGCATCCCTTTCTCTTTTGTTTTATGGGTTGGGTTATCTTGAGTTTATCCCCAACACTTCTATCGAATTTCATTTGTATTGTTAGGTATATTTTTAATTTCTAATTAGAATTTACTACTTTTTGTTTTTTTGGTAAAGTTCACTACTGTTCCCTGAGTGATTTTAATTCTTTCATGGTCATTTAGTTTCCCTTTCATTTCGATTCTTTTTCTGTCATAGGTTTTCTATAAATGTTTATTTTATCCTAGTGTATCTATTTTTATTTAAGAATAAGGCAAGAACACCTGCATATGACTTCTATATATCATTGGTCCACTCTAGGATAAGTGGGGAGCAAGCTGGCCACCACGCATTGAGATGCTTAAATGTCAGAATGTGGAGGGGTTTGCATTATAGTGCTAACCTCTACACTGGATAGTTTAGTTCATTTCTTCAGAAAAATATGCCCTCTTTTGTTGCCTTGGGGTAAATGTTTGGCTGCCAGATAATCTTTGCATGGGAGTGGGGTAAGATTTGACTTCTACCTCTAGGGATTTTCAGTTAATCTCTTGTTTTCTTCTGCACATACTACTCAAAGACTGTAACCTACTTGGTGTTTCCAAAGTTCTCTAGGGTCTTGCAGGGTGGATTGGCTTTTTGCTACCCTGAGTCTCCTCTATGTATATACTCTAAGCTGTGGCTTCCTTCATCCTATTTTATTTGTTATCACTTCTGTCTTCCAGAAATATGTTGAAATCTTTATCTATTATAACAGATCCTCCCATTCTCTTTATGGCTGTGAATTTATACTTTTTGTTTGTTTGTTTTTGTTTTCTTGCTCTCTTGCCCAAGCTGGAGTGCAGTGGCATGATCATAGCTCACTGCAGCCTCAACTTCCTGGGCTCAAGCAGTCCTCCTGCCTCAGCTTCTTGGGTAACTAGGACTCCAGGCTTGCACCACCACACTCGGCTAATTTAAAAATTTTTTTGTAGAGATGGGGTTTTGCCATGTTGCTGAGGCTGGTCTCAAACTCCTGGCTCAAGCAATCTTCCTGCCTTGGCCTTCCAAAGTGTTGGGTTTACAGGTGTGAGCCACGACTTCTGGCCTGAATTTATACTATTAAATTCCTTTTCCTATTATTTTAAGAGTCTCTCGGGAAGGAGAGGAGGTAAACATTAGTGCCTAGCTCACCATTTTGAACTGAAAATCTAATTGTGATATTGTTTTAATTAACAATGTTGTTAGTTTCTAATTAAGTACATATATTACTTTATACTATTAATATATATAATAGAGGAAGTGTAGCGATCTCAGTAAATTTTTTTTTAACTTGCTGTTGGAACATTGTTTTATTCTCTAGATTTTGGTATGTTATAATAATATTGTGAAGTAATCTAACAGAAACAAAGCTATGTTTTAAATCTTTAGAGCTCTTTTAAACCAAAACAAATCAGTTGCTGCTTAGCAGTAGATTTAATGTATTTGATGCTGTTATACATAATTTCATGTTTGTTTATCACTTCAGTACTTTGAATTTCTATTGGGAAATAGCTTTCATTGTATATGTTATTTTAAAATCACATAAGAGATATGCTATGAGCTTGCATTTCCTAGAGCATATCTCTTGTGTGATTTGCTTTTTAAAAGCTCTATCTTTTTAAAAGATTATTGAGATAATTTCCTTGACACAGGAACATATATAATTCTGTGAGTCTTGGCTTTGCTTTGTGGGGTGTTCTTGGAATATCTTGTGACTGCGACCTCCTAGGGTCACTGGCATTTTGCTTAGCTATAAATTATAAACAGATGGAACTTTACCACGCCTTGCCATTTTTTTGCTTTTTACTTGGCAAGTGTTTTAAAAAAGGCCTCAAAGGAAAGGGGTGAGTGACTTTTAAACACTAGAATCCAAAAATTTACTTCAGATAATTTTTTTGGCATACTTACTTGCAGTAAGATGATCTTTCACTTTGCCTTTTGGTGATTTCTTATAAATATTTTGGCTGTAGGGTATGTGGGAAGAGAGAGATTAAGTCATGTTCTGTATTTTATTTTTAATTTTCCTAACTAGAGAAATATTTCAATTCATGTATATTTACTGGTAGTGTGGATTGGGTAGTTAGAACTTTGCTGTAGGATTTTATCACTTTAGAGCTTACTACATTATATACTTATTAGAAATACATCCCCATTTGATATTTTTCTTCATGAATGCACTCTCTTATTCCTATAGGAATGGCATCTAACATAAATGTTAATTACGATGGTGATAACAGTCCTTTTGTTGAAGTGCACGTCTTAGCTGTTGTGAATTTTTTACCTCTGATTTGAGCACACTCCCATCTTAAGCCTATATTGGTAACATAGATTTGGCATTACTATACATGTGCATGTATTATGTTCAGTGAGACTCAGGTTGATTTTGCAGAATTACTGACCTTTCCCTATCTTACTGCCTACCTTTGTTTTTGTTTTAGGTTTGTGTTGCTAGTTAAGCTAGCTTGTATTGTTGTGGCTTCCTTCGTTCTCTGCTGGCTGCCATTCTTTACAGAAAGGGAACAAACCCTGCAGGTTCTAAGAAGACTCTTCCCGGTTGATCGTGGATTATTTGAGGCATGTTTAAACACTTTCCTCTCCTTTCTGTTACTGTACCTTACCTGTGACCTTTAGGGGTTTCATGTAGAAGGTACAAGGAATAGGAACTTCAGCTACTTTCCTCCTGTAATCATTCCTTGCCAGTTATTGCTTGATTGATTAATTGATTGGTTGAGACAGGATCTTGCTGTTGCCCAGGCTGGAGGGCAGTGGCTATTCGCAGGGGTAATCATGGTGCACTACAGCCTTGAACTCCTGGGCTCAAGTGATTCTCCTGCCTTTGCCTCCCAAGTAGCTGGGACAACAGGGTGTGTGCACCTTGCTAGTTATTTAATCCATTATATAACCCCTAGCTCAGGTGGCATTTTTTAGTATGTTCCATCAATAGGTAATATTCATGCCATCATCAGATCCATAATTGAATTATATGTTTTTGTAATGAAATAGGGTTTGTAATGAAAGACAGCATGAGAAGTTTCAGCTACAATTTTAACAGCTGTGTAATTTTTTGGTGTATATTCTGTTTTTAGTCTTAGGAAATTATTTGTAAAACTAATAATCATGTTGCTTCAGGAAGATCTCATAATTTCTTATGAGATATATAACCTTCATCCATAGTAATTTTTAATGAGAATCTTTCATTTCATTTCATTTAATGCTAGTTTAATCACTCTTGTTAAACTTTTATTATGTGAATAATTTGATCATTTAGATTTGGTAATTAAATTAAACCATTTTTCTGAAACAAAAAGGCCTTTTAATAAAGTTAGACAGAAACAACATATTTATAGATAATTTGCTAGCATTTCTTTTAAAAATAATTTTAAAAGCATATTTTCCTAAGTTTTGAATATATAAATTTCTATAGAATATCTTTCAGTAGACTTATAGGAAGATGGAACCAGCATTTTGAAAGCGACTAAGATGGGAGTTTGGTGTTGTGAAGGAACAGAAATGTGTGACTGTATGTCAACAGGATGATGGTAGTGATGATCTAAATAATCACTATTGTTATAACCACCACTTAGCAGGTGCCAGACACTTCCATGTAATTTTATTTGATCTTTACAGTAGCTTTGTGGTAGCTATTGTCTCCACTTTACAGATTAGAAAACTGAGGTCAAAGATTCCTATAACTAGTATGTAGCAGAACTGTGACTTGAACTTGGAAAATTGTTTTCCTAACCTCTTCTTTATATAAACTCTAACACTTACATAAAGAAAAGTTTAACTCTCTATGTAAGCTGCCTAATTATTTGCCTTACCTTCCATTTCAGAAATGGCATTTATCATGATAATTATAAAAATGAGTATCAGACATGTTTGATGGTGTTGCCAGTCTCTTCCATTCACTTCTTGCCTTCAAAATCTGAAAAGCATTTTCTTTGATCCAGCAGAGGAAAGTGGGATGATATAGTTGTCAGTGATAGTTACTTTTTTGATGTTAAGTCTGCACAGCTGTAAGTCAAGCAGCTGTGTAGAGAACGGATTTCACCACCAGGAGAGCTGTAGTTACAAACTTAATTTTGAAAGTGATCCTAGCACAACTGCTAATGTCTTTAGACTTTGATTTATTAGCAATTAGCTCTTGTCATTGCTAGTAGCTAGCAGGTTACTCTGTTACTCTAAGTAAATTCAGTTGTGTGATAAAAATGGGTCAAATGTAATATGTATTCTATAAATTGTAGAAAAAACATTTCTTAGAAAAATTTCCAAAGATGAAGGACTTTAGTATTCAGGGATAGTGCACTGCTCTTTGAAAACTATTAAGTATTTGGGAATGTCTGGATTATGGTGGGCCAATGCTTTTGATCAACTGCCCTGCACAAAAATGAAAAATGCTTGAGACAGTGTATGCGTATATGTTTATTCCTGGAGGATTTAATCTATTTAGTTATAATTGTGACTAAAAGTTTCACATCTCAAAAAGTTTATTAGAGATTATGGGCTGTACTTCATGGGTTTTAATATTTCTTTCAATTATACCAGAATGTAAAGCTAACAAATCTCTTTTAAGGATAAAGTAGCCAATATTTGGTGCAGCTTCAATGTCTTTCTGAAGATTAAGGATATTTTGCCACGTCACATCCAATTAATAATGAGGTAAGAGAAACAAAGTTTGTATGTAGTATTTTATAAGTTACTCTTTAAAAGCATTATGGTATTATTTCATTTATTTGGCATCATTAGGGAATGAGGTGTTTTTCTTTTCTTTTTTTTTTTTTTGAGACAGAGTCTGGCTCTGTCACCCAGGTTGGAGTGCAGTGGCTTGAGCTCGGCTCACTGCAGTCTCTGTCTCCTGGGTTCAAGTGATTCTCCTGCCTCAGCCTCTGGAGTAGCTGGGATTACAGGCGCCCGCCACATGGCCAGCTAATTTTTGTATTTTAGTAAAGATGAGGTTTCACCATTTTGGCCAGGCTGGTCTCGAACTCCTGACCTCAGGTGATCCACCCACCTCGGCCTCCCAAAGTGCTGGGATTACAGGCATGAGCCACTGCACCCAGCCGAGGTGTTTTTCTTTAGAGGATTTTCCACATAAAAGACCTATTGCTCTGTACAATAAAACTCTTCAACTTGAATTATTTTATGTGAAAATTTCTGAATTGTTACCTTGTTCTCTCCTTGAACAGAGAGTACATTAAATACGATTAATATTATGTTGAAGAGTCATGATATTCAGTGTGTATCAGTCAGGATCAATCCAAGAAGTAGGAGTAGGAGATCACTGTGTACTGTGTGTGTGTGAATTCGTGACAAGGAATTGGCTTATACAGTTGTAGGGCCTAGCTAAGCAAAACAGAAGTCACAAGGCAGGCAGTCAGGAGGGAATATCTAGGGGGGAAGGAAGAGCAATTCAGACCCAGATGCTGTTAGGGAAGGCCTCAGCCGTCTTTTAAAGGGCTTTTATTTGATTAAGTTAGGCGCCTCAGGACAAGATCCCTTTTGATTAATTTAAAATCAGCTGAGTAGGGGTTTCACATCTGCAAAATTCTTTCACAGCAGATTAGTGTTCAAATAACTGGGAGATGAGATGGGTGTGGCCTCTCTGTCTTCCAAATCTTATGAGAATTTCCCTTGTAGCCCACCCTAACAAAGGCATACAGGAAGGGAATTCTAGGGACATTAGTTCAGCCTAGCCAAGTTGATGAGTCAAAATCTACAACTGGGAAAAATCAGTTATTGTATTAGGTTATATACTTGTTTTCAGGGCTTTCAGGGGCTATTTCCCATAGTACTAAATGGTTCCAGGCCACTTTGCTTGTTGAGTCTGTCTGCTTTTTCTAGTTCTTTTTCCTCCCACCCATTAGCCATCATTAGGAGAAGCTCTAGTAGCTTCCTGCTCCCTTTCCACCTTGTTCTTTATGATTTACCATGGGCTTGAAAATCAGATAATCAATGTTTGTGAAATGAGGGCTAGAGAGACTCTTTTGTGAGTAAAGTTTATGAATGTTTGTGTTACAGATATAGCATTATCTCTTATACTTCATTATGTTTTCTTATTTTGAGTGTTTGATAATTGACCTTCAACTATGTATCTTTGTATATTTTCTATACATGATATTAAATACTAAAATAACAGAAGCAATATTTAGTTTTATCATGTTTGGTCTATATTATGTAATCGTGTATAAAAGTATATATATATATCAATGTGTAGATTTTGTTTAAATGTTATTTCATCTTTAAATTTAATAAATAAAAATATAGTTTGAAATAAACTTAAGTTGATAAATAATATGATCCTTATATTTAAAAAATATTTCCTTATTTAAGCTAGATTTATACCTCTACAAAGAAGACAAATATTTGATTTGTATTAATTTTTTAGCTTTTGTTCTACGTTTTTGAGCCTGCTTCCTGCATGCATAAAATTAATACTTCAGCCCTCTTCCAAAGGATTCAAATTTACACTGGTAAGTTTTTCATTACTTTAGATACTTAATTCTTGCCACAACTGATCTTTTAAAAATTATTTTCATGGTCTGCACAGGATTTATTGGGTTGGGAAACAAGACATTCATTTATTTGGCAGACATTTATTGGATGTTTCCCATACTTAGCTTCTGTGTTAGACACTAAGCTAAGCAATCAATACTCTTTCAGTTAATTCAACTATTTAATTTGTTTCGTATTAGTTAATGAGGGACTACAAAGTAGAAAACAGTGGCAATGAACTTAAGTAGCTTAAATAGTTATGCTATAAAACAGATGGTATTAAGTTCTATCAGGTACAAATGAAGTCCTATGATGGTGTGGGAAAGGGAGATATTATCTCGGGGGGAGATTTTAGAATGCTGTTTAGGGCAAGTGGGATTTGAGCCCAAATTTGAAAGTGGGGCAAGGTTAGAACAGCAGGTTATATAGCAGAAGAGAAGTTCAAAACAGAAGGAAGAAGTTGAAGGTCCAGAGGTGGGAAAGGACACAGGATATTCTGGGAATAGCTATTAAACAATATAACTTGTGTGAGTTTTGTGTGTATGTGTTGAGAGTAGGAGAGGATATAGTGAAAGATAAGGGTAAAAATTGACCAAATTATTGAAGACCTTGAAAATCTTGGTTGAAAAGGTTTGGAGTTTGATTTGTGTGCAAGAGAAACTAAAAAATATTTTTGAGAAGGAGAGGGGGCAGATCTCTGTTTTAGGAGGATGACTTGTGTCAGTTTGAAGATGGACTAGGTGCATTTTCTACAGTTTAGGGTTTTTCTGAGTAGCTTTACAAAGTCTTCTTGGTTGTGTTTCTATGGCATTTAAAATTTTGTTCCTGTGTGCCATGGTCTATAAAATGACATTTAAAAAATAACCTTTTAAACTATCAAGAACATTTAGTTTCTGAAAACAGTAAGTCCTACTGGACTTATGTGAGGCAACATTTAGAAATTAGGGTTCCAAGTCTGGGACTGCCATGTAAGTACGTTGGATAAAAACAAGCCAGAAAAGAACATAACAGCGAAATACTTCAAAAGTGCATCTCATTACCACAATGCAAAAAGGATAGCTTTATGTTCCTCTTTTCTTTTTCATTATCTTTTTATTGATGATTTGTGTTGTTTGATTCTGTGAATGAACTCTGAGCATACCAAGTCATCTGTTGTTAATATTCTATTGGATAGTTAGAACAGAATGGATATGGTGTAATGCTCTGATGTCTTCACTAGGCTTAACCTGAAATATCTTCCAAGCTTGTGATAGATTGTTGTTTTTCTAGGAAGTAGAATGCTAAATAAATGTACAGTTCAAAGATAATAGAATAGAATTTCAGAGTTTGGGTAACTTTAGCAGTGTTAGAGATGATTACTTTTAGGATTATAAGCCAGAAAAAACATTTTCTTTTTCTTAGTTTTGTAATTTTTTTCAGTTTGGTATGTTTTAAAAGAAGCCATTGTGTTAAAACTTTTTAAATGTAAGATTTTTGTTATTTTGTTTTTGTTAATCATGCTTTGAATTCTTATTGTATACTTCTGAGAGTTTTAAGAACATTTCCCATTATAATTGTTTTAAAAGTATTTTCCTTTCAATCATGTTTGCCTGAATTATATCTCAATATAAATCTATAATTGAGGTAACTGATAGCATGAATACTGGTGCATGTATAGCAGCAAAAGGATTTATATTTAATTTTTCAGGTATTGAGTGCCTTCTCATATGCCAGGTCCTCCTCTAGGTACTGGCATGTAAAGGAATGACAGATGACATCCCTGCTCTCTTACTTGGGGCCTTCCATGCTAGTGGCAGGAGAGGGACAATAAACAAGATAAATCCATTAACAAGAAAGCATCTGGGAGTAATGAGTGCTATGAAGAAAGTAGTGTTGGCCGGGCACGGTGGCTCACACCTGTAATCCCAGCACTTTGGGAGGCCGAGGCAGGTGGATCACCTGAGGTTGGGAGTTCAAGACCAGCCTGACCAACATGGAGAAACCCTGTCTCTACTAAAAATACAAAATTTGCCAGGCGTCGTGGTTCATGCCTGTAATCCTAGCTACTGGGAGGCTGAGGCAGGAGAATCGCTTGAACCTGGGAGGCGGAGGTTGCGGCGAGTGGAGATTGCGCCACTGCACTCCAGCCTGGGCAACAAGAGTGAAACTCCATCTCAAAAAAAAAAAAAAGTAGTGTTATGTGAAAAGAGAGCTGATGGAATGAGGTTAGGGGACACTTAGATTGAGTAAAGGAAACCTTTCTAGAGAAGGTTTCTATAGTTTAGGGTTTTTCTGAGTAGCTTTATTATTAAATATTAAATTTAATAATTTAATATTTAATAAATTATTAAATTATTAAATAATAATATTTATAAATATTAAATATTAAAATAGTATTTGAGCCAAGAAGTGAATGACCAACCAGAAGGAGCCAATCACAAGAAGATCTGGGCCCTGACTTGATAGAATCATATTTTTCCTTAAGGCAGGAACACATTTGGCAAAAGGAGATGAATGAAGTGGCTGCTGTAAAATGAGTGAGGGAGATACAAGAGATGAGTTGGAAGGGAAGGCAGGAACCAGATCTTGTAGGCATTGGGATTTTTTTCTAAGTATAATAGGAAGCTATTGGAGGATTTTAAACAGGAAAATTACATGATCTGATATGGTAGCTGTTTGGAGAATGGACTATCAGGAGGCAGGAGTGTTACCAATTAGGAGATTATTGCACTACTACAAAGATGGAGGGTGGCTTAGACCACTCCTCTGCCACCCTTAGCAGAGGGGAATGGAGAGAAGTGGATGGATATTGTATTTAGGAGGTGCTGTAGATAGCATTTGCTGATGGGTTAGATGTGTAGCATGGATAAGATTCAAGGTTTTTGCTTGAGCAACTGGATAGTTATCCATATCTAATTTGCAGAATATAAACTTCTCAAAATAGATAATTTTTTTTAAACTCTAAATAGCACATTATTAATTTATAAAACATTAATATATTTTATTGAAGTGCATGTTTTAAAACACCAAAATAGATTTGTTTTGCCGGTTTTAGATTCTGACCTTCTTGTCTTTCATGGTTTTAAATTTAAGTTGTCTGAGATTCCAGGGGAGGATGAATGTATGATTGTTGTGTCTGAGGTATTTACTAGTTCTGTTTATTAATAACTGAGTTATGATGAACTTAGATGGTTAAATAAAGCTTTATAATCATTGTTTTTTGAAAAAATATGTCAATTTTTTAATTTGATTAAAATATGCATACTAGTGTTGTTTGTATTTTACTTCTAAATAGAGCTTTAATAAACTTTCAACTTTCATTTGAAATGATTTTTATTTAGATTCTATAATTAACTTGATATGCTATTTCACAAGTTGTTATATCTCATTTCCCCCCCTTTTTTCTTAAAGGTTAGCTGTGCGCTATCATTCTTTTTATTTTCTTTCCAAGTACATGAAAAATCCATTCTCTTGGTGTCACTGTAAGTAGAAACATTTGAAATATGTGTTTATTTGTTTATAATATAACTTTATAATTTACATACAAATATACATTTGAATGCAAAACAAAACTACACAAATGTTATATCTTTGCATAAAATGATTTCATAGTCAGGTTTTTTTCCAGAATTTTTGATTTTCTTTATAAAGTGTATTTTAAACTGAAAAATTTTGGTAGAATGTTATTGACATAATAGTAATTTCTTCCTGTTCCTTCACTTATATTTTCTACATGCTAATAAAAAATATATCCTTCAAAGAGGTTTTCATCAGATTGGAGCCTGTTTGTCATCTTTGCTTTTTCATTTCATTCATTTCCACATCTATTCGGTAGCCTTCTTCTTTCCATTTACTTCCATGGGGTCTTTTGTATGTTGCCTTCTTTCTCTTTTTTTGCCACAAGCTTAGTTTAGGCCCTATTGGCAATCTGTAACCAGACTACTTTGTTTTAGAAGCATTAAATTTTTTTCCTGATGTTCATAGAAAGCAGTGGATGACAGCTGGGAGTATGATATCCTAATATTAAAATAGTATTCACATAGAACCCTTTGGAATACTGAAATCCTCCTCTAGGTCAATCCCAACCCACTACTGCTCTACCCCTCACCCTATGTTCACTAGGATCCTGTGGAAGATACATGTACAGAATGACCAATGACAAATGGCAGGCAGTATTGCTTTTATTAGGTGGAGCTTTGGACTAAAACCTTCGTGCAGAGCTGGGCTGGCCTGTGTGGAAGGCTTCTTGGCTCTAAATAAAACAGTCTCATATCATTGTAGACTGGGAAGACTGCTTAATGCCATCCTCTGAGGCCCAAACCTGAGTTAGAGCTTACCACTATTGTATGAGGCTAGGCTGACCCTACACAAATCACTGGTACCAGGGGATGAAACTGTGGAGAGGCATTACTTTCAAACATGTATTAATATATTTCCCCAGAATTTATACTCATAGAAAGGCAGCTCATTCAGGACCTATAATCTGACCAGATTAGTTCTCAGACACTGAACTTCTAGGGGTTCATTTTTTACAAATGCACCTAGATTATTTGTAACAGTGCATGGCTTTAATCTATTTTTGGTAAATGGTTTTACAGTTTGCATTAAAAGTTCCTTTTGGGCTGGACCTGGTGGCTCAAGCCTGTAATCCCAGCACTTTGGGAGGCTGAGGCAGGCAGATCATGAGGTCAGGAGATCGACACCATCCTGACTAACACGGTGAAACCCTGTCTCTACTAAAAATACAAAAAAATTAGCCGGGCATGGTGGCGGGCACCTGTAATCCCAGCTACTTGGGAGGCTGAGGCAGGAGAATTGCTTGAACCCAGGAGGTGGAGGTTGCAGTGAGCTGAGACTGCACCACTGCACTCCAGCCTGGGCGACAGACTGAGACTCTGTCTCAAAAAAAAAAAAAAAATTAAATAAAAGTTCCTTTTGACCTGGTCCCAGCTAATCATATCATTAAACAAATATTTCATTCAGTAAATATTTATTGAGTGCCTTCTATTTATCAGGCACTGTTTTGTGCACATGGGATATATTCCAGACAAAAATCCCTGCCTTCTTAGCTATCATTCTTAAAGATAGACACTTATTAAAAAAAAAAAAGAAGTGAGTGTGTTAGAAGGTAATAAATACCATGATGGAGAAATAAAACAGAGCAAGAGTAATTAGGAGTACTGGAGGATGGGATGCAGGTAGCGGTTGCAATTTTATTTTATTTTATTATTATTTTTGAGATGGAGTTTTGCTCTTGTTGCCCAAGCTGGAGTGCAATAGCGTGATCTTGGCTCACCACAACCTCCGCCTCCCTAGTTCAAGCGATTCTCCTGCCTCAGTGATCATTAAAAAGTCAGGAAACAACAGATACTGGAGAGTTTGTGGAGAAATAGGAATGCTTTTATACTGTTGGTGGGAGTGTATATTAGTTCAACCATTGTGGAAGATAGTGTGGTGATGCCTCAAGGATCTAGAACCAGAAATACCATTTGACCCAGCAATCCCATTACTGAGTATATACCCAAAGGATTAGAAATCATTTGACCTAGCAATCCCATTACTGGGTATATACTCAAAGGATTATAAATCATTCTACTATAAAGACACATGCACATGTATGTTTATTGCAGCACTATTCATGATAGCAAAGACTTGGAACAAACCCAGATGCCCATCAATGATAGATTGGATTAAGAAAATGTGGCACATACACACCATGGAATATTATGCGGCCAAAAAGAAGGATGAGTTCATGTCCTTTGCAGGGACACAGATGCAGCTGGAAACCATCATTCTCAGCAAACTAACACAGCAACAGAAAACCAAACACCACGTGTTCTCACTCATAAGTGGGAGTTGAACAATCAGAACACATGGAAACGGAAGGGAACATCACACACTGGCCTGTTGGGGGGTGGGGGCTAGGGGAGGGATAGCATTAGGGAGAAATACGTAATGTAGATGACAGGTTGATGGGTGCAGCAAACCACCATGGCACGTGTATACCTATGTAACAAACCTGCATGTTCTGCACATGTATCCCAGAACTTAAAGTATATATATATACATATATGTATATATATAATTTATATATAAATATCTATTTATATAAATATCTATATAAATAAATATATAAATATATAAATATAAATATATATAAATATATAAATAAATATATAAATATATATAAATATAAATATATATATAACTATGAATTTATATTTATATAAATATATATCTATATGAATATAAATATATATTTATATAAATATAAATATATATATAAATATATATATTTATATAGATATAAATATATATATAAATATATATATTTATATAGATATAAATATATATCTATATATGAATATATATCTATAGGAATATAAATATATATCTATATAAATATAAATATATATAAGTATAAATATATATAAATATATATCTATATAAATATAAATATATATATAAATATAAATATATATATAAATATATATATAAATATAAATATATATATAAATATATATATATAAAAGAAGGTGTATTAAGGAAATGAGGTGGTAAGTTGCATCAGATGCTGCTTATAGGTCAAATAAGATGAGGGCTGGGAATATATTATTTGCCTTAGCAATATGGAAGTCACTGGTGACTTTGGTGGGGCCAGTGTTGGTGGAGCAATGCACGGAGAAGCCTGATTAGGTAGGGTTAAGAAAAAATGGGCCGGGCACAGTGGCTCATGCCTGTAATCCCAGCACTTTGGGAGGCCCAGGCGGGTGGATCATCTGAGGTTGGGAGTTCAAGACCAGCCTGACCAATATGGAGAAACCCTGTCTCTACTAAAATTACAAAATTAGCTGGGTGTGGTGATGCATGCCTGTAATCCCAGCTACTCGGGAGGGTGAGGCAGGAGAATTGCTTGAACCCAGGAGGTGGAGGTTGCGGTGAGCCAAGATTGCACCATTGCATTCCAGCATGGGCAACGAGAGCAAAACTCCGTCTCAAAAAACAAAGGAAACAAAAATAGAAAAAATGAGAGGAGAAGAACTAAAGACAAGTAGGGATAATGCAATTTTTTTTTTTTTTTTTGAGGCAGGGTCTTACTCTGTCACCCATGCTAGAGTGCAGTGGCGTGATCTTTGCTCACTGCAGCCTCTGCCTCCCGGGTTCAAGCGATTCTCCCACATCAGCCTCCCCAGTAGCTGGGACTACAGACGCACACCACCACGCCCAGCTAATTTTTGTATTTTTGGAAGAGAAAGGGTTTCACCATGTTGGCCAGGCTGGTCTCGAATTCCTGACCTCAACTGATTCCCCTGCCTTGGCCTCCCAAAGTGCTGGGATTACAGGCATGAGCCACTGCGCCTGGCTGATAATTCATTTTTTAAAAGAAATATTTAAAATTATATTTTTAAAATTGTGTTAAAGTACACATAGCATAAATGTTACATTGTCAATTAGTACATTCACACTGTTGTGCAAGCATCACCACTATCTACCTCCAGAACATCTTCATCACCGCAAAAGGAAATCCCATACCCAAAGCAGTCCCTCTCCATTTTCCCTTCCCCGAGTCCCTCTAACCACTAATCTGCTTTCTGCAAATCTCTGTGGATTTGTCTATTCTGGATATTTTATATAAATGGAATCATATTATATGTGGTCTTTTGTGTCTAGCTTCTTAATATTTTCAAGGTTCATCCATGTTGTATCAGAACTGTATTCTTTTTTATGCCTGAATAGTATTGCATTGTATCGATACACTACATTTTGTTCATCATTCCTCAGTTGATGGACATTGGGTTGTTACCATGTTTTGGCTGTTGTGAATAGTGCCACTGTGAATATTCATGTACAAGTTTTTGTTTGAGTCTATACTCAGGAGTAGAATTGCTGAGTCACATGGCAATTCTGTATTTAACTTATTGAGGAACCACCAGACTTTTCCATAGTGGCTGCACCACTTAACATTCCCACTAATAATATATGAAGGCTTCAATTTCTCCATATCCTTGATAGCACTTGTTATTTTCCATCATTTTGATTATAGCCATGCTAGTGGATATGAGTGGTATCTCATCGTGATTCTGATTTGCATATCCCTAATTACTAATGATATTGAACATCTCTTTATGTGCTTGTTGGCACAATATGTCTATCTTCTTCAGAGACAAGCCTATTTAAATCCTTTGCCTATTTTTTTTTTGAGACGGAGTCTCGCTCTGTCACCCAGGCTGGAATGCAATGGCACGGTCTCAGCTCACTGCAACCTCCGCCTCCCGGGTTCAAGTGATTCTCCTGCCTCAGCCTCCCGAGTAGCTGGGACTACAGGCGCGTGCCACCACACCTGGCTAATTTTTGCATTTTTAGTAGAGATGGGGTTTCACTATGTTGGCCAGGCTGGTCTTGAACTCCTGACCTCGTGATCCACCCGCCTCGGCCTCCCAAAGTGCTGGGATTACAGGCGTGAACCACTGCGCTTGGCCGTTTTGCCCAATTTTTAATTGGGTTGTCATTTTTTGAGTTTTAGGAGTTCTTTATGTATCCTGGGTACTAGCCTTTATCAGATATATGATTTGCAAATATTTTCTCCCATTCTTTGGGTTGTCTTTTTTACCCTCTTGATAGTGTTCTTTTGATGCACAAAAGTTTTTAATTTTGATGAAGTCTAATTTACCTATCTTGTCTTTTGATTGTACTTTTGATATATATCTAAGAAACCAGTGCCAAACTCAAGGAAATAAAGATTTACCCTCATTTTCCTTCTAAGAGTTTTATGGATTTAGCTCTTATATTTATGTCTTTGATCCATTTTGAGTTAATTTTTTTTTTTTTTTTTTTTTTGAGACAGAGCCTCGGTCTGTCACCGAGGTTAGAGTACAGTGGTGCAATCTTAGCTCACTACAACCTCCACCTACTAGGTTCAAGAGATTCTCCTGCCTCAGCCTCCCAAGTAGCTGGGACTATAGTTGCCCGCCACAACAGCTGGCTAATTTTTGTATTTTTAGTAGAGACAGGGATTTAATTATGTTGGTCAGGCTGGTCTCGAACTCCTGACCTCAAGTGATCTGCCTGCCTTGGCCTCCCAAAGTGCTGGGATTACAGGCGTGAGCCACTGTGCCCAGTTGAGTTTTTATATATGGTGTGAGGAAGGTAGACTGTTCTTCAGAGGAGTTTTGTTGAAAAAGGAAGCAGAAAAATAGGGCAATAACTGGTAGAGAAAATGGGGTCAAGATAGGTTTGTTTGTTTAAGAGAGGAGCAATAAAGGCAGGGGAATGATCAGCAGAGAAGGAAAGCTGATGGTACAGGATCTCAAGAGGAGGAGCTGCTGGAGCACTGTCATTGGGAAAGGGAGATGGGGTAGGATCTAGAGCACAAATGGAAGAATTGGCATTGGACAGATGTGTGAAGAGTTCCTCTTTAGTAAAAGGGGTGAACAGGCTATATTGGTAGAGATGCTGGGAAGGGAGTAAATGTGATGGTGGGCATCTGTGAAAGTTCTGTTTTAACTGCTTCAGTTTTCTTATTGAAGTGAGAGGGAAAGTCATTAGCCAAGAGTGGGTTGAAGCTGTTGGAAGTAGGAGGGAGAAGTGTGAAACATTTTCTAAGGAGAGACAGAGTGTAAACAGATCAGGGAAATATATAGTAATTGCAGGGCACTTGAATATCATGATCATGTATTTAAAGTGAGACCAGTTAGTATGGGTAGCTGTTTTTCTCTTGAGCAGTTGTTCAGTATGGTTGGAGTAAGCACTGGTGGAGAGTTGAGTATTTCCAGGTTTATGGTTTTGTCTGGTGAGGATAACTCCCTTGCTTGAGGGCTTAAGAGTGAATGTATGGGAGTGATTATAATGATTGACCTTAGAATTTAAGGTAGGTAAAAAGGGAAAAGGCCATCGAAGCGATGAGGGAAAGTGAAAACGTGGTAGGAACAATGGATTGAAGATCTCGGTAGGATCAAAAGATTGTCGGAGTTGGAATATCCAAAAGGCAGGAGATAGTGGTGAGAGTCATGGAGGAGGTGCAGTCTAAAGTATGACCGTAAGGGACAGGATTAAAGATGAGATCACTAGAAGAGAGGCGTTATAGCAAATGAGAGGGAAGATCTATGTATATGTTAAAATTGCCAAGAATTAAGTCAGTTTGTAGAGAGTGATAGTGAGAAAGGAGTTGAAATCTTTGGGTAATGGAGGAAGCGGCCCTGTGGTTGGTCAGTATTTACAAGATGGGGAATAATCGGGGATAAAGTGTGATGAGAAGAGTTTCAAAGCTGGAGATTATTAGGGTGGAGAGAGGGAGAACTGGTAGGAAAGTAGTGAGGAAGATCAAGGAGGTTACTTCCCACCATCAGGCCAAGTCACTTGAAGACTGTGGAAACAACAAAAACAGGCACAGTTGAGAGGGCAGAGGGCAGTACTGTCCTCAGAGGAGAGAGCCAGGCATTGTTTCAAACAAGGTGGTAAAGGGAGGGGTTCAGAGAAGAGGTTGAGGATGTAGGGCATTTCACTGTTTGGTGATGAATTGTAAGTACTTTGAGGTTAGGAGCTGAGTTATAATCATCTTTGTATTCCTTTCAGAGCAGTGCTTATATGTAGTAAGTTTTTTTAAGAGACAAGGTCTCACTTAGTCACCCAGGCTGGAGCAAAGTGACATGGTCATAGCTCACTGCAGCCTCGGACTCCTGGGCTCAAGTGAGCCTCCCACTTCAGCCTCCCAAGTAACAAGTACCCCAGGCGTGCGTCACCATGCCAGGCTAATTTGTAAATTTTTTGTGGAGGTGGTGTCTTGCTATATTCTCTAGGCTGGTCTTGAATTCCTGGGCTCAAGTGATCCTCCCACCTTGGCCTCCAAAAGTGCCAGGATTACAGTTGTGAGCCCCTGCGCCGGCTGTAATACATTTTTTGTCAATGCTTGTGTTTGGTAAATAAATATTGAATGCATAAATGGGAAAGAATTAAACCAGAAAGAGAAAACAGTATTTATTGAGCACCTTCAATGAGCTTGCTATTAATATGCGTCCATTCTCAAGCAGTGAAATGGAAAGTCCTCTAGTAATTTCTTTCTTTGAGATGGAGTCTTGCTCTGTCACCAGGCTGGAGTGCAGTGGCACGATCTCGGCTCACTGCAACCTCCGACTCCCTGGTTCAAGCAATTCTCCTGCCTCAGCCTCCTGAGTAGCTGGGATTACAGGCACGCACCACCGTGTCCAGCTAATTTTTTTTTTTTTTTTTTTGTATTTTTAGTAGAGACGGGGTTTCACCATGTTGGCCAGGATGGTCTTGAACTCCTGACCTCGTGATCCGCCTGTCTCAGCCTCCCAAAGTGCTGCGATTACAGGTGTGAGCCACTGCGCCCGGCCTAGTAATTTCTTTTAGTAGTTTTCAGTTTATAATCCCAGGGTTTAAATCTCATATATTAGTTGACATAGGAAAAAGTCATCCTTCTGGGAAAGGGGGAGAATGCCCAAATCTTTATAGAGCACTTTTTAAAATAAAGAGATTCAAAATAATGATAACAATTATTCAACAACCACCATCATTAGGAAAGTTTATTGTATTTTAAAAAAGTAAACACTAGATGATACCTGCAAAGAGTTCTTTCAACTATTTAAGAATACAGGGTATTATTATTATTTCCATTTCCACTTAAGAAAATAGATTAATCATTTGCTCAAGGTCACACAGTAAATAAAGGGCAAACATGGGGACCAGGACTCAGGGCTTCACACTAGCAATGCTCCTTCTTTGAGCATTGCCACAATTGAATCCCAAAGGTACTGGAGCAGGAGTTGTGGTAAGGAGGTTACAGGGCTTAGAGCTATGACCCTAAACAACTTTTTTTTTTTTTTTTTTTTTTTGGAGATGGAGTCTCGCCCTGTCATCTCACTCTGTTGCCCAGGCTGGAGTGCAGTGGTGTGATCTCAGCTCACTGCAACCTCCTCCTCCCGGGTTCAAGCAGTTCTCCTGCTTCAGCCTCCCAAGTAGCTGGGATTACAGGCACGCACCACCAAGCCCAGCTAATTTTTTTTGTATTTTTAGTAGCGATGGGGTTTCACCATGTTGGCCAGGCTGGTCTCGAACTCCTGACCTCAAGTGATCTACCAGCCTTGGCCTACCAAAGTACTGGGATTACAGGCCTGAGCCACTGTGCCTGGCCCCTAAACAATTCTTTGATAAAGCCAGTGGTTCTGTTTATTGGCATTGTGCTTCCTGTTCCTATACTATTTCCCTTTTTATGTAGCTCTTCCTACTAATTTCTTCCTCCTTTTAATTTTATTATTATCAATTTGTTTTCCTTTATCCTCTTGTCTCTCTTGTCCTCTCCAGTGGCATGATGATGTTGTCTGCCATATCTTTAGTTTTAACTTAGCGGAGTAATATGTAACATGAAAGAACATAAAAGAGATGTTTGAAAACAATACTGGGAATTCATATTTACCAAGTACTACGAAATATGTGACAAAGCCTTCTCAGATTTGTTTATCTGATCCTTTTCTTAAGCTACTTGTTTGTATGATAGAGAAAAAAAGTTCCATTAACGGCATACTGGAAGCAGCAGTTTTCCAATTATTATGAGGAGTTGACACCTCTGTGCCTGTGTCTAGGCTAATTTAGTCTGGACTGTTAACAAAATGAATCAGTAGTCCATATGAAGACCTTCCTGGCTGTTTTTAAGCTACCGCTGAAAATCAGACAGATAAAATGTATTTATATTTTTTACAATTAGGAGTTGAAGTTATATTCTGTAATATTAAAATATTTTTTTCTTTACGATTTTAGACCAGTCTGCTTAGTTTTAAGTGAAATTCCTTTTATGTCTACTTGGTTTTTACTTGTGTCAACATTTAGGTAAGTCATATCAATTTCCATATATTTTCAGTATAATTCTTGTAAACTAATTTAAAACTTTTTTATGAAGTGGTTATGGTTTGAATTGATAATTCTCTTGTGATTTTTAAAAATTTTCCTTTACAGTATGCTACCTCTTCTATTGAAGGATGAACTCCTAATGCCCTCTGTTGTGACAACAATGGCATTTTTTATAGCTTGTGTAACTTCCTTTTCAATATTTGAAAAGACTTCTGAAGAAGAACTGCAGTTGAAATCCTTTTCCATTTCTGTGAGGAAATATCTTCCATGTTTTACATTTCTTTCCAGAATTATACAATATTTGGTAAGTTCAATTTTTAAGAAATGACACATTTTTCAGCATGTCACTATTTTAAAAAATTATTGAAGTAGTGATTTTCTTTTATACCTTTTTGAGATATAATTCACATAAATCCACTCATTTAAAGTATACAACTTAGTGGTTTTAAGTATGTAAACAGATTTGCACAACTATCACCATCATCTAATTTTACATTATTTTGTCACTCCCAGAAGAAATTCTGTACCCATTAGCATTCATTCCCAATTCTATTCTCACTCCTAACTCCCTTCCTTGGACAGCCAGTTTCTGCCTCTTTAGATTTGCCTACTTTGGACATTGCATATAAATGGAATGTATTAGTCTGTGATAGCTGCCATAACAAAATACAACAGAAATTTATTTTCTTACAGTTCTAGAGACTAAAAGTTCAAGATCAAGATCAAGGTTCTACCATCAGGGTTGGTTTCTGGTGAGGCCTCTCTTCCTGGCTTGTAGAAGGTCTCTGCTTTATGTGTCACACATGGAGAGAGACCTCTGTTGTCTCTTCCTTTTCTTGTAAGGACACCAGTACTACTGGATTAGGGCCCCATTCTTATCATCTAATTTAACCTTATTTACCTCCTAAAAGGCTATATCTCCAAATAACAGTCACATTGGGGGTTAGGGCTTCAACATATGAATTTTAATTCAGTCCATAACATGGGATAATAAAATTGTGGTCTTTATGACTCGGTTCTTTCACTTAGTGTGTGTGTGTGTGTGTGTGTGTGTGTGTGTGTATTTATTTATTTTTTTGAGACAGAGTCTTGCTCTGTCACTCAGGCTAGAGTGCAGTGGCATGATCTTGTCTCACTGCAACCTCTGCCTCCTGGATTCAAGCAATTCTCCTGCCTCAGCCTCCCTAGTAGCTGGAACTACAGGCATGCGCCACCATGCCCAGCTAAATTTTGTATTTTTAGTAGAGATGGGATTTCAGTATGTCGGCCAAGCTGTTCTTGAACTCCTGACCTCATGATCTGCCGGCCTTGGCCTCCCAAAGTGCTGGGATTACAGGCATGAGCCACTGCGCCCAGTCACTTAGCATATTTTTGAGGTTCATTTGTTATAGCATATATCAGTACTTTATTCCTTTTTATTACCAAATTATATTCCATTATATGGATATACCACATTTTGTTTATCCATTCATGAATTAATGGACATGAAGTTGTTTCTACTTTTTTAGTGTTATGAATATAATAATGCTGTTGTGAACATTTGTTTACAAGGTATTGAGTGCACATATGTTTTCATTTCCCTTATGTGTATACCTGGGAGTAGAATTGCTAGATCATATGGTAATTCTATGTTTAACATCTTCAGAAACTGCCAAACTGTTTTCCAAAGTGCAGCACAATTCTTCATTCTCACCAACAATGTGTGAGGGTTCTAATTTCTTCACATCTTTCACAGCATTTGTTGTCTTTTTAATTATAACCATCCTAGTGGGTGTGAGGTGGTATTTCATTGGAGTGCTGACTTGCATTTCCCTAATGACTAATGATGTTGAACATCTTTTCATGTGCTTATCGGCCATTTGTATATCTTCTTTGGAGAAATGCCTATTCAAATCCTTTGCCCATTTTAAACTGGGTTGTCTTTTTGAGTTGTAAGAGTTTTTTTAATATATATTCTTGATATGAGTTCCTTACCAGATATTTAACTTGCAAATATCCTCTCCCATTCTGTGTGTTGCCTTTTCACTTTCTTGATGGTATCATTTGCAGCAGAAAAGTTTTGATTTTGATAACATCCAGTATATCTATTTTTTTCTTTTGTTGTGCTTTTGGTGTCATATCTAAGAAACCATTGTATAACCAGTGGTCACAAATATTTACCCCTGTATTTTCTTCTAAGAGTTTTATAGTTTTTAAATCTATGCCTTTGAGTTGCTTTGAGTTAATATTGTATATGGTGTGAGGTAGGAGTCTGACTTTATTCAATTATTTCAGTTCCATTGAATTGTCTTGGCACTCTTGTTGAAAATCAGTTGTTCTTAAATGTAAGGGTTTATTTCTGGAATCTCAGTTCTGTTCCATTGATCTATATGTCTATCCTTATGCCACTGCCATACTGTCTTGTTTACTGTAGCTTTGTAGTTAGTTTTGAAATTGAAAATGCAAGTCCACTGATTTTGTTCTTTTACAAGATTGTTTTATCTATTTTACATCCCTTTATTTTCATATTATTTTTAGAAGTTCATCAGTTTTCTCCCAAAACTCAGCTGAGATTTTGATAGGGACTGAGTCGATTCTGCATATCAATTTGTGGAATATTGCTTTATTTTTTTGAGACAAGGTCTCACTTTGTTGCCCAGATTGGAGTGCAATGGTGTGATCTTGGCTCACTGCAACCTCTGCCTCCCAGGCTCAAGCAGTCTTCCCACCTCAGCCCCCTTAATAGCTGGGACTATGGGCCTGTGCCACCACACCCGGCTAATTTTTTTAGAGACGGAGTTTCACCATGAATATTGCCGTCTTAATATTTAGTCTTCCAATGAACAAACACAGGATGTGTTTCCATTTATTTAGATATTTAATTTCTTTCAACAATGTTTTGTAGTTTTCAGTGTATAAGTTTTGGACTTCTTTTGTTAAATTTATTCTTAAGTATAACGAATGATCCTAAAGCATAATTCTTTATGATGCTATTGTAAAGGAATTGTTTTCTTAATTTCATTTTCATAATGTTCATTGCTACTATATACAAATATATTTTTGTATATTCAACTTGTATTCTTCGGCATAGGTTTTTAATGGATTTCCTACAGTTTTCAATATACAAGATAATGTAATCTGCAAACCATGAGTTTTACTTCTTCCTTTCTAATGTGGATGACTTTTATCTTTTATTTCTCTTACTTGCCTAATTGCCCTAGGACCTATAAGACAGTGTTGAATACAGGTAACAAGAGTGGACATCTTCTCTTTTACTTGATATTAGAGGGAAAGCATCTGGTCTGTCACCATTAACTATGATGTTAACTGTGGGCTTTTTAAAATAGATGTCTTTTATCTGGTTGAGGAAGTTCTCTTCAATTCCTAGTTTACATGTTTTTCTCATGAAAAAATGCTGGATTCTGTCTAATTCTTTTTCTGCATCTTTGGTCATGTGTGTTTTTTTTCTTTTATTCTATTATATGACATATTTCATTGATTGATTTTTGTATGTTACACTAACCTTGAATTCCTAGGATAAATCCTACTGGATCATGGTGTATAATTCTTTTTATCTGCCACTGGCTTCAGTTTGACAGTATTCTGTTGATGATTTTTGCATTTATATTCATAAGAGACACTAACATGTAGTTTTCATGTGACGTCTTTGTCTACTCATAAAGTTCATATATTTAAGGCATATCACATTACATTCAAGGCTAAAATGCTAGATTGCAATGTATTTGAGGTCAAGAACTCTGCATTTTATACATGCCATTTTATCTGTAGCATCTATCAGTGCCTCACAAAGAATAGGTGCTCTGATTTTTGTTTGTTGAATGAATGAATATTCATCTAATTATTATAATGAAAAATTAGAGGCAGCTCAATTATCCAGTAGTTGAAAAATGATACATGAATAAGTATATAAGCTCCACGGAATATTTGACAACTACTACAAATGTTATGAAGTTGTTGTTGTTGAGACAGGATCTCACTCTGTTGCCTAGGCGGGAGTGCGGTGGTGCATTTTTAACTCACTGCAACCTGGAACTCCTGGGCCCAAGTGATCCTCCTTCCTCAGCCTCCTGAGTAGCTAGGATTATAGGCATGCACCATCATGCTTGCCTAATTTTTATTTTTTATTTTATTCTTTTTGAGATGGAGTTTCACTCTTGTTGCCCAGGCTGGAGTGCAATGGCACGAACTTGGCTCACTGCAACCTCAACCTCCTGGGTTTATGCAATTCTTCTGCCTCAGCCTCCTGAGTAGCTGGGACTACAGGCACGTGCCACCACACCCTGCCAATTTTTGTATTTTTAATAGAGACGGGGTTTCACCATATTGGCCAGGCTGGTCTCGAACTCCTGACCTCGTGATCCACCCGCCTCAGCCTCCCAAAGTGCTGGGATTACAGGCGTGAGCTACCGCGCCCAGCCCAACAGGCTATACTTATTTATATTTTTGAGTACTACATAGAGGATTGCCCAAAGTACCCAGATAACAAAGAGAAAAGAATGACTAACTCTATTAGGGGAGTGTAGGGGAAGGTTTCAAAGGAGATATTTTATATTTAGATCTTGTAGGAAGACAAGGCAGGTATTCTCAGGGCAGAGTTGAATGGGTGTCCTGAGGGTTTTGCACTTTAGGTAATGACCATGGAGGATAGTGGTGTGGGAGGTAGGAAGTTAAGAGGTGAACAGGAAAGACAAGGAGAGGATTAACTTTACTCAGGGGTTCAAATGGAAAGTAGATATAAAGTTCATTTTTTGTTAGTATAGGCCCAGATTCCTGAGTGTATGTCAAAATCTAGCCCTATTGTGATATTCACAATCTGGTCCAGTAATCTTAAGGTGAGGACCGCTATGGGCTCCCAGATTTATTTGTTCTTTAATAGTTTTTGAGCACTTACTATATGCAAGCATTGTTCTGGAGGCTGAGGATACGGTAGTGACCAAAACTAACAGAAATCCCTGCTCCCATGGAGGTTGCATTCTAGTGGAGAAATCCAGCACCAGCATATGTAAAATATATGGCATGTCAGAGGGTGATAAGTGCTATGGAGAACAACAAAGCAAGGGAGAAATCGATATGATATGCAGGAGGGATGAATGCAATTTTAAAGTGGCAGGGCTTTCTTGAGCAAAGAACCAAAGGAAGTAAACTGCAGATAATTGAGGGTAGAACATCCTAGAAGAGAAAAACTGCAAATGCAGTGAACATCATGGAGGTCATAGTGATTGGAGCTGGGTGAGGGAAAGAAATAATAGGACCTAAGATTAGAGAGGTAACAGTGTAGTTTCTTATAATGGGACTAGAATCTGACTTACATTTTTAAAAGGTCCCTATGGTAGCTATGTGGAGAACAGATTGTGGATAATGGAATCCATGAGATGATGGTGCTGTGGACCAGGGTAGCAGTGGAAGTGGTTAGAAATGGTCAGATTTTTTATATATTTTGAAGGTAGAGCCAACAGGAATTGCTGGGGTTGTGAAAGAGAGGTGTTCAAGATGACTCCAAGGTTTTTGGCATACATAACTGAATGGGTGGGGTTGCCATTTACCGAATTGGAGGAAGCATGTTGAAGGAACTTTGTGTGTGGTGGGGGCAGTCGGGAGTATGAGGAGACCAAGAGTTTTTTACATGTTTAGTTTTAGATACCTATTAGATATCCAAGTAGAGATATTAAGAAGTACCTGGATATATGAGTCCAGAGTTTAGCGCAAGCTTGTCCAATCTGCAACTGAAGCTGGCTTTGAATGCAGTGCAATACAAATTCATAAACTTCTTAAAACCTGGAGTTTTTTTGCGATATTTTTAAAAACTCATCAGCTATCGTTAGTGTTGGTGTATTTTATGTGTGGCCCAAGATAATTCTTCTTTTTCCAGTGTGGCCCAGGGAAGCCAAAAGATTGGACAACCCTGGTTTAGGGGAAAGGGCCAGGCTGGAGACGAAGTTGAGTCTTTACATATAGTTGGTAATTAAAGTCATATTACTGGATGACTCACTAAGGGTATGAGTATAGATTAATAAGAGGAATAGGTACGAAGCCCCAGAATGCAGACGTAGGGGACATGAGGAACCAGCAAAGATGTCTAAGAATTAACTGGGTGAGATAGGAGAACCAGAAGAGTATGATGTCATGGAAGCCAAGTGAACGAAGTGTTTCAGTGAGAGGAGAGTGATTTCAAATGCTAATGAGAGAATCAAGTAAGGCAGTAAGAACTGACCATGGGATTTACTACACTGGAGGTCATTATGGATGTTTGACTATAGCAGTTTCATCGTGATTAGGGTGAAAGCCCAATTGGTATGGGTTCACTAGTGAATGGGATGAAGACTGGACACAGCATGTTTATAGGCAACTGTTTTGGGAAACAAGTGTAAATAGGAGCAGACAAATGGGGTAATAGTTGGAGCAAGAGAGGGTTTTTGTTCTGTTTAACACTGACTCAAGATCGTGGTATTATGACATTTCAACCAGTCCCATATTTCTTAAGTTTGAAACTTTTATTTTAAAGATTTCATTCCAGATGTTTGCACTTCCCACTAAGGTTGCCTCAGGAATTTTTCCTTTAACGACACTGGCAGCCTTTGTTTGTATCTGCTTGTAAGCTTTCTTGGCGCCTATCCTCGCTTTTCCATTTGGAATGATCACTGCATTACTCTCTATTTAGATCTTACCAATACTGTCATAATGTAGCCAGCAGTTAAGGCATCCTTTAGGGTTCTGTGTCCCACCCACTTCATGGAAGTCACTACTGTTTCTCACTGCTTTCTACATTTATTTATACTGCTTTTGTATACCTGTGTACTGTGCTAGGGATAAAATGAGTAAGATCTTGCTGGTCTTTGTCTTAAAGGAGCTCACAGTCTAGAGTCACAGTCTGTCCAGTACGGTAGCCACTAGACATATATATAAATTTAAACTTATTAAATTTAAATAAAAATTCTGTTCCTCAGTCACAGTAAGTACATTTCAAATGCCCAATAGCCACATGTGGTTAGCAGCTACTATACTGGAGTGCAGACAAAACATTTTCATTACTGCAGGAAGTTCTATTGTATAGCACATTGGCCTAGAGAAGACCACACTAACTGATGACCACACAACTACAATAAATGTGCTAATTATTTTTACTACTCAGCTTGGTATTTAAGCCAGTGTGACTTTGTGATTTTATTTAACATTCCCCTCAGTAGATGGAAAACTCTTTGAGGCCAGAGGACCTCATTTTCTTTCATGTGCCTTCGTGTGCTTTACTCATTGAAAGCATTTAGCGAATATGAAATGTAATTTTCCATTTGCCATGGAAAACTTTTTCACAGATGGGTTCTCAAGGTTAGCTTAGAATTTTAAAAATTGATACAGAATAGATGTATATATTTTGGGGGTATATGTGATAATTTGATTCATTTATTCATTCATGTAATGCATGAAGATCAAATCGGGGTAACTGGGCTATTTATTACCTTAAAAATATGTCTTTATGCTAGGAACATTCAACTTATTATTTTCTAGCTATTTTAAAATGTACATTAATGTTAACTATATTCAGCCTACTGACCTGCCAAACACTAGGTTTTATTTCTTCTAGCTACCTATACATTTGTACCCATTAGCTTAGAATTTTATATCCTGTTGGACCCCAGGGGATGTTATAAATTTAACCCTGACTAGCATTAATATTTGTCCCAGATACCTTTGTTCAGTGCCTTGGTGGTAGGAAGTATAAGAAGACAGGGGTCCTCAGGTTTTGGCTACACATGGGAATCACTTGGAGAGCTTTAAAAAGTACTGAGGCCTGATTTAATTGGTCTGGGGTGTGATGTGGGCATTGAGATTTTAAAAACTCCTCATATGATTCTAATAGGAAGTCAAAGTTGAGATACACCAGAATAAATTAGACCCTCAACCCTCACCTTTAATTCTGCTCATTTAATAGCTACAAGTCAATGTTTCCAGCACATTTAAATTTCACCTTTTATACTACTCAGTAATCCTTTTTTTCCTTGCAGTTTCTTATCTCAGTCATCACTATGGTGCTTCTGACGTTGATGACTGTCACACTGGATCCTCCTCAGAAACTACCGGACTTGTTTTCTGTATTGGTGTGTTTTGTATCTTGCTTGAACTTCCTGTTCTTCTTGGTATACTTTAACATTATTATTATGTGGGATTCCAAAAGTGGAAGAAATCAGAAGAAAATCAGCTAGCTGTATTCCTAAACAAATTGTTTCCTAAACAAATGTGAAAATGTGAACAGTGCTGAAAGGTTTTGTGAACTTTTTGCTATGTATAAATGAAATTACCATTTTGAGAACCATGGAACCACAGGAAAGGAAATGGTGAAAAGTCATTGTTGTCTACACAAAATAAATGTATATGGAGACCAAAGACCAATGGAGGCTTGTCTAAGTACTGCTTGGCCAAAACATGTGGTTTTATTATTCACAGCTATTCAAGTGGGGAAAAAAGAGAAACATGTCCTTAATCCCATTGTTTACTCAGGAAATGCACTTTTTAAATGTCTTTAAAAAACTGAGAAATATTTCTTGATATTTGCTTTGTCTAAACCTACTTCCTTCATCAGACCATATAGTGAGCTTCATGGGAGAATTGAGCCCCTTCTTTTTAATGGAAATCACTAATTTTGGTATTCAAACTTACATTTTAGAATGCAAGTAGTGTGTATTTCACTGTTTAGAAGTCATATCTTAGGGAATTAAATTTGTGATAATCTTTTTAATTACTGAGAAGGCAATTTAAACTGCTTGAAGTTTGAATATGCCTTATTACACATGCAAATTTGATTGTTTTAACAAGGCAAATAAACCATAATCTTATTTATTTCCAAGAATGCATATTTTAATACAATTAAAAATGAATTTTCCTGAATTTAAATGTAAGCTTTAACTTAACTTTAAGTGGTTTGAGTGAAGTCTTCTAAATTACACATAATCACTGGTTCTAAACTTCCAGAACCATTCTGTTTAATTAAACATTATATTATATATATATTATTATTGACATGGTTCAGGGTTACCACTGCCAGAGCATTGATTCATGTTAACTTCATCCTATTAATACTGTATCACCCTGTATTAGCAGAAGCCAATATTTATTATAGTATTCAACTGGTAAAAATAATACATGATATCCATGTTGCAGTTTCTCATATAAAGATATGTTTTCTTTAGCCTCTGTAATAAAGATAATCATTTTCCCATCAACATTTTTTAAGGAATATATTTCTTCTTTCATAAGATAGCCATTAAACTATATTAAGTGGTGGTATATTTTAATATAGTGCAAATCAAACCACATACAAAAAAAAACTGGTTCTAGACACGGACAGTCACAGGCTGATATAAGAAGGTATGTGTTTCTAAGTCTGGTAAAGGAAGTGGGTTTAGACAAAGCAAAAATCTAGAAAGGTTTCTTTCTCAAAGCAAATGTGCATAAAGACTCAAAGGGCAGGTCAACGCAGAATAGCAGCCTTGAATCACTGCCGAATCAGCAAGAACATTGCTGTCCATGGTCACCATCTGTAATCACTGTGCCCAAATGTCAGCATCTTGGCTGGCTGGTGTAGCTTTATTTTTAAAAATATTTTTTGTAATAGTACACTTGTGTTTAACATAGAATGTTGACTTAGATAAATGATGAGGAAGTTATAAATAATTGGAGTAGCATAACTTTATTATTTGGAAATAAAAGTATTATGTACATATATTAGTAAAATGAAATGCACCTGATTCAAGGTATCATCTAGGTAAATTCTGTAAGGTACCATATAGGTAAATTCTTAAATCATTTTTCAGATGATTTAATCTAATCATACTGAGTTGCACTATAGTTTTTATAGAGACTTGTAGCAGTTATCTTATAAGTATCCCTCGTATCTATTAAAAACCGGTTTAAGAGTTTATATTGAACTTAGAGGGATTAGGTTCCAAAATACCAAAACAAAATACCAGAAACAGAGGCCAGGCACAGCGGTCTGTATTTGAGAGGCTGACACAGGATGATCGCTTGAGACCAGTGAGACACCATCTCAAAAAAAAGCAAAATATCAAAAATATCCAGTGATGAATTATCACAGAAGTAGGCAAGGTCCAAAGCATTTCTCTTAGCTAAACTCAGGGCTATAGGGATGTTTTCATATAAATACATATAGGTTATGCAAAAATATTAAAGATAGATTCCTCACTTTCTTCATTAATATACCTGTCAAAAAATAAGCCCTTCAAAGTTATGTTCAAGTACGTTTTAGATGGAGGAGGTATTTCTGAGAAATGCAGTTTTCTCAGCTGCCAAAAAACTTAGGTTTGCTTCTTAAAATGAAGAGAATAGGGTGTATGTTCATGTATCATATATGAGGCATACAGAAGTCATTTTCCCTTGAGGACTTAGTGGGGGCGAAAAATCCCCAATGTAGCATTCTGTCCAAATGATAAACCACAACAAATTGAGTGAAACATTTACAAAAGTCAGGGCAGCCAAAGGAACCTCTCTGTTCAACAGAGAGAAAGAGATGGATAGGATATAACTAAATAATGGTTAAAGTAACGCAATGGTTTCAAGTCTCAATTGGTCTCTCTTCTGTTATGTTCATTGGAAGATCAGGGCAAGTATATCCCCTGCAACTCCCCCTCCCCTCATATAAACATTAGTTGTGTGTGTGGATCTTTCTGCTTTGTCCTTCATGTGGCCTCCAAGGGTGATAAAGTGAGAGTCATCTGATCTACAATGAAAAGAACTGGGAAATGATTCTCAGCAGACCCAGCTGTTCTAAAAGGCAAAAGCTTAGTATATCAAGAGGTCAAACATACAGTAACTGGTTTAATAGCATTAAGCACATACCTATATAACTTGAATTATATATGAAACCAATCTACTTCTTAACTCTGTATTACCTGACTAACATAGATTACTTTATAAAATGTTTTGGCTTATAACCTAAGGTTAGTTTTCAATGCTATAATAATCCTTTTTTAGTATATTTTTGGTAACATCCTATTATAAGCACTGTATCAGAATAAATTTCTTAAACAGTATGAAGAACATAATTAATGAAGGTAATTTATATAATTTATAGTAACAGTTTTTAAAAACCTTTCATTTTAAAAAGGTGAATCTAAAATTTCTCTAAGTGGAAAGTGAATTATTTTCTTTTTTTCTGAGATAGGTGTCTTGCTGTGTTGCCCAGTCTGGTCTTAAACTCCTGGGCTCAAGCAATCCTCCTGTTTCAGCCTCCAGAGTAGTAGCTGGGATTAAAGGCTTGTGCCATTGCACGCAGTGGAAAATTTTCAACCTTAACTTGTTATATTTTGTTTCAGATTTTCATGTAGTTTTCATTTTTCATGATATATTCAAATGACATGGTAATATTTTCTACTAATTTTGTTAAAACTTAGGGCAAGTACCAAAGGAGTAGCAGTTTTCCTTACAGAAATGGTCAAGAAAAGCAGAGGTTTCACTATCAAGATAACATACTCTGTGATTCCCTCCTCCCCTTTATTTTGGGAGTGACAACAAAAACATGATGATGACAGAAAACACCACAGAATAACTGAAATTTAATATTTCAAAATAATTTGGAATGGATCACATATTGCCCCTTAATAAAGGTCTTTTCTTTAAATTCAGTACTCTTTGTAGTTTAGTTCAAAAAAAACTTCATATTTTAAACATTTGTACTGAAAAAATACACTCTAATATTTTATAAATGGTGTAAAATTTTAAAACCTTGAAAATGTTTTTTTCTCTATAAGCATAGGAAAATAAAAACTCACTCCTGAGATAGAGGCTACACAATAGACTAGATAAATCTTTAAAAAAATTTCTACAGAATCTATAAATTAATAAGCAGCTGGGGCTTTAAATGGGAAAACTGGTACTTAATTCCACTCATCATTACATTTAATCTGAATTTCAGAAAAACACAGAGTTCTACCAAAGGTGCCACTTTTATACATGCTTTATTAAGTCTACCCACAAATGCTAAAAGTCCACAGAAGTGTATGTGGTACAGAATATAAGTCAAGATCTTCCTCTCCATGTTGGCTTACATTAAAGAGCCAAGAAGAAATGTATTATTTACATTGAGATTATCTACTGGTGCGTGTAGAAAGTTTAAATTAGCTGCAAGAAATTTTATCTAGACATGCACCTGCCAACTGCTACGAGCTGGTATTTACTGGGCAGATTAATTACAAATATTTCTCTGTTCCTTTAAATATGATCAGGCAGATGCAGAAGTTGGTGCTCATGGTGAGTGCATTTCTTCTTAATGCCTGTGAGATATAAAAGATAATTATATTATCAAGAATTAGTTAACATGCACGTCATACATGACTTAAGAAGTGATTTTAACACCTAATAACAATCTAGTTTGGTACCTAGTTTAGTTAGATGCTGCTGGCAACCTCTCATTTGCTTTTTTCTTTTGAGACGGAGTCTCACTCTCCCCCAGGCTGGAGTGGAGTGGCATGGTCTCGGCTGACTGCAACCTCTGCCTCCCGTGTTCAAGTGATTCTCCTGCCTCAGTCTCCTGAGTAGCTGGGACTACAGGTGTGTGCCACCACACCCAGCTAATTTTTGTATTTTTAGTAGAGACGGGGTTTCACTATGTTGGCCAGGCTGGTCTTGAACTCCTGACCTCGTGATCTGCCCACCTCGGCCTCCCAGAGTGCTGCGATTACAGGCATGAGCCACTGTGCCCGGCCTTATTTGCTTTTTGATTATCTTCACTAGTAACTGTCAATATGACTACTCTGACATAGCACTCAGTATTCTTTACCTTATGTGACCATACTTACATGAGATACTTCTCAGAGAATTTTAAAACTCCAACAGGGCCTACAGAAAACTTATTTACATGCCTTTGTCTATAAGCCTTAGGGGCCTTTCAGCAGGTGTTTCCTCCAACAGCTGCCCCCCGCCCAAAAGACAGTATTTACTATGACAGATTCCTATTCAGAATATGTCCCTCTGGGGACTCCTAGTGGTGGTAGAGGCTCATGTCTCTTCAGCCTTAGAATCCTTCTGTGAGAGAAAGCCCTTGAAGGAAGCAGCCTTTGGCAACTAATGGCATACATTACCACAGGGCATGTGGGAAGAGATCTTTAAAAATGACCTAATAAGGCTGGGGGTGGTGGCTCATGCCTGTACTCCTAGGCCAAGGCAGAGGGACTGCTTGAGCCCAGGAGGTCAAGGATGCAGTGAGCTATGATTGCACCATTGCAGTCCAGCCAGGGCGACAGAACGAGACCCTGTCTTTAAAAAACAAAAACAAACAAACAGATAATCCCATCCTGAGGTGATCTGTCTGCTGTGAATTCCCATAACACTGCTTATTCTTCATTTGGTACTTACAGTAGAGAATAATACTTCTCAGTCTGAAGGGGAAGAAACTTCTGTCAACTCTTCCTCTGTACTCCATGGAAGTGTGACAAATTTGATTGGCCAAAGTCCAGAACATTCATTGGTCTACATTTTACTAGTAACATTACACAAATTCTTCCCTCCTTGTAGTTTCCCTATCACTGTCTACTCTCAATCCCAGTGGACCTTTTTTATTATAATACTTCCTAATTTCATGTAGTAGGGAGACCAACCCATTCTATTGTGCTGACCTGCAGTCAAGCATGTAAAAGGCAGGCTTGTGGTCTTCACAGCATTAACAGTCACACGGACTTGGGGGTCTATTTAAAAGATCCAGCTTTTAGGTTCAGTAAAGTGCACAGAATTCAAGATTTAAACTTAGTGTGAGAAAGAAGAGGTTGCATTTCTGCTTTAAGGCAATCTACCTTAGTTACCCCAAGCTTCTACTAGAGAGCCTGCCATGTTGGGGGTTATCAATTCCACCACCAATCAAGTTGATACTTTGATCCTCATTGGATGCACAATCCTTGTTTGTACTTGTTATTGGCCAGAACTTAGAAGAGTCTGAACTTGTATCATTTATCATAACTTGCCTTATATTTTGTGTCCTTATTAGGTTTCAAACTGTCATAATACACAGCGCTTTGTTCATACTAAGCCTCATCCTTGTGTTACCCAAGTGATTCATCCACATTGTTACTAAAGTATCCCAATATCCCGTTATCATTAGCCAAAATGTTTTTCTCTTCCCATCTTTTGATGGTCTTAGCACTCTGGCTGTGGCCTCTGGGTTGCTGTCACCCTTACTTTCTCTCTTATTCTAGCATTGTTTCACAAAGGCTTCACTTTTTAAAGGCTCTGGGAGTGAATCTGTATGGGACAGTCCTCCCCACTGAACAATTACAGGTCAAGAGGAATAATCACTGAAGTGTGACAGAGGGCTGGAGCAGTTGTGCAGGTAGGGAAGTTGGCCACGGTGATATCAGGAGTACTGTCAGGTTTCTAGGGCATAAGGACAAAATCAGGAGTTTCATTCACATCCTCCCTTACGCATACCAGTCAGGCAGCTATGACAAATATACAAAAGAGCAATGAGAGAATATGGGGGAGAGGGATTTGGGGAAGCTTATGCAGAAGATGAGTTCTAAGCAGGTTTTGAAAGACGGGTAAAATTTTGACAATAATGAGGGAAAAGGCATGCTAGGTTGAGCAGACAAGACCCAAGGTAAGGACATGAGAAAGGCACTTTCTGGGGAAGGTGTCTGAGAAATGGCAAGTAATCTGGAATGAATAAGGCACAATGAAGAAACTGGAAAGGTAAGCTGTGGGCAGATCAGGGAGACTCCTGAATGTCAGTTTAAATTTGGATTTTATCATACATATGGTAGAGTGATACCTTCTAAAGCATACATTTGTCCAGTAGCAGGATAGGCTGTAGGGGAAAGGGACCAAAGTGCAGACAGGTAGGTTACAATAGGGACAATGATAATCTGGAAGAGAGGTAATGGAGAAATAAACTGGTACAGTGGGTGTGGAAAGGAGAATTAAGCATTCTCAGAAGTAATATAATCTGGCAGCGTTTGGATGTGGGGACAAAGAGAGAGAGAATTTGACCAATGGAATGATATAATCCCTAGAAAGGTAGAAGAAAAACATCTTTGGAGGGGAAATGATGAAATCAGTATACTTGGGGGACATTGTATGGCAGCTGAGATTGTGGGTTTATAGCCCAGGAGACTATAATAATTTGGAAACCATATACACTAAAGTGAAAAGTCAGGGAACGAAGGAGATAATGAAGGAAATGCTCAAAGTGAGATGAAAACATGGTGAAAGGCAGAACTGAGGGAAATGCCTCAAAGGTGAAGTCACTTAATTTCACTGTCATTGCTCTTTTGCTTCTCACTGAAAGGGAAGTTGACTGGTAGCTCAACCTTAATTCTTTCCAGTTTCTTGAAAGTATTACTCAAAGACTCAAAAGAACACCCCAAAATGTGGTTATCTTTACTAAAATCCATTAACACAAAGCTATTCTCAGTACTCTGAATTCCCTGTAAGTTTATTACAGAGATTATCAAACACTAAATGTTGCACGTTCATTTACTAAATGTGTAACTGTGACGATGTATCTATGATCACCACCTAATATGTTCTCTGTTGGATTTTCATGGGTCAGAAATTTTGTAAAATGGTAACCTTATAATGAATGAATATAAGTGTATGTGGATGGATATATATAAGATATATATATCCTATATATATATTACATATAGGATATATATATTACATATAGGATATATATATTACATATAGGATATATATGTATATATGTACATATATGTAGGATATTACATATAGGACATATATAATCTATTACATAATAGGATATATATATATCTCCTATTACAATATATATATATCTCCTATTACATATAGGAGATATATATATATCTCCTATTACAATATATATATATCTCCTATTACATATAGGATTTATAAGGATAATATTTATATATTATCCTTACTTAACAGGATATAAAAACCTTGGCCAGTAGTGAAACCTGACATTCACAGATTACTACTGGGTGGTGGCAAGAGCACAGGCACTGGCACCAGACTACTCAGTTTAGTATCCTGGCCCTGTTTTAGGTGATTCTGGGACAAGGTACTTAACCTCGTTTGTGCCTCAATTGCCTTACCTATAAAATAAAAGTAATAACTGTATTTGCCTCATACGTTGTTGTGAAGATTAAATGGGATACGTATAAAGTGTTTATAACACTGCTGGCACATAGAAATTACTCAATAGGGCTGGGCACGGTGGCTCATTCCTGTAATTGCAGCACTTTGGGAGGCCGAGGCAGGCAGATCACTTGAGGTTAGGAGTTCAAGACCAGCCTGGCCAACATGGTGAAACCCCATGTCTAATAAAAATACAAACAATCAGCCGGGCATGGTGGTGCTCAACTGTAATCCCAGCTACTCGGGAGGCTGGGGCAGGAGAATCACTTGAATACAGGAGGTGGAGGTTTCAGTGAGCCGAGATCGTGCCACTGCACTCCAGCCTGAGTGACAGAGCAAGACTCCATTTCAAAAAACAAACAAAACAACAGAAAGTACTCAATAAATATTAGCTATTATTATAAGCTATTACTCACTGCAAACAACAGAATATAAGCTATTGTTACTACATACAACAGAATAAACGTTTTCATAAAAAACGGACACAATTTTCTATATAAGATGCTTTGCAAATATTAAGACTAGCTTGTCAGGAAGCTAATATTAATCACTTGAGATACCATTTCCAAAGAAAAGTATCTTGGAGGTAGAATATAATTCTTTAATTGTGCTTTGATTTTTTTTCCCCTAAGAGATAGCAGGCAAAACACCTGGTAAGCTAAGAATTCTTTTTTTTTTTTTTGGAGACAGGGTCTCGCTCTGTCACCCAGGCTGAGTGCAGTGATCATGGCTGACTACAGCCTCTACCACGTGGGCTCAAGTGATCCTCCCAACTCAGCCTCCTAAGTAGCTGGGACTACAGACATGCGCCACCATACCCAGCTTATTTTTCTATTTTTTTGTAGAGACATGGTCTGTCACTGTGTTGCCTAGGCTGGTCCTGGGCTCAAGCGATCCTCTCACCTTGGCCTCTCACAGTGCTGGGATTACAGGCATGAATCACCATGCCTAGCCCCTAATGCCAGTTTTTGTTGTTGTTTTTTCCTGAGACAGAGTTTCACTCAGTCGCCCAGGCTGGAGTGCAGTGGCGTGATCTCAGCTCACTGCAACCTCTGCCTCCTGGGTTCAAGCGATTCTCCTGCCTCAGCCTCCTGAGTAGCTGGGATTCAGGCGCAAGCTAGCCGGCTAATTTTTTGTATTTTTAGTAGAGACGGGGTTTCACCATGTTGGCCAGGCTGGTCTCGAACTCCTGACCTCGAGTGGTCCACCTGCCTCAGCCTCCCAAAGTGCTGGGATTACAGGCGTGAGCCACCATGCCCAGCCAATGTCAGTTCTTAATGTGAACCTTCAGTTATAGGTATACTAAACACTAATATATCATGACTCATATTGCTTTTGGCTTATTTGTTATAATAAGCTATTTATAAACACATCATTTTTACTTGTATTGCTGAATCAATAGGAATTGTTCTGAAGGCAAGGTATAACTAATAAATATAGATTTATTTACTTAATTTAGCACATTTCCAAATTTAACAGACTAGTTATATCTTGTTCAGTCAGATGTGTCCTACAGAAACTATAGTCCACTTGTCAGCATCTATTTAGCTAGTCTATTTAGCTATTTATATGAAAGATGCTTGATTAAGGACCCTTTTACACTCAGTTAAAAATGTGTCCTCTCTGACTTTTAAAGTTAGCGTCGTCAGCTCAACAGTTCTTTCCAATCAGCCTCTAACTGATGTCAGATGCCCTCCTGTTGTTGATAAGACTAGATTAATATAAGTTCAACTAAAGCTCCAAAGCTATATCCCTATTTTCTTACAGGAAGACAATACCAAATCTGATAATGTAAATAAAATGTTTCCACCTGAACAAAACACAGTGAAATTTCACAAGGTTAAACTAAATTAGAAAGGTGAAACAGTACCTCAGTTTAAAATGGCTTTAAGGAATTCATAGCTGTCAAGATGACGTGATGCTATATGAAAGAAGAAAGGTTTTTTTTTTCAGAAAACAATTCAAAGCAACTTGCCACAGTATATGATGCAGAATAAATGTTGAAGCAAAATGAAATTAAAACAACCTGAAGTCTTGTTTTATACTAATAGCAGCTCTAAGGCTATAAATTCTCATTTCAACATGCTATAGTTAGCCTGATTCTATTTCAGAATATACATTTTCAAATTTATTACGAAAACTTCCAAGACATTTATTACAATACATGCTTATTACCATTGTTAGTACACTCTTTATGGTTACTAAAATGACTGTCATTTGTGCTAGATTCTATATCCCTGAGGGCAGGACTATGTCTGCCTTGTTTGTCAGTGTGTTCCCAATGCTAGAATAATGCCTGGAGCATGGTAGGCACTCAATAAACATTAATGAGGTAAGAAAATAGCAATTTATAAGTATTTGAAAATACTTAGATAATTCTTTAAAAAAAGTTCTTTTCATTCATCACACATTGGCTGTACTGCATGTGGAACTTCTTTCCAGGCTCTATCCAGGCACTGTGCTAGGCTCTGGAACTATCATACATAGATAAGACTTTTTGTTTGTCTGCCAAAGAGGAGCCCAGAAAGAGTCCTGTAACCAGGCAATTACAATGCACTACAACATGATACATTTAAAATATTCAGACAAGTGTTGTGGGAGCCTCAAAGATGAAGCAATTTAGCTTTACCTAGGAGAGCTGGGGAGAGCTTCACAGAGGTTGTGACATCTGAGGCTGACCTTAAAGGATGAGCAGGAGTTTGTAAGACAGAGAAAAAAGCAATCATTAAAAAGTCAGGAAACAACAGGTGCTGGAGAGGATGTGGAGAAATAGGAACACTTTTACACTGTTGGTGGGACTGTAAACTAGTTCAACCATTGTGGAAGTCAGTGTGGCGATTCCTCAGGGATCTAGAACTAGAAATACCATTTGACCCAGCCATCCCATTACTGGGTATATACCCAAAGGACTATAAATCATGCTGCTATAAAGACACATGCACACGTATGTTTATTGCGGCACTATTCACAATAGCAAAGACTTGGAACCAACCCAAAAGTCCAACAATGATAGACTGGATTAAGAAAATGTGGCACATATACACCATGGAATACTATGAAGCCATAAAAAATGGTGAGTTCATGTCCTTTGTAGGGACATGGACGAAATTGGAAATCATCATTCTCAGTAAACTATTGCAAGGACAAAAAACCAAACACCGCATGTTCTCACTCATAGGTGGGAATTGAACAATGAGAACACATGGACACAGGAAGGGGAACATCACACTCTGGGGACTGTTGTGGGGTGGGGGGAGGGGGGAGGGATAGCATTAGGAGATATACCTAATGCTAAATGACGAGTTAATGGGTGCAGCACACCAGCATGGCACATGTATACATATGTAACTAACCTGCACATTGTGCACATGTACCCTAAAACTTAAAGTATAATAAAAAATAAAAAAAAAAAAGCAATCTAGGCAGAGGGAAAGGTAGCAAAGTGTTCTGGGGTCCTGAAAGAGAGGTTCCAGAGGGCTGAAGCACTTGGTGTGAATAGTATGAATAAAAATGACTACCCTCCTCTTATCTGAGGTCTGAACTGGAGGAAAAATCACCTAATATTTAATAATTACCAAGTCCTGCTTTTAACTATATAACTAGTTATATAATACTATAAACATTTGCTTTATTGTGTTTAAAATATGTAAACCACTTAGATAATTTATCTAACTCTTTTTTTGTGGGGCTTTTTTGACTACTCTGAGAGTAAAAAATGGGAAAAAAAAGTTCACCTGTCAGGTGACACAAAACCAATTTCTACTAAATGTGCCAGAATAATTTTTCTCCACCTCAAGAATAGTCTTCAGTCTATTCATTACTGTCTTTTTACAGTATTTTTATTTAATAAAACCTATTAAGACTACCATACAAATCTCTTTACTTATGCTTTTATCTTTTAACTGATCAATTTTTATATTGCTGACATCCCTTCTTCACCGTTTGCTCATTTAAAAATTCATAGTATGTGAGATATGTCTCTGGGGAAAATGTCTATAAAATTTGTTACAGCTGGCAAATGTGTATGAGTCAGTGATAGCACATGACTAAATGCTTCACAGAAAATAAAATTTGTTTCTGTAGTAAGCAGAACTGTTTAAATGTTATTTATTTTTATGTTTCAAAGAAAATATATTGTGAAGTGCTGCACTGATTTAATACGCAACAATGTCTGTGTACACGCTGTAGAAGGAAAATTTATGAAACCTTTGCACAACTCCTTTAATTGAATTTTCCAAATCTCTCACCACACACAAATAATCAATATCTTCTGCAGAGAAAACCAGTCAGAATTATTACAGTCTTTCTTTTCAATTTTGTTGTCATCAGCACATACTGAGCACCTGGATATTTGTAATGTCTGATAGCAAGTTATTTACACCTCTTAAACACCTAATTGCTATTAAGTGAGTCCAAATCTATAGTTTAAAATTTTTTCTACTGATTTTATTTGAAAGAAAAATTATCATACTTCTGTTAAAGTATAAAAAATTTAAATCATGAAAGAAATTATTTAAAAGGCTTTGAAAAGTAATAAATCAGTTTATTTTTACTTAAATCCTAGACAAATCTCAAGTAAGCATTTTTAGCAGCTGAAATGCATACCCCAAAACAATGACGAATCGTGTAAAACAAGAGCATTAACATTATTAATAGGAAAGGTTATGATTCACATATGGCATACATGATAGCTGAATCATTATAAAGAGCTGAGGACTATAGTTGTACATTAATGTATATTTGTGCTATCAAAATTAATGGCTTCATTTTTTATCTCCAGATAAACCCAGAATGTTAAAGCATAGGGGGAATTTCTGTTGTTTCTCCTAAAAGTCGTCACGTCTAAACTTCAAACCTCAGTGCTTTTAAAATTGAAGTATCTGTTTGAAAAAAATATATTGTTTAATGTTAAGATAAAATAGAAAACTAAAAGGGTAGTAGTCTTCTGGGAGTGAAATTATTCAGCTGATATGATGAATACTTTTTCAAGCCTGAGTTGGGGAAAGAACAACATATTTTTATGTTTAAAAAATACTTCAGTGGGTGGTTAGAATGAAGAGGCAATATCAAACTATTTTATAGTGTTAGAACAGAAAGAGTTTTAAATTTGTCCTGTTGTCTAAGAATCTGATAACTTTAAAATCTATAACCAAGACGAATTTTACTATGTAAGAATACAGAAAGTTAACTAAAGAATACAGGAACATTGTAGTTTATGCTTTTTAAAACAGACCAAAGTTGGAAATTCTGAAATATTTTCTATTACAAACAGCTGAAACACTGAACAATGTAAAGTTCAGATGGTTCCATTTCATTTAAAATATGCATACTGCAACCTACACAATTATTCTCAAAACAGATAAAATATGTTTTGGACTGAAGCTAAGTGTCTAGATTTCATATCTTGGCAACTGCTCTACAATTTGCTTACATTCTTTTCAAAAACATTTTGTTTATTGGAAGTACTAGTCATAGACTAACGATGGTATTTTTAATTATCTTCAGAAAAAACTGAAAATATTAACTACTATATAATGCCATCTATTGACTAAGGAATATCTGTAACAAGTTGTTTTAAGTAGAGGTTGATTATGTAAAGTAAATAAATTTCATGCCTCACCATGTGATGATAATGTGACATTTCATCTGTATCAGCCCACTGAATGGTCATATGTCTTAAGTCTTCAGCATAACAAATTTAAAATAATTATGAAAATTCACATCCAAATCTTACAGAAAAAGAACCTTTCATTTCATTATTTTCCTAATAGTCATAAAGCCAGTGTTATTGAAGAAAGCAAAATTAGGCTTATTTCCTAAGTAACTGAAGAAAGAAAGAAGCCTTCCTTTGTTTAAGAAATCTGTGTTTAGCAGAGGAGATCCTCTTTTATTCATATACTCTCATCAAGGCATCCCCTGATTTACCAGGTCCAGTTCTTATGACACTATGAAAATCTCAGTGTGCCTTTTAATTTTATTGTGTATGTTTTAAATTTCTCTTGAATAAGTTATATAAAGCCTTAAGAATGTGTGTCAGATGTCTATTTATTTAAAACACTAGAGTGTTATTTTTATAATTCTACTCTTCCTGTAATAAAGACTGTAACTGACATTAACTGAAATTCCCACTGAAATGAAAAAATAAATATTACTAGAACTAAAAGACCAATTAGAAGAGGCAATGATAGCATAAATATTGAAATTCTCATGGTATTGTCTATTTTAACTATTCCAGGAAAATTTTTTAAGAATCTGAAAGACCAAAAAACAAACAAACAAAAAAACCCACCAAAAACCCAGAAGAATCTGAAGGACATTCTTTTGATAGTGAAACAAGTAATTGGCTTATTCTAATTTTCATAATTACCTTAACAAATCCTATACATATTATAGGGATGATTTTTATTTTACTTATTTTCTAATATTATGACAAACTCCCAAAACATTTTAAAATTTAAACAATTCTGTGTAATAGCATAATAAAAATAAATAAATAAAAGAAAGTGGAAATTTCAAGGCCAGATTGCAAAATGAGGGACATATAAAGCAAACTAGTTTGAGATGTCAAAAGAATTAGCAAAATCCTCTTAAAATGAATATGAGCAGAAAAGGGTAAAAGTTGTTAGCTTAGTACAAAAAATTTGCATGTGTGTGCACATTTGTGTGTACATAATCATTAACCAAAAAACAAAACAAACAAAAAACCCCCAAAACTAATATGTATGTTAGGAACCAGAGAAAGAGGTAGGAAAAGCACTCAGGAAAACTATATAGCTCAAAATCAAATTACAACAAAAATAAGCTTTAATCTATTTTTTAGGCAATATGAATTTCCCAAAATTAGTTAAAAAGCTAATGAAGTTTTTAATACCTCAGGAAATATAAAGAGCTAATGTAGCTCCTGCCAAGAAACAGAATTGGACAATGACTACGTAGAATAGAATATAACACACAGTAGTATATAACATACTTATATAGATACTATGTATTATATATTTTTTAAACTGAGTTTTCATTTAAATCAATGATTATTAGAAATTTACAAACATGGTTTAGTGATAACAGTCTCCTCTATGCAGGAACTCGGTCCTTTGGGAAAATCTGGTAATGGGCAAGTCAGCCTTAATGCCTAAAATAATAGAAAACAGTTTTAAGGCTGATCATGCATAAACACACAATGAAGTTATGTATTTTAGATGTCCATAAGGAAATGAAAAAAGTTTCCCCTGGAAGGAAAAATATTTTAATGAAATATAAATTAAAAAAATTTTTCTTTATATTATTAGCATTGACAGTTCACTTATTTATTCCAGAGTTTTCCTCTTCCTTATTTCTCAAAGCTGTTTGCAAAGGCCAACTATATTAAGCCTAATTCTAGTTAGTTCTAGGAAGTTACAGATTTTTAAGGAAATCACACTATTGGTGTAGAATATATAGAAGCAAGATTTCTTCCAGTTGGGAAATAATAAACACTTTGCTTTCCTATTGTGATCCTCTAAAACTTGTCAACTTAGGAGAGATTGAAACCACTGAAACCCAGTTACACATTCTAATCAAATTACACAACTAAAGTAACAGACAAGAGGCCAGGCGTGTTGGCTTATGCCTGTAATCCCACTTCACTAATCATCACTTCAGTCTGGGTGACAGGGTACAATCCTGCCTCTAAATTTTTCTTTTTTCTTTTTCTTTTCTTTCTTTTTTTTTTTTTTAAAAGATCCCAAGCCACATCCAAGAAAAAGCCACCTTTCATGTTCTTAAATTCTTGGCATCACAGTAGACGTTAGTTGTTCAACTGAAAAGCTCAGGAAGCCTATTCAGCTCCCTTCCCACATGAGCTTTGGAGGAGTCTTGCCATGGCTGCAGCCCTGCCATGACCCAGCTGGCCTTTAGATCTGACTGGCTGGCAATCCCAGCACTTTCCATTGCCAACCGATCACTGGCTTATTAAAGGTTCTAAACCCAGGCTAACATACCAGATTGGGTGAAGCAGTTTCAATTATGTGCCATGTTTGAATCTAAAAGCTAAGATGATTGGATGATTTCATTTGTTTTAGGAAGAGATAACACAGAATAATGAAAAGACCAGAGTTTTTGAGGCCAGACTGGTCTTTGGTTGGAATCCTTGCTCTGTTACCTAAGTAGAAGTCTTGGGCAAGTTACTTAATATTTTTTGTGTCTTCGTTCCTTGTCTATAATGACAATGATAATACAGTGTAGCTATCTTTCCACATTGCTGTAAAGATTTGCTGATCCTAGTATTCAGAATATTTGTAATTATAGTTACTCAATAAATGGCAGTCATCGGTATTTAAAAGTGGTAGGCTGAAAACACGGCCACCCATTTTAAGGCCTAATTCCACTTGCAGAAATTGCTAAATGGCATTCATGTAGGTACTATTAATCACTCCTGTATTAGTCTAAAGGTTTTGCTATTTTACAGTTCATGATTACTTTGCTTATTGAGGTGTGAAGGTGTGAATGTGTACTTCCTATGGAAACCTAAAAACTGTTTATTTAGTTTTCCATACTGTGAAATGCTCAGACATAAGAGTTCATAGTAGAACAAAGCATATTAATGATCTGAAAGTTTCCAGAATACTAGTTAGAAAGTAACTTTCAATGCTTCTAGTGCAACACTAAAAACTGCAGTATATTAATGCATTGTTGCTCCTATTTGTATTCTCAAAAAGAAATTTTAATAAAAAGACAAAATTCAAATCTTATGTTGAAGATTGCATTTCAAAAGACATTTAAAAAGTTCAATCATCAGAGAAGTTGATCTCATCAGATATCATCTTCTGCTAAATGCAATATAAAGCTTTTCAAATGAGATTTGTGATCTTCTAAAAGAACATACTTCAGAACAGGGATCTCTGAGGAAAAAAGAAAACCACTAAAAAGGATTCATGATGATTAGTTTTAATTGGCAAAATGGGATGAAAGCATCTTTATGTAATAAACTAAAACACAACTACTTACCTTTGTGAGGAAGTCCTGTACTCTTTTCAAACAGTTTTTGTTTATTCACTTTTGTCACTAAAAGAAGTAAAAATCCCATGTCAAGAATTAACATAGAATATGGATAATTTCTCAATACTTGCAACAAACAACTTCATGAGAAAAAAATAATTCAAAATAATACATATTTATAAGTACCAAATATAAAATATAATACCTTATTATATATTATAAAAATGGGCATTACATTTGAAATGCCTACTACCAGTTTCCAAGGTGCATTCTTTTCATTCACATTCAAGAAGAATCCCCAAAATAACACATCCTGATAAAAGACATGTGGCTTCTTATTTAAAGAAGGTAATAGTATTTTTATCACATGTCCAGTAATGGTATATATAAAGAAGTCTATCAAATGTAAATGAGACAAATTAATAGGTTTATCTTTAAAATTACTGTCATTGAAAACTCAAAAATTCTTACTTAGTTCTTTGGTTTTCTGCATTTCTCTTTTTAAGAAATGTGATGCACAGGAGATTCCAATGAGATTTTCAAGCTCTCTACTGCCCTCCAAAGCCTACAAGAAAGTCATCTTGAATGAGTTAAGTTCTCTACACACATGAGATTACTGACATGTCTAGTGAAAATACAGTATATTGTTTCCTTCATTTGAAAAACTTAAACTTTATGTTAGGATATTTAACTGTTTCTGGCAGGCCAACTATTTCAAGCCCAAAAATGCCTGAAAAAAAACAATTTATAATTAACTAAAAAGACTAAATGTAATCTATAAATTTATGTTTAAATGTGAAAAGCAAGATATTACTAAAATATTATGGTTAAATAGTGTTCTCCTATTAAAAAAAAAATTCCCATGAAAAGTAAATTAAACATACTCTATGCAAACTCTTTCCTGGATTGGATTCTCCAATCTGGGACACTTCTTTCATTTTATCCTTTTCAAACAGGGTAGAAGTATGAAAAAATGCAAACCTGTATACTACTTAAATTTTGCATTATCTCCATGATTTCTTCTGACAATTTCTCAACTTTTGATAGCAACATCATGAATCTAGTAATAAAGAAAAAGACAATACTTAGCAAGGGGAAGCATTTAAACATGGCAAATCATTTTCAGAGCTTTAACTCTTTTTAAAGGACCTTAGACTTAGGTTCTTTCATTCTTTACAAACACAATATATATTATCAACTGTCCCCTCTTTTGGAGTTTTACTTTCCGATTCCCACTGAGCAGTGGGATGGAAGACATAGTTGGCTGTTCCTTTCTCCACAATGCCACATTGAGAACACTAATACACCACCATTCCTTCATTTACCTTGATCTGAGTCTATGAATCAGTATCACCTAGTAACTTCTTTTTAAAATAAAAAAAGTTTTATGACTTTATTTTAAATATGAAAATAAAGAAAAGGAAAAGAGGAAAACATCACTTGGAATTCAATCTTCTGAACATATCTCCAGTTAGCTTTTTGGAAAAATGCTTCTAGTTTAAAAAAAAAAATTGTGTAACTTTGTTATCATACTTTTTTTTTCCTTTTTATAAAGAAATGGGGTTTACCTCTGTTACCCAGGCTGAAGTGCAGTGGTGTGATCATGGCTCACTGCAGCCTCAACCTCCTGGGTTCAATCGATCCTCTTACCTTGGCCTCCCAAAGCACTGTGATTACAGGTGTGAGCCATGGTGTCTGGCTGTGCTTTCTTTACTTAATACAATATTATATACATTTTGGGGGGCCACATATTGAAGGCTGCACAATATTCTATTTAGTAAACATACTAAAAATGATTTAAACATTCCCTTATTGTTAAAATTTTAGTTGCTTTTCCAATTTTAAGACCCCACAGCTGTTTGTGATAATCTATATCAACACAGTCTGATAGAAAAATAATGTAAACCATATATGTAATTTAAAATTTTTAGTAGCCACACTAAAAGGAATAAAAAGGTAAATTTTCTTTAATAATTTTCATGTTTAAGTATTTTAAATCAATATATTCAAAATATTTCAACATATAATGAATATAAAAATTATTGAGATATTTTATACTTTTTTCAAATCCAGGTATACTTTACATATTAACAGCACATCTCATTTCATACTAGCCACATTTCAAGTGCTCATTAGCCATGTATGGCTAGTGCGTACTGTTTCAAACAGCATAAATCCATATAGATTTTATGAGAGAAACCAGAAATTCTATTTAAATGCTTTTTCAAGATTACATCAGTGTTAGTCATTGACATTTTTGTTATTAAAAATAAGACAAATATGTTAAAATTTTGATATACAATGTATATGTACAGTAAGTTTCAACTAAGTAAAATTTTATCTAAGTATGCGAACAAGAAACAAGAGACTTTTGATAGCATTATGAAAAAGCTAAAAATTATGAGGACAGTGGAATTTTGGGTGTTTTTTTTCTTTAAAAGTTTTCCTTTATTACGTATTTTCAATCAGAAGTCATCTGTCTGAGGCCCTGATTGCTTAACAGGAGAACCTCAGTTTGAGAGATGGTATCATAAAGGAATTCCTGCTTCTTCAAATTGGATCCAAAGACCTGAAGAAACAAGGACTTAAGGGACTCCCACCAAGGCTGGATCCTCTAGCTTCTCATATATGATGCCAAAGCCTACTGAGTGCCCTAGGAGTACAAAGTGGAGGCAAATAAGTTACTTTGCTACGAGAAATAATCTGAGGGGCTTGTTGCCTTATACCTTGCATCCCTTTCCTGGGAGAACTGGAATAGTAGAGCCTTTTCAAACTGTCTTACCCTATCTTAATGAGCTGATGGTACTCCCTGTTAACCCATAGGGAATTGTGTGGGAAGGATTAGGTCCCGCAGGACTGCCATCTTGAATGTCTCCAAGGGGCTCTGTTCACATAGAGTTAGATGTAAATGGTGCCCCCCAAAGTTGTATAATGTAGCATCCCCAAAGGACCTACTAGCAGCTCTCCTAAATTAAGATAGTAATTGAGGGGCTAAGCTAAAACAAACTGTTTTAACAATCTTGGAGACTTGTATGGATTAAATATCAATTATCTGGGGAAGTTGTTTTCAAAACATCTTTGATATGCTGAAGGTGCTTTCTCAAGGACACTTGTATCCATTGCAGGATCAAGTAGTAGGACTAGTAGACATGCCATTGCTCTTCTTATTACTATTTTGATTCCCTTTCCTCTCCTCCTCCTTTTCTTCTCCCTAGACGAAATCACCTTTTTCCCACCTTGAAGGCAACCAAATTCCCATGAATGGTTTTTTAAGTGTTATACAACTGTTAAATCCTGAAAAATTCTTTTTTTTCAAGGCATTCTTTTCCACACTTTCTGAATCACTGAAGAAGCCTTCATAATCTTTGGAGATAAACTATTTGCTGAGCAGATTTTGGGAGAAATAATTCTACCACTTTCTTCATCCTAGACAAAATGGAATTCTCATAAACATCCTACTTGTGCTGAAAAGTAGATATGCATTGCTACTGAGAGCCCTTTTCTGTATTTTCAATGCATGGTTCAAATTTCACTTTGTTGCCCTAACATAGCATTATGGTTTGCATACAGACCCTTGGTTTTTAATATCATCTTGATGTTCCTTTACTAATTTGTTTATTCCTGAAAACCAACGATCTTTCATTTCTTTCAAGCTGCCTGAAGAATATATTTCTCAAGTTCATTATGGTACAAAATTTCAAAGTTATTGTGGCTCTTTCAAGTTGGTGAGTAAAAGTATCATCATTGGGTGCCATTCATATTTTGCAGAATAGTATTTCTTTCTCAAATAGATTTGCCTCTCGCTAGACTAAATTGGACCAAATCCTTTATCTTATAATGACCCTTTGAGCCATCCAGATGTCAATGGGCCACTACATCCAGGTATCCAGTGACTGTTGCCAGTTTTACGGCATCCTTACAAGATTTAATCAAATCTGCATTGTGGTCAAAGACTACTGTAGCACAACCTAAGAAATCTGAAGTCTTGGTCCTCCTTGAATTAACCTTCTTTTTCATCGTAGAGTAAAAACCCAGCAGCATTTTTTTAAAGCATCTCGTAGTTTTTCTCTTGAGGGAGCTACATGTCAAAATTCAGGATTTTCAGTGCAGTTTTCCAATTTGCTTAGAAGAGTTGCATTGTGAAATTCAGAGTTCTCTCACATTCCTCAAAGAAAAAGTCTTTATTCTGAAAAACAACTGAAATTAGGTGCATCAGCCAAATAAAATCCATGAGAAGCATTGGATGTATCCATTAATTCTGCTTTTCCTTCCTTCTACATTAACTTCTTCAGTCTCAAGTCAGGTGTAACTTGACTTTCAAAACTATCATTCTGTACCAGTTCTGGGTTCTTCCTATCTTGGCCACTTTCAATTCTTTCAATTATTTTCCATTCTTAGCTTCAAATGTAGTTTCATCATTTACTTTTTCTCTATTAAGTTCCTCAGATGTATTCTGAGGAGAGAACTAAAAGAACAAAGAGAAATTGTATTAAATTGGTGCTTCTAATTCAGATTTATTGAAGCAGGTGTTAGCAAGCATTAACTCAGCTCCTGCTGTGCCATCCTAGATGTGAAAGAATGAGAAGCAAAGGAGTAGAGCAGATGAAAAAGGAACCCAGTGATTTATAGATTCCCTCGGATGCAAGCCATGGTATCTACTGTACTGTGTAGGCATTGTGGATATAGTGGAAGAAGAGTGAAACCCTGTAAAAGCCATGATAATGGCCTGAAAAAATTTTTGATTTCCCTCCTTTTTTGTAACTTCCAATTGTTTGACATAGGTCTCCCTTACCATATTGTAAGTTCCGTGAAGGCAAGGGCGGTATCTACCTTATTTACTGTTACAACCTGTGTTAACTAATAAAGTGCCTGCAGTTATGGGAGGGACCCAGTAACTATTTGATGGATCAATGAACAGAATAAAAAAGACCTGGTCCAGTGACCATCCATCCCTAGATTCAAGTGAAGTATGCCCATCCTGCAGTTTTCTCATTTTTTTACTTCCTTCTCATATTGTCTTATATATTTTCCATGATTCATCAGTTATATTGCTGACAAAGTTAATTAATTCAGTTCCCTAACTTTCCACCACATATGTCTTTCTCACATGTAACCCTGGATGTCCCTATTTGTTTTCATTGCTCCTAGTCTAAGCTGTCAGTACTATGGAAAAAAAAAAAAGTCTCACAGTAGAATTGACAGTCAATATTAGAAGTATGATTTTGCTGAGCACCCAATGCTGCTTAACTCTCCATGTACCTAATTTAATGAATCTTCTTTCACAAATTTCTGCTCAACATGACAGCCTAACCCAATCTCCACTTCCTCCATATTAAAATTAAACTCTTGTATTTAGATTTCTGCCTTAGTATTCTAATACAGCATTCTCAAAGGCCACAAATACACTACTAATTAATTCTATTACTAAAAGCTATTATCTGAAAGTTATTACCTCTAAGAAATTGTACTTTTATAAATCTCAAGACTTGTGCATTAAAATGTACATAACAGGGATGAATTCCTTAGGTTTTCTTTATCTTTACAATACTATGATTCACGCAGAAAAAGGTAAATAGGTCACTGAATCTCCATCTCCCTTGACCTAAACTGATAATTTTGGATGACAGTTGAATTATGAAAACAATGAAATATATTGTTAACATTTTTTTAATGCTTTCTTAGTTTAAGGCACTATACTTACTACTTTACAAACTATATCTTACTTAATTTTCAAAACAACTGTCTGTGGGAAATACTGTCTCCATTTTACAGCTATGAAAACTGAAGTACCAATAAATTATTTAATTATCCGGGTTTTATAACAAGGGGCACAGTCAGGACTTGAACCCAGGTGTGTTTGACCTATGTTCTCAACCATTATATAATATTTCCAAAAGTGTAATTCAGTTACAACTGGCATCAGAATTCCTTGGTAAATGGTTAAAAATACAAATTTCTGGGCTGCATCCAAGAACTACTAACAGAGAAGGTCAGAAATATGCATTTCCAGGCAATTCTTATGCACATAAAAATTAATTAAAAACATTTTTCCTGAAGACTGATCACAAAAAAATCTGGTCAATATAAATAAAATTGACATTCTTTGTCAAAAAAAAAAATTCCCCCCCGTGTTTAGCTCTATTTATTTCATTACATTTTTACAGGCTGTCTCAAGGAGCTTTTCTGCATTCCGTTCAGCTTAAAATTTTTTCTAAAAAAATTTCTTATTGTGATAAACTATATACAAGATTTGTCATTTTAAACATTTTTAAATGTACAATTCAGTGACATTAATTACATTCACAATGTTGTGCAACCATCACCACTATCTATTTCCAAAAGTTTTCTATTACTACAAACAGAAACTGTATAACCATTAAGCAGTAACTCTTCATGCTTCCCACCTCCAGCCTCTAGTAACCTTTAATCTCCTTTCTATCTCTTTGAATTAGTCTATTCTAGACATTGCATACAACTGGAATCTTACAGTATTTGTCCTTATGTGTCTGGCTTATTTCACTTAGCATAATGCTTTCAAGATTCTTCAATGTTGTAGCATGTATCAGAACTTCATTCCTTTTCATAAATAAATAATATTCCACTGCATGTACATACCACACTTTATCCATTCATTTGCTGATGAACATTTGGGTTGTTTCCTGTCTTTTGGTTATTGTGAATAATGATGGAATAAACATTGGTATATAAATATCTGAGTCACTGTTTTCATTTATTTTGGGCATATACCTAGGAGTGAAATTGCTTGGTCTTATGGTAATTATATGTTTAACTTTTTGAGAAAAGTGCCAGACTGTTTTCCACAGGAGCTACAATGTACAAGGGTTTTAATTTCTCTATATCCTTGCCAATATTTGTTATTTTCCATTTTTATTGTTTGTTTAAATAGACATCCTCGTAGATGTAAGGTTTAAGATGTAAGGTCTCACTGTGGTTTTGATTTGCATTCCTTTAATGACTAATGATATTTAATATATTTTCATGTGTTTATTGGCAATTTATATAAGTTCTTTCAAGAAATATCTACTCAAGGCCTGGCGCCGTGGCTCATGCCTGTAATCCCAGCACTTTGGGAGGCTGAGGTGGGCAGATCACGAGGTTAGGAGATCGAGACCACTCTGGCTAACATGGTGAAACCCCGTCTCTACTAAAACTACAAAAAAAAAAAAAAAAAAAAGTTAGCCAGGCATGGTGGCGGGTGCCTGTAGTCCCAGCTATTCAGCAGGCTGAGGCCGGAGAATGGCGTGAACCCGGGAGGCGGAGCTTGCAGTAAGCCAAGATTGCGCCACTGCACTCCAGCCTGGGCGACAGAGTGAGACTCCATCTCAAAAAAAAAAAAAAAAAAAAAAAAAATCTACTCAAGTCTTTGCCTATATTTAAAATTGGATTGTCTTTTTTCTTGTTGAGTTTTGGAAGCTCTTGATCTACTCTGGACCTTAAACCCTTATTAGATATATAATTTGAAAATATTTTCTCCCATTCTGTGCTTTGCCTTTTCACTTTCTTGATGGTGTACTTTGAAACACAAAAGCTTTTACTTTTGATAAAGTCAAATTTATTTTTTCTTTTGTTCATTGTGCTTTTGGTGTTGTTATATAAGAATCTATCAACAAATTCAAGGTCATGAAGATTTATCATTATGTTTTCCTCTAAGATAGTTATAAATGGTTTTAGCCCTTATATTTAGGTCACTGATCCATTTTGATTTAATTTTTACATATGCTGTGAGGTAGGAATCCAACTTCATTCTTTTTTGTAAGGAAATCCTGTTTCCCAGCAACATTTATTGAAGAGACTATTCTTTCTCCATTAAATAAACTTGGCCTCCTTGTCAAAAACCAACTGGCCATAGATGTATGCATTTGTTTTGGACCCCCAATTCTATTCCATTGGTCTCTATGGCTACTGTTAACGCCAGTGCCATACTGTTTTGATGACTGTAGCTTTGTAGTATGTTTTGAAATCAGGAAATATGAGTCTTCCAACTTTGTCCTTTTTCAAGATTGTTTGGCTATTTAGGGTCTCCTGTAGCTTCATATGAATTTAAGGACAGGTTTTTCCATTTCTGCAAAAAGTGCTGTTTAATCATTCTGCAAAAGAAATATAGGAATTACAGTGAATCTGTAGATTGCTTTGGGTAGTAGCATTAACATCTTAACAATATTAAATCTTCTTGCCCATGAATACAGAATATCTTTCCTTTTATTTAGATCTTCTTTAATTTCTTTCAAAAATGAATTGTAGTTTCTAGTGTACAAGTTTTTTACCTCTTTAGTTAAATTTATTCCTGTGTATTTTATCCTTTCAGATGCTACTGCAATGGACTGCTTCCTTAATTTCCTATTCAAATTCATTACAGGTATATGGAAACTGATTTTTGTGTGTTGATCTTATACCCTGAAACTTTTTTTGACTCTGTTTATTAGCTCTAGTAGCTTCTTGTGCACTCTTGGGATTTTCTCTATAGAGAATCATCTTGTCTTCAAATAAAGATTGTTTTACTTTTTCCCTTCCAATTTAAATGACTTTTATTTCTTTTTCTTATCTAATTGCTCTGGCTAGAATTTCCAATACAATGTTGAACACCAGTGGTGAAAGCAGGTGTCCTTGTTTTGCTCCTGATCTTTAGGGGAAAGCTTTCAGTCTTCCATATCTAAAATTTTAAACAGTTGAAAATAATTCTCTTTTTAAGATTGGCTTTCCTCTTAGCCTTTGCTCACCTACAGAATAGGCCTAATATGGAATATAGGCTTATATCTTCATCCTAAGATTCTGATAAACATTTTCAACTAACTTATCCCTAGAGACCATCATTTGAGCAGTTAAGAGGAATTTAGAATACTGACCAGTGGTTGTCACAATTAAATTGCATACATAATGCAAAACAAAACAACAAAAATTTTTAAAAAACCAGTTCTGGCATAACTCACTACTATTAAAAAGATTTTATTTGGGTTAGTGCAGAAATAACAAAAAATACACATCTAAAAAAGTTACTCTTCTGCCTGTAAGAGAGAATGAGCTAGTGACTAAAAATAAGTCCTAGGCTGGGCACAGTGGCTCATGCCTATAATCCCAGCACTTTGGAAGGCTGAGGTGGGTGGATCACCTGAGGTCAGGAGTTCAAGACCACCCTGGCCAACATGGTGAAACCCCGTCTCTACTAAAAACTAGCCAGGCATGGTGGTGGCGTGCACCTATAATCCCAGCTATCTGGGAGGCTGAGGCAGGAGAATCACTTGAACCCAGGTGGTGGAGGTTGCAGTGAGCCAAGATCATGCCATTGCACTCCAGCATGGGCAACAAGAGCGAAACTCTGTCTCAAAAAAAAAAAAAAAAAAAAAAGTCCTATACAACAGGTGGGATCCTCGCGGTGATGGAACTGTTCTGTAACATAACTACAGTGGTAGATACAAGAATCTACACGTGATAAAATTGCACAGAACTAAATACACACACACAAATGAGTTCATTGCAAAACAGGAAATATGAATAAGATCAGTGGATTGAGTCAATGTCAATTTCCTGGTTGTGATATTGTACTACAGTTTTGTAAGATGTTATGTTGGGAAACTAGGAAAACAATACACATGATGTCTCTGTTTTACTTCTCACAATGGCAAGTAAATCTACAATTATCTGAAAATAAAACTTACAGGACAGTCACCATTACTGCATTTTCATAGCAATGCCAGCTACAGCAGCAGCAAATTGCCAAGAGGAAGAAAAGCCAATCGCAGTAAATTATATATATTCCTTGCAAAACATAAAGGATATGGAAGTTCACATAAAATATTAACGTGTAGCTGTTTTTTTACAAATGGGCTTTATTGACATGCCATTAACTACTTGTTTTGTGAAGAAAAAAACATTTTTAAACCTAGAACATGGAACTGTATTTTCCTGTTGAGAGGATTCTTACATTTAAAATTCTCCAAATTGATCAATAGGAATTGATTTCAGGACGTATTCATCAGTAAAAAAGGCAAAGTGAAAAGAGTACATATGGTGTGCCACCTTATCTGTATAAAAAAATAAGAAAAAATAAATGAAACTGCTTAATTTTATGGAAATAAACATAGGAAAGGTAAATAAGAAACTAATGAATTTGGTTACCCACAAGAAATAGGTAGAAGGAATGAGGGAGGGATTAACACTACTCTGAGTATCCTTTTTTGGCAACAGTTTTGACTTTTAGAACCATAATGATGGCTTATCTCATTTTAAAAAGTCAAAAAGGATGAGAAAAAAGTAAAATTCACGAACAAGAAAACCTATTTCAAATGAATACTTCTTCAAATGAAGAACTAATCCAAATAATTTTTGAAAACAGTAATTTGACTATATATCTTTAGAGACAAAAAACTGCAAACAAATCTTGAATGCTTTGCAGGTTTGTTTTTAGCAGTGCTGTGAGCATGGGAATTCTGCAAGTATTTTGTGTATGATGTAGGATTAAGCAAATGTGCAAATTTATTGCTGCTCTTAGGAGACAGAGATTTAGATTTGAGATGGGATAGAAATATGGAAAAGGGGAAGTCAAGGAAAAACCTTGTATCACTATGAACAGATGAATTTTTAAATGGCCAACCAGCAGAAGGTCAACTAATAAATATAGATATGATGGAGTTAGAAAATTATGACTATGGCAATCATTACAGTAATAACTGACTCAGGCAAGAATCATCAATGTATGTTAAAACTACTGGGTGAAACATGACAAAGTACCTCCCCACAAAGTATTTATTAATTACAAAGGGAAAATGATTACTTTTAATATAGATAAACCTGGTGAACATCACTGTAATCAAATGATTAAAATTCATCAATAATAGGACAAAATATCTCTTGATGTAATTCAACATTCTTCTATATTTTTGCCCCAAAATACATAACATGAATAATGACAAAATATCAGGCAAACACAACTGAGGAATGACGTACAAAAAACAGTCTACACTATTTAAAAATATCACTGTCAGAGAAGACAATAAAAGGTTAAAAAAATTGTTCTAGATTGAAGGAAACTTTAAGAACTATTTATGTAATCTTGGATTGAATCCTGCATCAAGAGAAAAATTGCAATAAAGAACATTACTAGGAAAATTTGAATTTGGACTATACACTAGATAACAGTAATTATATCAATGTTAAATTTCCTGATTTTAATATTTTTACTATGGTTAAATAATATTATTCTTAGGAAATACACACTGAAGGATTTAGCAGTAAAAAAGGATGTCTGCAACTTCTCAAATATTCAGAAAAGTTTGAGTACCTATGTATGTGTGTGCACATGTGTGAAAGAGAGAATGAAAGTACATGTGACAAAATGTTAACAATTTGCGACTCTGGGGGAGTGTTCAGGAATTCTTTTTAATATTCTTGCAAATTTTCTGTAAATTTAAAATTATTTAAGAATCTAAAGTTTAAAAAATGTCTCTAAACTGTTAAAAGCTTACAAAAGGTATTTATAGATATTTTACCCGTGGGATTTTTTTCTTTTTTTTTTTCTTGATAGGGTATTTTTCTGTCTCCCAGGCTAGAGTGCAATCTGCTGCGCTGGAGTGATCCTCCCATCTCAGCTTCCTCAGTAGTGGGACTACAAGCATGTACCACCCAGGCTTGCTAATTAAAAAAAAAAATTTTGTAGAGATGGGATCTCCCTATGTTGCTCAGGCTTGAACTCCTGAACTCAGGTGATCTGCTTGACTTGACCTCCCAAAGTGCTGGGATTATAGGTGTGAGCCACCACATCCAGCCCCAGTGGGAAATTTTGTTTGCAGTTCTTAAGCATCTTTTCTCCATGAACTCTACTTCATAAATTTTGTGTTTTTAAGGGTCTCAAGATTTTTGTTTGAATAAACAAAACTATGTATTTGTAAAAATGATTTGAGTCATGTTTCTATTCAAATTCGTAGTTTTACTGCATTTAACATTTATTTTTTATTTATTTTAATTAAATTTTTTTTTTAAGATTGGAAACCATCAACTTGTATTGACACCAATTATGACTTTTCTCTGTAGCCTATAAGAGTGGACAGAGTGGGCTGACCCAAGATGTTTTTATCTGTAAGAATGACTAACAATGATGTACACACTTCTAAATAGCCAACTACTTTTTCCTCAAATGCAGCTGAAAGGATTCATAATGGTAACAAATTAGTGTTACAGATAGATATTTTAATATGTATCTACTATCCATCGCCTTCCATGGAGCCATGGCATTGATCCAGGAGCTTTCACCTTTTATGTGAACTTTGGTACTGTCAAGACAGAGACAATTTTGTTTACATTTACCCAGATACGTTTCATTCCTAAGAAAAGCCTCTTGGCAATACGTTTATTCAGTTCTGAGAAATGGTGACATTTTGGAAACTTCTCTCAGAAACAGCAGTCACACATGTGGAACACTGGATGAAACTACATATGACGACAACATACGGTTAGGACATCCTCCCCCGACCCTACACATTTCTAAAGGAAAACCCAATTTTAGAATTTTGTACTTGCCAAACTTAAAAAACCCAGTCACTTGAAAGTTAGCCAGCAGGGCATTGCCACCAACCCCAATAAAGCTGTACGTTTCATCACGTGCACCAGACATATCTACAAGGCTAGTTTCAGTATTCTTCTTTTAAAGAATTTATTTTAAACCTATTATACCACACAGCATGTTTCAAACACTGACATATAATTCCCTAATAAGATAAAACAAAGGCAAAAAGTTTTATCTTATTAGAAACAAGATACACCATCACTTATAGTCTTCAAATATCATTGCACTTTAACTTCCATAATTTGACAAAGCATTCATGAAACAAGCTACAGACTAGTTTTAACAGACAAAAAATACCTTACTTGTAAGCAGACATGCCTGTCCTAAATGTTTTATTAGGTAAGAATTTTACAAACATTATTTATATTAGTGGTAATGGAGTATTGCGCCTTCTCCAAGCTGCAGGGTGAGAGCCACCAAGAGTGTGGTGGAATTTATGGCCCTTCCAAGGCCATGGCTCTTTCGGCCTGCAGATGTCAGCCTCCACCTCCTGGGCTCAAATGATTCTCCAAACAGCCTCCTATGTAGCTGGGTCCACAGGTGCACACTACCATGCTCGGCTCATTTTTTTAGTTTTTGTAGAGATGGGGTCTCATTTTGTTGCCCAGGCTGGTCTCTAACTCCTTGCCTCAAGTGATCCTCCCTCCTTGGCCTCCTAAAGTCCTGGGATTACAGGCCAGTGATGGATATTGACTATTCACTAGCTTTTGCAAATAAGAAAATTTATTTAGAAACTTGTTTTGTAGTAGTTTATAATCATTAACATTTAGTGTTCTCATATCAGAAAATAGATTATTTGTTCTAACTGGCTAAGAATGTATTTTAAAAGCATCTTGCTTTCTAAATTATAGTTATTTTCTAGGGTTTTTTTTTTCTTTTTTTGAGACAGGGTCTCGCTCTGTCACCCAGGCTAGAGTGCATTGGCATGATCACCACTCACTGCAGCCTCCACCTCCTGGGCCCTAGTGATCCTCCCACCTCAGCCTCTCGAGTAGTGGGACTACAGGCACACCACCACATCCAGCTTGCTTGCTTGCTGATTGATTGATTGATTGATTGATTGAATGTAGAGATGGAGTCTCGCTATGTTGCTCAGGCTGGCCTTGAACTTCTGGGCTCAAGCGATCCTCCTACCTTGGCTTCCCAAAATGCTGAGATTACAGAAATGAGCCACTGTATCTTCTAGTTTTATAGACTCTATTAGACATATCTATAGGTCATACTGGCCATCATAATACCACACTGTGTTCTAACAACTTATCTAATGGGTAGGGGCCAAGGATGTTGTTAAGCAATCTATAATGTATAGGACAGCCTCTACCAAAAAGAATTACCCAACCCAAATGTCAACAGTGCTGAGATTGAGAAACCCTGAAGTAATCTTACATACTGTATCTTCTTTTATTGGTAAATGACTGAAGGTAAACATATTTATCTTTTAAGACAAAAAGGGGGCACTTATTGGAGGGATACTAGAGTATCTCCCATAATCAAAGGGAAGCTGAGGTTGAGCAAGGCTTAAGGAGCAACAGAAAGAAGCCAGAAGACAAACAGGACCCTGCCTAATGCCTCTCTTCTCTCTGGCTATGGGCTTCTTTCTCTCTCACTGCAAACCAGTTCATCTATTAATACATAGTAAAAAACATGGCTGCCAGTATCATCTTTGCTTGAAGATCTCCATCTGAGAAGTAGTCTCTTTTCCTACTTCCAATTTTATAAATTCTGTGAAATAACTGACTGACTGTGTTTAGGTCAGGTGCCTACCCCTGGACCAATCAACTGTCCAGGGTAGGGTCATGTAAGACTTTGGTAGTCTTTAAATAAAGAGCCACATTATTGGAATGGGGTAACGAGTGATTTAAAGAATGTTAATCCCAGCAGGAAGAGATGCTGGGCAGACAAAATAAGATAGTAAACCATAGTGTCAGTTACTCTAGTACAATGATTAAAAGAAGTCTGCAGCTGGGCACGGTGGCTCACGCCTGTAATCCCAGCACTTTGGGAGGCCGAGGCAGGCAGGTCACAAGGTCAAGATATCAAGACTATCCTGGCCCACATGGTGAAAGCCCGTCTCTACTAAAAATACAAAAAATTGGCCAGGCGTGGTGGCTTACGCCTGTAATCCCAGCACTTTGGGAGGCCGAGGCGGGCGGACCACCTGAGGTAGGGAGTTCAAGACCAGCCTGACCAACATGGAGAAACCCCATCTCTACTAAAAATACAAAATTAGCCAGGCGTGGTTGCGCATGCCTGTAATCCCAGCTACTCAGGAGGCTGAGGCAGAAGAATTACTTGAACCCAGGAGGTGGTGGTTGCAGTGAGCAGAGATCGTGCCATTGCATTTCAGCCTGGGCAATAAGAGCAAAACTCTGTCTCAAAATAAATAAATAAATAAATAAATAAATAAATAAATAAATAAGGTGGGCGTGGTGGTGTGTGCTTGTAGTCCCAGCTACTCGGGAGCCTGAGGCAGGAGGATTGCTTGAACCAGGGAGGTGGAGGTTGCAGTGAACCAAGATTGTGCCAGTGCAATCCAGCCTGGCAACAGAGTGAGACTGTTTCAAAAAAAAAAAAAAGTCTGCCCAACATAAAGCTTTGTGAGCTTAAGCTGTTATTTTACCTCTCTAAATGTCAGTTTCTTCACCGTTGTTAGGGCAATAACATTATCTACCTCACTGGGTTGTTAAGAGGATTAAATGTGATAATATATGCCTAAGACATGGCAAATATTCAATAATTACTAGCTATTATTACCCATGTTTACTTACTATGCTTTGTAAATCCTTAAGATGAAGATATCTCCTTTACTTATACCTACTTGACCATAAATTATTATTATTATTATTTTTTTTTTTTTTGAGACAGAGTCTTGCTCTTATTGCCCAGGCTGGAGTGCAATGGCACGATCTCGGCTCACCACAACCTCTGCCTCCCGGGTTCAAGCAATTCTCCTGCCTCAGCCTCCCGAGTAGCTGGGATTACAGACATGGGCACCATGCCCAGCTAATTTTTGCATTTTTACTAGAGACGGGGTTTCTCCATGTTGGTCAGGCTGGTCTCGAACTCCCGACCTCAGGTGATCTGCCCGCCTTGGCCTCCCAAAGTGTTGGGATTACAGGCGTGACCCACCATGCCTGACCCAAAATTATGTTTTAACCCCATGAACACTTATGGGCATATCTAAAGATACAAATGTCCTATAGAACACAGTTTGGAAAATGTCCCAGGCAAGGCCATGCAGTCCAAAAGTTAAAAATCTACTTAATCATATAACATGTCTGAAAAAATTGCTGGTGTTGTTCAAGACTGTTGGGAACAAGCCCCCCAAAATCTGGCCGTAAACTGGCCCTAAACTGGCCATAAACAAAATCTCTGCAGCACTGTGACATGTTCATGATGGCCGTAACGCCCACGCTGTAAGGTTGTGGGTTTACCGGAATGAGGGCAAGGAACACCTGGCCCGCCCAGGGCAGAAAACCACTTAAAGGCATTCTTAAGCCACAAACAATAGCATGAGCGATCTATGCCTTAAGGACATGCTCCTGCTGCAGTTAACTAGCCCAACCTATTCCTTTAATTCCTTTAATTCAGCCCATCCCATAAGGGATACTTTTAGTTAATTTAATATCTATAGAAACAATGCTAATGACTGGATTGCTGTTAATAAATACGTGGGTAAATCTCTGTTCAGGGCTCTCAGCTCTAAAGGCTGTGAGACCCCTGATTTCCCACTTCACACCTCTATATTTCTGTGTGTGTGTCTTTAATTCCTCTAGCGCCACTGGGTTAGGGTCTCCCCGACCGAGCTGGTCTCGGCACAAGACTTCATTTACATGAGAGTTTGGGAGTCTATTAGTATAGAAATAAAAGAAGAGACAAGGGTACACATAAGTGTACAGCTCATTCAATTGCAGTTAGTACCCAGATCACGAAAGAGAACACTGACAACATCCCAGAAACTAAGAATAACTACTAACTTTTAGCAGTATTGATTAGTTTTGGTTATTTTTATACTTCATACAAATGGAATTATACACTATGAAACCTTTTGTGTCTAGTTTTTTCCACATCCAACATTATGTTTGTGATATTCAGCCATTGTTGTTAGCTATAGATAATTTTCACTGTAGTCCATTAGATAAATACCATAATTTGTTTATCCATTTGACTGTTGATGGACATCTGGATATTTTCAAATTTGAGGTGACTAGGAATTAGACTGCAATGATCATTATGGTATTTGTCTTTGGGTAAATATATGTATACACTTCTGTTGGGTATATACCCTGAAGTGGAATTTCTGTGCCATAAGGTATGCATATATCCTGGTTTAGATGTTGCCAAACAGTTTCCCAAAGTGGTTTTCATCTACTTATACTCCCACCAGCAGTTTATTTGAGTTCCAGTTGTTCCACATTCTCACTCCAGAAGATCTACCCAGTATTTTCCTTCTTTTCTATTTTCAGCATTCTAGTGAGGATGTAGTGGTGCTTCATGGAGGTTTTAATTTGCATTTTCCCAGATGACACTTTCCAGCTGAGTACCTTTTCATATGTTTGCTGGTTTACATGAAAATCTGCTCTTGTGAAGTACCAATTAAAGTCTTTTGCCCATTTTTCTATTGGATTGTCTTGCAAATCTTTTCACGCTGGGCTGTACTTTCACACTCTAAAAAGTTTCTTTTTATAAAAAGGACTTTTAAAGCTGTTTAATTTATCCATTTTTTCCCCTTTTATTGTTGGCATTTTGCCTAATCCAAGGTCCAGTCCTCTAAAAGTTTTTTTTTTTTTTTTTTGAGACAGAGTCTCGCTCTGTCACCCAGGCTGGAGTGCAGTGGTGGCACGATCTCGGCTCACTGCAAGTTCACGCCATTCTTCTGCCTCAGCCTCCCAAGTAGCTGGGACTACAGGCGCCCGCCACCATGCCTGGCTATTTTTTTATATTTTTAATAGATACAGAGTTTCATTGTGTTAGCCAGGATGGTCTCTATCTCCTGACCTCATGATCTGCCCACCTCAGCCTCCCAAAGTGCTGGGATTACAGGCATAAGCCGTCGTGCCCAGCCCCTAAAAGTTTTATTCTTTTACCTTTCATATTCAGACTTCCAATCCACCTGGAATTGATTTTTGTGCATGGTGTGAGGGTAAGGGTCCAGATAAAATTTTTCCCATGCTGATAACAAATAACAGTGCTATCTTTTGTAGAGAAAAGGATATATACAACTAATTCAGCTAAATGAAGGTATCTGTTAAAACTTCTTACTCCCTTAATTCTACTTCTTAGATTGTGGAATATCTTTAAATAACTCTTTTTTTTTGAGATGGAGTCTCACTCTGTCACCCAGGCTGGAGTGCAGTGGCACCATCTCGGCTCACTGCAAGCTCCGCCTCCTGGGTTCAAGGGATTCTTCTGCCTCAGCCTCCTGAGTAGCTGGGACTACAGGTGCAAGCCACCACGCCTGGCTAATTTTTGTATTTTTAGTAGGGATGGGGTGTCACCATATTGGCCAGGCTGGTCTCAAGCTCCTAGACCTCGTCATCCGCCCGCCTCAGCCTCCCAAAGTGAATAACCTTTTTTTTTTTTTTTAAATCTGAACAGACTGACTTTCAGAAGAGGCTGTCCTGAGAAAACTACTGATATCAATAAAGTTCTCATAATAAATTGGCATTTCCATTATTTTTCGGTTTGTCCTAAGGCTGATTAGTATTCATTAATTCCTTATGCTTCAACATCTCATGGTGAGTTTCTAAATTTGTATAGTGTAGGACCAAACACTGAATCTACAGTGACTCCATCAAGGTACTGAAGCTACAGGAATTATTCTAGAAGCAGATGCCTTGCTTCGTCTCTGGTATCTCTCCTAGCTATGATATTTTTGCAAAAAAAAAAAAAAAGAATATTGCCAAAACAAAACATAAAATGTTATGATCATTTAAAACTGATCCACCCTCTCCCTCTCCCTCTCCCCTCTCCCCTCTCCCCTCTCCCCTCTCTCCTCTCCACGGTCTCCTTCCATGGTCTCCCTCTGATGCCGAGCCAAAGGTGGACGGTACTGCTGCCATCTCGGCTCACTGCAACCTCCCTGCCTGATTCTCCTGCCTCAGCCTGCCGAGTGCCTGCGATTGCAGGCGCGCGCCGCCACGCCTGATTGGTTTTCGTTTTTTTTTTTTTGGTGGAGACGGGGTTTTGCTGTGTTGGCCGGGCTGGTCTCCAGCTCCTAACCGCGAGTGATCCGCCAGCCTCGGCCTCCCGAGGCGCCGGGATTGCAGACAGAGTCTCGTTCACTCAGTGCTCAATGGTGCCCAGGCTGGAGTGCAGTGGCGTGATCTCGGCTCGCTACAACCTCCACCTCCCAGCCGCCTGCCTTGGCCTCCCAAAGTGCCGAGATTGCAGCCTCTGCCCAGCCGCCACCCCGTCTGGGAAGTGAGGAGCGTCTCTGCCTGGCCGCCCATCATCTGGGATATGAGGAGCCCCTCTGCCTGGCTGCCCAGTCTGGAAAGTGAGGAGCGTCTCTGCCCAGCCGCCATCCCATCTAGGAAGCGAGGAGCGCCTCTTCCCCACCGCCATCCCATCTAGGAAGTGAGGAGCGTCTCTGCCCGGCCGCCCATCGTCTGAGATGTGGGGAGCACCTCTGCCCTGCCGCCCTGTCTGGGATGTGAGGACCGCCTCTGCTGGGCCGCAACCCTGTCTGGGAGGTGAGGAGCGTCTCTGCCCGGCCGCCCCGTCTGAGAAGTGAGGAAACCCTCTGCCTGGCAACCGCCCCGTCTGAGAAGTGAGGAGCCCCTCTGTCCGGCAGCCACCCCGTCTGGGAAGTGAGGAGCGTCTCCGCCCGGCAGCCACCCCGTCCGGGAGGGAGGTGGCGGGGGGTCAGCCCCCCGCCCGGCCAGCCGCCCCGTCCGGGAGGTGAGGGGCTCCTCTGCCCGGCCGCCCCTACTGGGAAGTGAGGAGCCCCTCTGCCCGGCCAGTCGCCCCGTCCAGGAGGGAGGTGGGGGGGTCAGCCCCCCGCCCGGCCAGCCGCCCAGTCCGGGAGGGAGGTGGGGGGTCAGCCCCCCGCCCGGCCAGCTGCCCCATCTGGGAGGGGGGAGGGGGGGTCAGCCCCCTGCCCGGCCAGCCGCCCCGTCCGGGAGGGAGGTGGGGGGGTCAGCCCCCCGCCCGGCCAGCCGCCCCGTCCGGGAGGGAGGTGGGGGGATCAGCCCCCTGCCTGGCCAGCCGCCCCGTCCGGGAGGTGAGGGGCGCCTCTGCCCGGCCGCCCCTACTGGGAAGTGAGGAGACCCTCTGCCCGGCCAGCCGCCCCGTCCGGGAGGGAGGTGGGGGGGTCAGCCCCCCGCCCGGCCGGCCGCCCCGTCCGGGAGGTGAGGGGCGCCTCTGCCCGGCCGCCCCTACTGGGAAGTGAGGACCCCTCTGCCCGGCCAGCCACCCCGTCCGGGAGGGAGGTGGGGGGGTCAGCCCCCCGCCCGGCCAGCCGCCCCGTCCGGGAGGGAGGTGGGGGGATCAGCCCCCCACCTGGCCAGCCGCCCCGTCCGGGAGGGAGGTGGGGGGATCAGCCACCCGCCCGGCCGGCCGCCCCGTCCGGGAGGTGAGGGGCGCCTCTGCCCGGCCGCCCCTACTGGGAAGTGAGGACCCCTCTGCCCGGCCAGCCGCCCCGTCCGGGAGGGAGGTGGGGGGGTCAGCCCCCCGCCCGGCCAGCCGCCCTATCCAGGAGGTGAGGGGCGCCTCTGCCCGGCCGCCCCTACTGGGAAGTGAGGAGCCCCTCTGCCTGGCCAGCCGCCCCGTCCGGGAGGGTGGTGGGGGGGTCAGCCCCCCGCCCGGCCAGCCGCCCCATCCGGGAGGTGAGGGGCGCTTCTGCCCGGCCGCCCCTACTGGGAAGTGGGGAGCCCCTCTGCCCGGCCACGACCCCGTCTGGGAGGTGTGCCCAGCGGCTCATTGGGGATGGGCCATGATGACAATGGCGGTTTTGTGGAATAGAAAGGCGGGAAGGGTGGGGAAGAAATTGAGAAATCGGATGGTTGCCGGGTCTGTGTGGATGGAAGTAGACATGGGAGACTTTTCATTTTGTTCTGTACTAAGAAAAATTCTTCTGCCTTGGGATCCTGTTGATCTGTGACCTTATCCCCAACCCTGTGCTCTCTGAAACATGTGCTGTGTCCACTCAGGGTTAAATGGATTAAGGGTGCGAGATGTGCTTTGTTAAACAGATGCTTGAAGGCAGCATGCTCGTTAAGAGTCATCACCACTCCCTAATCTTAAGTACCCAGGGACACAAACACTGCGGAAGGCCGCAGGGTCCTCTGCCTAGGAAAACCAGAGACCTTTGTTCACTTGTTTATCTGCTGACCTTCCCTCCACTATTGTCCTATGACCCTGCCAAATCCCCCTCTGGGAGAAACACCCAAGAATGATCAATAAAAAAAAAAAATAAATAAATAAAATAAAAACAAAACAAAACAAAAACAAAAACTGATCCACAAATGTGAAATGTTGTTTATTGATTGATTCACTGATTGATTGAGATGAGGTCTCACCCGGTCGCTTAGGCTGGAGAGTAGTGACATTATCACAGCTCACTGCACCCTCAACCTCCTAGGCTCAAGTGATCCTCCCACCTCAGCCTCCCAAGTAGCTGGGATCACAGGTGTGCACAACCACACCCACCTAATTTAAAAAAAAATTTTGTAGAGACAGGGTCTGGCCATGTTGCCCAGGCCGGTCTCAAACTCCTGGGCTCAAGCAAATTGCTTGCCTCAGCTTCCCAAAGAGCTAGGATTACAGGCATGAACCACCATGCCTGGCAATATTCCATTTAATTTGAGATTTACAAAATCCAAGTCTTCAGGCTGAGGCAAGAGGATCGCTTTAGCCCAGGAGTGCAAGTTCAGCCTGGGCAACATGGCAAGAAAACATCTCTACAAAAAAATAAAAGAATTAGCCAGGGGTAGTAACATACCTGTACTTCTAGCTACTCAGGAGGCTGAGGTGGGAGGATAACTCGAGCCCAACAGGTTAAGGTTATAGTGGGCTATGATTGTGCCACTGCACTTCAGCATGGGTGACAGAGCATGACTCTGTTTCTTAAGAAAAACAAAAAATCCAAGTCTTTATGCAGTGGTTTTAAAAAATAAAAGAAATCTAAACAAATGGAATAAAGAACCTATTACTAAAGATAAAAATGGCTTTATTAGCTAGAACTGAGTTATTTTAATGAATGAAAAAAACAATCAGAAATGCATCCTGGCCAGGTGCGGTGGCTCATGCCTGTAATCCCAGCACTTTAGGAGGCTGAGGCGGGCAGATCACCTGAGGTCAGGAGTTCGAGACTAGTCTGGCCAAGAAGGCAGAACCCGGTCTCTACTAAAAATACAAAAATTAGCCGTGCATGGTAGCGGGTGCCTGTAATCCCAGCTACTAGGGAGGCTGAGGCAGGAGAACAGCTTGAGCCCAGGAGGCGGAGGTTGCAGTGAGATGAGATTGTGTCATTGCATTCCAGACTGGGTGACACAGCAAGACACTGTCTCAAAAAAAAAAAAAAAAAGAAACGTATCATTTTCTTTTTTTTTTTAAGAGATGGTCTCACTGTGTTACCTAGGCTGGTGTGCAGCAGCTATTTACAGGAGGGATCACAGTGTACTACAGCCCTGAACTCTTGGTCTCAAGCAATCTTCTTTCCTCAGTCTCCTGATAGAAATACTTTTTTTTTTTGAGACAGAGTCTTGCTCTGTCACCCAGGCTGTAGTACAGTGGCACGATATCAACTCACTGCAACCTCCCCATCCCAGGTTCAAGTGATTCTCCTGCCTCAGCCTCCTGTGTAGCTGGGACCACAGGCGCCTGCCACCATGCCCAGCTAATTTTTGTATTTTTAGTAGATAATAATGGGCACCCGGCCTATTATTTTTATATGTTGTAAAATGTCTCAGCTCTTACTTAAACTCACTAATTATAACACCAATTCATGGAGTGATATACTTAAATAACAGAGATCTTTAGAAACAAATATGGAGAGAAATTAATAAATTAAGTAAACATAGGCAAATTCCTATGTGACTCATAACAATGATTCTTGCTCTTCCCTTGCTCCTTGAAGCCCACTGCCATGGGAGCTATTGTTTTAAAAGTCTAAGCTCTAAATAAATTGATGGGTTTACAAGAAGAAAGAAGGAAAGACACTATTAAGTTTAAGTGGACCTGATTCAGGGAGAAAAACAACAGGCTTGATTATCTGGTATCACTTTTGTCCAACAACATTTCCTCCTTTGCTGCCTATTTACATTTTATATAACTGCACCAGAAATTAATTTGGTTTAGCAGGCACCTGCTGTCAAATACAAGATTATCTGTAATTTTTAAATTTTTACTTGCTACTTGCTTTCACTGTATATCCTTTTGTATAATTTGAACTTTTTCCTGTGTACATATATTTCCTATGTTAAAAAACATTAAATAAGTTAAACAAAAAAGAATGCTTTCCTGTTAATATCTAGTTGAGATCAGTTCACTGAGGAAACAAAAGCTTTGATTAGGAGTAGGAAGAAATAATTTACAACAAAAATATTTGTGGGGCAGAAAAGACTGAAACACGCAAATATTTGGAGCTGGAGGAGCAGCATGTCGAGGGAAAACAGCTACTAAAAGCAAACAGAGGACAGATGGAGGAGATGCCAAACAATGAGGCTTCTTTGAAAAACTCTTCTCTTTGTCCCTAAAGTATTTTAAATGGCACTCAGTTTCCACATCTTTTAATCTGGACTACTACCAAAACTATATAGTTCAGCTATATTATGAAATAAATAGATCTGTGCCCTGACTTGGGGCTGTAGCCACAGATTATAACACTATTTGCATGGAAAATGCATTCTGAGTTCCATGTAAATGACTCCAAAAACATTTGTAAACATAACCCATTTCTAAATTGAGGAAGGTATATTAACTTACAGCATAAGATCATAAGCTCCCAGGCTGCATGCAGTATCTCACACCTGTAATCCCAGCACTTTGGGAGGCCTGGGCGAGTGGGTCGCTTGAGCCCAGGGGTTCAATACTAGCCTGGGTAACATGGCGAAACTCCGTCTCCGAAAAAATACACAAAAATTAGTAGGGCGTGGTGGCGTGGACCTGTAGTCTCAGCTACACAGGAGGCTGAGGTGGGAGGATTGCTTGAACCCAGGAGGTTAAGGCTGCACTGAATGGCGATCACACCATTGTGCTCCAGGCTGGGCAACAGAGTGAGACAATCAGGGAAAAAAAAAAAAAAGATCATAAGCTCCCAATGGGGAAAACTTCATTTTCCTTCTCTTTACTCTTTAGTGTCCATTGGTGTGGTACATAGAAGATACACTGAAATGGTAAATGAGCTAAACATATGCACTACTTTGAAAATTTAACCCCTGTTCTGCTTAATTCAATCCTTCCAGGAAGAAGATACAAATACAGCTGTCCCTCAATATCTGTGGAGAATTGGTTCCAGGACTCCTGCAGATACCAAAATCCATGGAGGCTCAAGTCTCCTATATAAAATGGTGTATCTGCATATAACCTATGCATATCCTCCCATATACTTTAATCATCTCTAGATTACTTATAATACCTAACACAATGTAAATGCTATATAAATAGTTGTTATACTATATTGGTTTAGGAAATAATGGCAAGAAAAAAAAGTTTGTATATGTTCAGGACAGAGGCAACCATTCATTTTTTTCTCGAAATATTTTCAATTTGTCATTGGTTGAATCCACAAATGTGTAATACACAGACATGGAGAGCCATCTGTATTCTTCCCAGATTTTTCCTACGTAGACTTTCTGCAGATAATGTCTTCATTCAAAGGAACCACCAGCAGGACAATTTGAAAATGATTGGTTGCTCGCATGTAGGCCTTCCAGGTTCCTCTAGATCTCTCACTCTGCTGGCTTCACTGTTTCTAGCTCCATCCTGAACCAGCTATTTGTTAAGACACTTTGTTCCTAAACCACGCATTACTTCTCCATCCATGTAAATCTGAAATAAGTGTCTTCCTCAGTTTTACCCTGCGCTGGTCTATTACGCATAGGCTCGGAGAACAGGGCTCAATGAGTATTAAAATTAAGGCATCATATATAACCATTATAGAACATCACAAACCACATCACAACTAAGGTATTCTACTTACTTAAGAAAGAATATTTCAGGTCAGGTATAAACTATTAATTTCTACAAATAAATGCTTTTAAACGGTCACTTTAACAAATATGAACGTCTTTCTGCAAGATACACATATATAATTTCAAAAATAACAAACTTACTCATCATTGTCTTTTGTTGTAGATTCTTTGCTTTCAGTTAAACTGGGGTGATTCAATTTTTTTCTCTTTTCTATATATGTGTAATAAAGAAAAGGACATAAAGTTAAAGGAGAAATCATCAAATTTTAAATAGAATTTAGTTTGTCAAATTTTAAATAGAAAGTAAAAAGGACAAATGGAAGGGAGGTGGGCAAAGAAAAAGTATCCTATTTTGTTTTTTTTCATTTCCCATTTTCCTAATTTCTTACTCACAATACCATATAAGAAAAAATAATCTTTTGAATAAAATTTCCACTGAAGGTTGGTATATTAAAGAGAAATCAAATATGATTCTATAATTAGGTTAAAATGCATTAGTAAACTTTATTAGATAAAGGATACTTTCATCAAATATTTTAATCAATGATATCATATAAAGGCTTCCAGTTTGCATTATTCCACCTTTATTTTTTTTCTCAAGTTAACAACAAGGGATTGGTGATACCGATACTCAGAAAATAGTTAAGTTCCTCGTAATATCATTGTAAAATAAATTTGATTTTAGGGGTAAAAGTACCTTTTAATTTTATTTTTAAACTGACACAATATTTACAGTGTATAACATGTTCTGAAATATGTATATATTGTGAAATGGCTAAATCAAACTAGTTAACATATCTATTACCTTACATGCTTATCATTTTTTATGGTATGAACACTGAAAGTCTACTCTCTCAGCAATTTTCAAGTATATAATATGTTGTTATTAATTACAGTCAATTATACAATAATTGAACTTGTTCCTCCTGTTTAGCTGAAATTTTTTATCATTTGGTCAACATGTTCCCAATCACTCGGCCCTCCCGACCAGCAGAACTTGGTAGTCACCATTCTATTTTCTGTTCTATGATTTTGACTTTTTTAGATCCCACTTATAAGTGAGATCATGTGGTATGTGTCTTTCTGTGCCTGGCTTACTTCCCTTAACATAATATTCTCCAGGTTCATTCATGTTGTCCCAAGTGGCAGGATTTCCCTCTTTTTAAAGGTTAAGAGCATTCCACTGAGTATATATACCATATTTTCTTTATCCATTCATGTGTTCATGGGCACTTAGGTTGATTCAGTATCTAAGCTATTGTGAATAATGGTGCAATGAACATGGGAGTCCAGATATTTCTTTGACATACTGATTTAATATCCTTTGAATATATACTCAGTAGTGGGATTGCTGGGTCATATGGTAGTTTTATTTAAATTTTTTGAGGACCTGAATCTTTAAATGCATATTTATTTAGTAAATCCTTGGAAAGATCTAAGTATATCACTCATTATTTATTTAAGATAACAATAAAATAAATAAATGGTTACCTTCCATTTAAAATGCCATGTAGTTATCCAAGGTCATGGCTTATCTAAACTTTTACAAGTTTCACAAATTGACAGATGCACACGTGAAGACATAGGATGTAACTAAGTCATAATCCTTCATATGCCCACTGGGTTGAAATGTAAGTTTGTTTGATTTTATAGCTCTAGTAGAACATAATGTTTGTACTTATCAATGGTCAAGTAGATAACTGTTTTATGAGCTATTTAGTTGTTTGTTCTAGAGTACTTTATACTACCATATACACTATGTACTTTAAACACATTTGATATATAATTAGCAAGTATTTGAGGACACATATTAGTAGAGTTAAGATTTTCAGTGTCTTAAATATACTGGCTTTTGATGTTTATGAATGAACAAGCAAATGAATGAATAACCCAAACTGTTCACCACTAATGAAAAACAGTCAAACGAAACTCAATTTCATTGAGTCCACTGGTTCAGAAACTGATTAATAATAATTCCTCTCATTGTTACTTTGGACCTATGTCTTCCTCAAAAAAAACAAAACAAAAAAAACCCTATCACAATTAAATTGTTACCCCAAAATAGTCTCTAATGCAAAAGGAGAAAAAACTTACAGAAATTTTGTTAAAGCACTAGTTATTTCTCTTGTTTATGAACTATGCCTTATTTGACAAGTCTTTATCCTTAAGTTCCAAACAGAATAAATTAATATGGTTAAAAATTTAGTAAAGAATGTAAGGGGAAAAGAATAACAATATATTATGATTTTAGAGAGTTTTGGAGTAATAAATTAAAATCTGTCTCTAAAAAAAAGCTGAAAATGAATGTTTTGTGGAAAACCACAAATGAAAACCCAAATTGTACCTTAAACCTTTATTTCAGAAAATCTTTGCCTAAAGGTCAATACTAGTTTCCTGAATTTTGTACTATGCTGTTTGCATTCAGTAAGGCTCCAAAATTAAGTATTAAAATTACTTTGCTCCTTTAACTTGTAATTCATTTTCACATTTCAGCACTAATAGCAAAAAATGTTAGGTAATAAATAGTAAAGAATGTTATTTGAATTTTCACTAGGTATTCAATGCCTTTCTAAATATTTTTATTATAAGAGAACTAGTCAAATATCTCACCCTGTAAAAATGTGGATCAATAGTATTAACCTCAGTCTTCTCATGGAAGGACTTATGATTTTAAATAATTTTCAGCTGTTAAATATGAAGAGTTTTAATATTTCTAAGAGTAATACTTAGATCAGTTACTAGACTGTTGAGTAATACAACATATTGAGTAGTAAATGTAGTAAATGAGGTTTCCAGTTACTTAATAATTACTTTCCTTTATTTCATTCCATTCTATTAAAAAAAGTAAGCACAATGAAAATATACAAAAGCACTATAGAGTCTATATGGTATTTTTCTTGTGAGATTATATGTAAAAGTGACCAAACACTTGTGTATTTGACTCTCTTCAAGTGCAGTTTCACAAAACATTGGTGATAAATGTACCATCACTGAATCTGAACTACATTCATAATTGTATTTGAGCTTTCTGGTAAGGCTCCAGGGAGCTCTTTCCCTAACAAATGAAGATAGCTTTCAACAAATTGTTAATACTTGGAAACACAATCAATAGTGATGACAACGGCTAACACATGGTATTAATTAGGGCCAGGCATTGCTTTAAATATGTTACATATGATATCTAATTAACTTGCACAACTCTGATATAGTCACTCTTGTTCCCATTTTACAGATGAGAAAATAGAAGTACAGAATGGTTACAAACTTATCCCAGCCCATAAAGTTAGTGAGTGAGGATTGAAACCCAGACATTTAGCTGAAGACTGTGCTCTTAACCATGATGCAATGCTTATTAATAGATTAATGTAGGCTGGGTGCGGTGGCTCATGCCTGTAATCCTAGCACTTTGGGAGGCTGAGGCAGGTGGATTGCCTGAGCTCAGGAGTTTCAGACCAGCCTGGTCAACACCGTGAAACCCTGTCTCTACTAAAATACAAAAAATTACCCGCGCCTGGTGGTGTGTGCCTATAATCTCAGCTACTTGGGAGGCTGAGACAGGAGAATCACTTGAACCTGGGAGGCAGAGGTTGCAGTGAGCCGAGATCACGCCACTGCACTCCAGCCTGGGTGACAGAGTGACTCCATCTCAAAAAAAAAAAAAAAAAAAAAAAGATTAATGTAAAGCCCAAACAGGTTTAGGCTGGTATCATGCTGCTTCTAGGTACCCATACTTTATAGTTGATAAATACTATAGGCAATCATTTTGGTCTCAAACCAAAAGTTAAGAGTTGGAAAAACCTTGATCCACAGAGGTTCAAGTGATTTGTTCAAGGTGGTCAAACAAAAGTTAGTAACTTCTTTCTAAAAAGGTTACTTGCATGTAGATCAAGTTGAGGCCTGTAGGCAAAGAGGTGAATGAGATACTGATACAGTCCTGCTATTCTTTTAATAAACCAAATTAATATTAATAGAGTGGAGGGTAAATAACCTCTTTGGAGGATCAACTCACAAAAAATAACAATGTTAATTTTTTTTTTTTTTTTTTTTTGAGACAGAGTCTCACTTTGCCAGCCCAGCCCGGAAAGCAGTGGTGCGATCTCTGCTCACTGCAACCTCCGCCTCCCGGGTTCAAGTGATTCTCTTGCCTCAGCCTTCCGAGTAGCTGGGACTGCAAGCGTGCACCACCACGCCTGGCTAATTTTTGTATTTTTAGTAGAGACTGGGTTTTGCCATGTTGGCCAGGCTAATCTCAAACTCCTGACCTCAGGTGATCTGCCCGCCTCAGCCCCCCAAAGTGCTGGGATTTACAGGCATGAGCCACTGCGCCCAGCTCAATGGTTCTTTTTCACTCAAAATGAAAATACCTTTATTAAGTCCCATAGATAGAAATATAATAATATTCTTAAAATATTACTTACATTATTGAATAGAAGGTTATCGCTGAGAAAATTGAAATCACTTTTTAATCTACTAAAACAGTAATATTTGGGAAGCAGTAACAAAAATACAGGTTTTTACATCTTTCATTCAGATTACTTTGTGTTGACTGGGTACTTGACAGTCTGATAACTGATTTAAGTGTTATTCTTAGAAATATTAAACCTTGTCATATTTAAAAGCTGAAAAGTATTTAAAAGCATAAGCCCTTCCATGAAAAGACTGAGATTAATATTATTGATCTACATTTTACAGGTAAGATATTTGACTAGTTCTTTCACAATAATAAAAATGTTTAGCATTTGGCCCACACCTCAGATTGCTCATCACAGGTTTAAGGAGATAGTATATTAGTTTATCAGCTCTTTTACATATTGTTTGCTCCTTCTGCTACTTGAAAAAAAATCAGTCTTGCCAGAGGGCTAACATTTCATTAGACTTTTCTGAGAACCAGCTTTTGATTTGTTGCTTTTCTTTATTATTGCCCTGTTTTCAATTTGTAATTTATCTTCATATCATTATTTCCTTTCTACTTTGGGGGGTTCATTATGTTGTTCCTTTTCAGTCATTCTGAGTTGAATGCTTGACTCAATAGTTTTCAATCATTCTTCCTTTTTAAATACAGTCATGAGCAGTATAACAACATTTTGGTCAGTGACAAACCACATATATGACAGTGGTCTCATAAGATTATAAACACCATATTTCTACTGTACCTTTTCTACTCAGATATGTTTAAATACACCAATACCATTATGTTTTGATTGCCTATGGTATTCAGTAGTCCACTGTATAGGTTTGCAGCCTAGGAACAAAAGGCTATACCATATAGCATAAATGTGTAGTAGGCTATGACATCTAGGTTTGTGTAAGTACAATCTATGATGTTCATACAATGACAAAATCACCAAACAATGCTTTCCTCAGAAGGTATCCCCATTGTTAAGTGACACAGGACTGTATATGCATTTGTAAGTACAGTTGGCCCTCTGTATTAGTGGATTCCACATCTGTGGATTCAACCAACCATGGATCAAAAATACTTTGTTTAAAAAAAGGATGGTTGCATCTGTACTGAACATATACAGACTTTTCCTTGTCATAATTCCCTAAACAATACAGTATAACAACTATTTCCATAGCACTTACATTGTATTAGGTATATAAGTAATCCTGAGATAATTTAAAGTATATAGGAGGGTGTATTGGTTATATGCAAATACTATACTATTTTCTACAAGGGACTTGAGAGTCTGTGGATCTTGGAAACTGAGTGGGATCCAGTAACCAATCCCCCAGATAGGAAGGGACGACTGTATAAAGCTTCCACCAAGAACTGCTTTAGTATAATGTAGGTATAAATTTTTCCTCTAAGTGCTGACATGTTTTCATTATCATTCAATTTTAAATATTTTATACTTTCCATTATAATTTTTCTGATCAATGAATTATTTAGAAGTTTCTTGGTTTCCAAACATACAGGTTAAAATTTTTGGAGGGCTGCCTTTTCATTATTGATTCCTAATTGTATGAAATTTTAGAGTGTGAGCTGTATGACTGTAATTTTTAGTACAGTGAGACTTCCTCTGTAACTCCAAGCTGGTTACATTTTTGTGAACATTCTACATGTGCTTTATTATATGGGTATTATATCTTTTTGACCACAGCTCATTAGATAAACTTGCTAATTGTGTACAACTTGTCTATGTCCTTCCTTTTTAACCGCTTCATCAGTTTCTGAAAGAGGTAGTTTAAAATCTCCTACAATGATTGTGGATTTATCAGTTTCTCCCTTGTTATCCTGTCATATTTCATTATGTTTTGAGTTTTTTAGATGCACATATGGCTCAGGATCCTTTTATTTTTGTAGTGGTGAATCTTTCTCTATCTCTTATGTAAAGAGCCTCATTATTTTCAATAAATCCTTTTAGGCATAAAGTCTATTTCAGCCTTTCTATTTTTGTATCAACTACTAGCTTTTTTTAAAAAGCTAGTATTTGCTTTGTTTTCTTTTTCTATTCCTTCAGATTTAATTGTCTTATGTCTTTTCTTAAAGTCTAATTAATAATGCTATTAATGAAAATGGCTAGAACATGTATGGAACATATACTATTAATATACGTCAAGTACCATTCTAAGTGCTTTCTGTGTATTAATTCATTTAATCCTCACAATTCTGAGGTAGGAATTACTATCTTCCCCATTTTACAGGCAAGAAAACAAAAAATACAATGAAGAAGTCAACTGATAGATATCTTGTCTGCCTGAAAATACGAGGACCTTAAAATATTGTCTAAAACATCGTAACTCTTATCTGTTGCCTCCTCACCTTCCATGATAGTTTTTCACCCGCCCTCCAATTGTTTGACTTTTTTTTTTCACCCGCCCTCCAATTGTTTGTTTTTAACCTGCCCTCCAATTTTTTTTTCACCCGCCCTCCAATTGTTTGACTTTTGCTTTATAGTCAGCAAAACTTGTAATTAGATTAACATGTTTGCTAATTCACTTTTTCATCATTGCTTTTTGCAATTCCACTCCTTTATCTGAGGTTCACTTTACCTCTTAGAGAAGTAACTTATTTTGTAGTTATTTTAAGAGAATCTGTGAGTGGCAAACTCTCTGAGACTTTGTCTGAAAAATTGTATTTCATCCTCACTTCCTGGATAAAAACTCAACTGTGATTCTTAATTGATACTATTATTGCATTTTCTGCTGGAGTCTACTGATATAGATAAGTTTATCAGTCTGTTACTCTCTTGTAGGTACTATCTTTTCTCTGGTTGCCCTTAAAATTTTGTCTTTGATGTTCTACATACAGTTTTATCATGATATAACTAGATGTGGATCTGTTTTACTTTACCCTGCCCAGACTTAGCATGCTACTCTAATTTGCAAATTCTTATCTTTCCTTAATTATGAAAAACTGATAGTCCTTATATCTTAGAATACTGCCTATGGACCATTCTCTGTATTTCCTCCTTGTAGAACTCCAATTTGGCAGATGTTGGAGAGTCTTATTCTGCCTATCATTTCACTTTATTGTTTTATCACATTCTCCTTTTATCTCTCTGTACTATTATATTGTTATAGTCTGAGTGATTTTTACAGATCTATTGTCCAGTTAACAAGTACTCTCTTCGACTATGCAAATTTGTTGTTTATTCTTCTACTTTCATTATTAAATAACAAGTCCGAAGTGTTCATGGGAGGAAAGGGGAAAAATTTTCTCTTTCTTCTTTTCTAAAATGCATACAACTGACCCTTGAGGAACTCGAGGGTTAGGAGTGCCAAATCCCCCATGTAGTCAAAAATCCAAGTATAACTCTTGACTCCCCAAAAACTTAACTACCAATAGCCTACTGTTGACCAGATGCCACAAAGTCAATTAATACATATTTCGTGTGTTATATGTATTATATTGTGTATTCTTACAATAAAGCTAGAGAAAAAAGTTATTAAGAAAATCATAAGGAAGATAAAATATTTACAGTATTGTAAAGTATTAATACCATAAGCTTGTCATCTGTTTACAAGATGAACTGTCAGAAATGGTGAGGAACTACAGCTGCAGACCTTAATCTACAGTACATATCAAGTAATTCATCTTTTTCTTGTAATGTCATGATTTTTCTCTGCTCATTGGGAGCACTTCCAGCATCACTAGTGGCACTTTATGTGGGTTTCATGGTGTTAGTCAAGGTTTCCAGCATAGCCCTAAACATGATGAAAAACATACGAGAACCATGAGATCATTTTTTACTGCAATACACAATTTACTTGAGAGACACATTACTTGTGCAGAGATTATCAGCATCACATGGTCAAGCAGATACTTGCAACACTTGAGCTCACTACAATAGCAACAGGAGGTAGCTATGAAATTATTACAGTAGCACAGTATGTACTAGAGTTAATTTTATGCAGTTATGATTTAGTACTGCATCTTTATATTCATTTACATTTCTCTCAGCTGCAAATGGGACTGTGTAGGGTCTAAGTGTTTGTATGCATTAGTTTTGATAAATTTTATTTTTTATAATAAATTTGTGTATGTTTTATGGTAAATGATAGACTAGTAGCTACATATATTTTATGCATCCATGGCATAGCCAACTTTTTTTTTTATATTTACAGTCTATAAAGTTTGTCTGCAGGGTTTTACAAATTGTCACAAAACTCCAAAAAATTTTCCAGTATGTTTATTTGAAAATAATCTTCATGTAAGTGGACCTGTGCAGTTCAAACCCATGTTGTTCAAGGGTCAACTGTAATAGTCTGGAGAAACTTGCTATGGGTTGGAGGAGGGCAGCAAAATAATGTACATACAAATTAAAAAATACATAAATGATACATAACATACACACATACATATAGAGTTATGTGTCACTTAACTATGGACATACATTCTGAGAAATGCATCATGAGGTGATCTCATTGTTGTGCAAACATCGTAGGTGTGCTTATACAAACCTCCATTGTATAACCTACCACACACCTAGTGTATAGCCTATTGCTCCTAGTCTACAAACCTGTACAGCATATTACTGTACTGAACACTGTAGGCAATTGTAACATATTGTAAGTATTTGTTTATCTAAACATATCTAAACATAAAAAAGCACAGTAAAATACGGTATTATAATCTTACAGGACCATCATTGTATGTGGTCATTTGTTGAACAAAACATCATTATGTAGTACACGACTATATCATGTACTACATATAATTGTACATGCTACACTTTTATATGACTAGCAGCGAGCTAGGTTTGTTTACACTGGCATCACCACAAAAATGTGAGTAACGTGTTGTGCTACAATGTTATGACGGCTACCGGGCAACTAAGCAATAGGAATTTTTCAGCTCCATTATAATCTTGGGGGACCCCTGATGTGTATACAGTCTGTCACTGACTGAAATGTTATTATGTGCTGCATGAACGCATCTGTTAAATGTATAAACTAAAGAGTTGAAACAAATCCCATGTTTGGCCAATGTAGAATCTAAGTAGAAGGAAGACATAGAACTAAATTTTTCATCCTTTTATAACTACAAATGGATTTAAATATAATATTAAGTCTTCTGTTCACATAGTACATGGTTCAAATGTACATAGAAAGTACATATAAATATCTGGAGGAAGATTATTCCAGGTGGAGAGAACTGCAAGACCTTGTGGCAAGAAGGGGCTCAGCATGACTGACAAATAGCAAGAAGGTAAGAGTGGCTAAAGTAGTGTAAAAAAGGGGTAGAAAATGAGGCAGATGAGGTGTTTGGGTGTTAGATGGATATATGGCCTTCCATGTCATGATAAGGGTTTTGGATCTTATCATAAGTGTGATGGGAAGTGAGTAACACCAAAAATGTCCTTGAAAATGTAATTTAAATTTTATATTATGTTTTGTATAATATTTTAAAAGTGGGAGTTGTTAAGAGATTATGACCTCATTTAGAATTTAAATGACTTCATACGTCATATTTTCTCATTTATTTTGAACTTAAGTTACTTCCTAAAAATCAAGCTTTTTTATTTTTAAAACATGTACAAGATGACATATTAGGATAAGCAATGTAATGATTACAAATGACATAATCTCATACAGAATTCTGGACAAAATTCTGTTTCGAGACTTCTATATGTGAGATATATATATTACAGCACATATGAAACATGTATGTGCAGTCTGATGAATAACTAGAGTGAATCAGTGTAACCACTATGTAGGTCAAAAAACAGAACATTGCCAGCACCTCTGAAACCCTTGCTATCTGACTTTTTAAAAAAGAGCTTACTTAGGACTATAATCTGTGATAATTATCTACTTAAATGCCAACTGAAATCATGTGACCAATCTTTTTATGGGCAAAAGGAATGTCCCCTTAAGTCCATACTTAATTTCAATATGGAAATTGAGTACATATCAACTTAAAATCTATTCACATTTCAGTATAGGGATGTACAATCTCTAAGGCATTTATTTTTAATTAAAAAGATATATCATGCATATAAAAATAGAACTATGAAACTTAAAGTGTATACATTTTCATACATTTTAGGGAAAGAGAACCTAATAGTAACAGCTTTAGGATAAAAAGCATTTGATTAAAGTAAAATTAAAGACATTCAAAACTTTAAGATCTCATTATGTGTTACATTATAACAAATCAGGTAAAATGAGACTTCTTTTTTCTGGGTAGCTTCTAGTATATGCTTAGCACTCATTAAATGTTAAACAATAAAATGTGAATTAGGCTAATCACAGTATATCTAAAGGATACACTATTAAATTTGAGCCTATTTAAAATTTTAATTATAAAACTACATGTCACTGATTCATAACCTTTCTCAAAAAAAAAAAACCCCACGGAATCGAGATTTGTGTTTTTAAATCAATATTTTAGCAATGAACTACCAGAGGACAACAAATATGTATGGTCAAAATTAAAATTAAACTAATAATATTTTAAAATAAAGAATTTCATATTAAAATTAGATTTTTCTCTATGGAAAAATTCTACAAACCTTTTGTAAATACATTTGAAATAGTCAAGAAAAAGAAGGGAATGAAATATAATAAATAAAGATAAGCTATATAAAGATATACTAAATGTGGGTAAAACTCAATGGAAACCATGGATAAAAATAACATTTAGAAGTATCACTCTTAAGTTGTAGTGCAGCAGCACCTGAATTATGCTCCCTTTAATTTATGCACATGATGGATAGCTTGTTAAGGGGCATATCTGTAACCATTATAATTGATAGTAGCTGAAGGCAAGTCAGGCCATAATTTCTATTTAATGGATGGGATAGTAAGGGAACAAAGCCTGCAGTTGCATTTTAAAATAAGTGCCAAAAGTTTACATTTATGTCCAAAGTAATACCTATATTAAGGTATTAAATTATTTGAGAGAAGAGAAAAATCAGCTGTAGCAAGATCCATACATAATTAAATCACAATTTTGATTTGGCCAATAACTAGAAAAACCTTACAATAAGTAGAAAAGAATGTTCAACTAACCATTTGATAGTCCATTTCTGTGCTTTTGCTCTTCAGAACTTGTGGGAGAAGCAAATAGACTCATTTGACAAGTTCCAGTTGTTGGAGAATAAGTTATAACACTTTTCTTCCTTGTGATTTTTGAAGGATCAAATGACTGGAAATAAATAATAATTAAGGACAGAAATAGCTATGTTTAGTTATAGATCTTTGAAATTATATACCATTAAAAAATCAGCAAAATTCAAACTTGTTTCCTTGCTCTTGCTTTTCAGATTACAAATATACTCAACTATCACTCTCAAAGTAAACACTATTCTTTCAAGGTAGATATTTCAGGTCTCTATAATAACTAGAACATCTCAATTTGATATTTACTAAATTTTAGCATTAAAGGGTTACTACCTTCTGAGATGGTATTTCCAAACAGGTTAGAGATGGCCAACTCTCCCAACCATACCCTGACTTTTGCTTTCAGCTGAACTTGAAGTATAATTATGGGGCCAGGGCAGGAAAACTCTCAGAGGTGCCTATTACTAAGCCTCACACAGAAACCTTAGGAAGGATCACTGCTGTCCTACAGCTTCACAAAGTGGTCTGATGTAGCATCTTGCTTCAATAATCACCAAAATAATGTCCAAACAGTTGAGTCAGGCATTTAAGGCCTTTGAGGATTTGGCCTGTCTTACAAATTTCCTCTTAGCAGCTTCCTCCTTTGTGTTTCCATAGGTGTTGGGCATACCTCTTATTTCAGGTAACATATTTTAATAAGTTCTGTCTGTTCCATTAGAATTTGCTCCTGAAAATAAATATTATCTTTTCATCTTTATATCCTAGAGAACTAAAAAATGTGTGAGGAACGAATGACTTACAAGGAACAGTCCAGTAAATTTGGCCATCTTGCTCTACTCAGAATATACTAATTTGTTCACTGGTTCATACATCCAATTATTATTCACTGTTACCTACAGCTTCAGTCACTAGGCTATGTGCATTTGGGCCTCAGATCATTTTGTGATCTCAGCTTGGAACATCCTCTTTTTTATCTTCCCCAAGACCTAGACTTTCCTTAGTTTAGGTCCTCATTCATGATCCCCTTCCTTCAAACATCCATTATCATACTATTAATTGTTCCCTTTCCTGAATTCCCTTAAAACTTGCTTTCCATAAGCTTACTGATCACCCACCAGCACTGCTAAATGTGTACTAATGTGTACAAAGAAATATAACAAATTGCTCTGGCCTTAAGGAGTATCTACCAAAAGTTAGAAGAACAACAAAGAGGTTTTAAATTAGTATGCATGCTACGAAATTCAGAGAAGAGGAAAAATTCAAAGTTGGCTGCAGTAGTCTGTCACAGAAAAAGGCATGAGAAATCTGAAATAAGAGGTGGAACAGACAGCATAGGATGGATCTGGGGGATATAGGAAAGGTCTGATGGCTCATACATTGCCAACATACTGGATATAGCTTGGTAGAGGATTTGAAATAGTTCCTTAACTCTGCCTGGTCAACTATCCTTTATTTTTAAGAGACCTATGGAAGAAATAGTGGCTGTGTCATCTTTTTTAGTAATCTTAATATTAGTTCCAGAATCTATAGCATTCAAAAAAAATTTTTTTACAGTTAAGATTTTAAATATTAGGAAACAATATTTAATTATATTGAGAAATGAAAGGCATTGTTTATTTTATGTATCCATAGTGGCCACAAATGCGATGAATATCTTTTAAAAAATCAAACTATAATATCAAGTTATAACTCTAAAGCAATCTTTTTTTTTGTACAGTGAAAGGGTTTTAAGTCTCTTTATCGGGTGGTTATTATTACCTCTCCATCTTGAGTTTTTACCTGTTTGTATGTATTCAGTCATAAACTATGACATTTATCCAATCCCTACTCTACTTTTCCAAGAATTTATTGCCCAGAACTACTTCACTGTGTATGTACAAGGAATGAAAGTCACTACCCTAATGTACATCTATATCTATCTGTTTTTCTATTTTCACCAAAAAATTATTTTATCCAATTGCCATATGTCTAAACATTTTAACTGTAGATCATACATTTCTCCTTGGAAACAATTTTCCAGCTTTCAGAAAATAACTCTGTGAGTGTGCATGTGCTCTGTGTGTGTGTGTGTGTGTGTGTGTGTGTGTGTATTTTTGCCTCACTTTAAAAATACTGAGGCTTCTCTCTTTTTTTATTTTTTTGGTCATTTGTGTTGGTTAAAAAGAAAAATGTCTATCTACAACTACTATACACAGAAGGAAAATTGAAAAGCTACCCTTTCCCTACTATACCACTAAATATTCTTCAGTAAATATGCACTTTTGTTTATCTTCCCTACTGGTACACACAAAGGCATAACCCTACTTCCCTAAGTTTTCTTTCCCTCAAGGTTGTACCAAGTTCCTCTAACTTTTAATCTCTGAAGAGGTTTAAAAGTAATCCTAGAATCCATCTGAGAATTTCCATTCTGCCAACTCCCAAACTTTGAAGATCTTGGCCTACTCATTAGTCTCCCACAAAAGGAAGAATTAAGAATACTGGGATTTGAGAGAAGACTGAGCTACTAACTGAGAAGTCAGCAATCCTTCCATTCAGCAAGGATGAGTGCTACCTATGAGCCCTTTAGAAAAACAGGAAGAAAGAGTAAGAGGGCTAGATTTGGCTAGAAAAAAGCAAGGACTCAGGATGTAACAAAATAAAAAAAAACAAAACAAAACAAAAAACAAAAAGAAAGAAAGAAAGAGAGCGATGTCAGCTGGGCAGGGCATTTCATGCCTGTTATCCCAGCACTTTGGGAAGCCAAGGTGGGAGGATTGCTTGAGCTCAGGAGTTTGAAACCAGCCTGAGCAACATGACAAAACCCCGTCTCCACAAAAAGTACCAAAAAATTAGCTGGGCATAGTGGTGCATGCCTGTGGTCCCAGCTACTCTGGAGGCTGAGGTGGGAAGATCACTTAAACCCAGGAAGTTGAGGCTGTAGTGAGCTGTGGATCACACCACACACACACACACACACGCGCGCGCGCGCAAGAAAATAGATGTCACAACCACTTCTATAATAATTTACAACTGCTGGCAGCTCATGCCTGTAATCCCAGCACTTTGGGAGGCCAAGGTGGGTAAATCACTTGAGGCCGAGTAGGAGACCAGCCTGG